>NC_000002.12:230216890-230519921 GCF_000001405.40 Homo sapiens
AAAGAGCCTCTTCCATGGCTCTTGTCATGGTGAACATCCTATGGAAAGAGGCATGATAAAAAATAGAAGCAAAGGCTGGGCGCGGTGGCTCATGCCTGTAATCCCGGCACTTTGGGAGGCCGAGGTGGGTGGATCACCTGAGGTCAAGAGATTGAGACCATCCTGGCCAACATGGTGAAACTCTGTCTCTACTAAAAATACAAAAATTAGCTGGGTGTGGTGGCGCACGCCTGTAGTCCCAGCTACTTGGGAGGCTGAGGCGGGAAAATTGCTTGAACCGGGGAGGTGGAGGTTGCAGTAAGCCAAGATTGTGCCACTGCACTCCAGCCTGGGTGACAGAGTGAGACTCCATCTCAAAAAAAAAAAAAAAAAAAATAGAAGCAAAACCTTGAGGAATGTGGGAAGCTTCTCTCTGCATTAAATGGGCAGATCTAAAGGTAAGCATTCTGGTCCCAAAGGCATCCTTAGTAGCCTGCAAAGCAATGTCTGCCTAAAAGGCTCATGGGTATAGGAAACAAGGACAATTCCCAGCAACAATGGAGGCTGAGAGTGACTGAAAATATAATGACAGAATCCCAAGGCGCTGCAGGTAAACATAAGGAAGGTATTAAAAGTAGCTAATATTTATGGAGTGTTTCCTGTGTGCCAGACTTTGTTCTAAGGGTTTCATATGCAGTAACTTATCTGATTTTCATAAAACCCTTGCGAGGTGGTTCCTATGACTGCACCTGTTTATACTGTTGAGGAACTGAGACACAGAAATGTTTAATAACTTGCCCCAGGGTTGCACAACTAGAGAGTGGAAGAGCTGGGAGCAAATCCTGATTCCAGGCTTACAGTGCTAACTATGTGTTCTATGGCCACACTGATCTGGGTTAAACAAGATGACCTGGGCTACGGCTGAAGCCATTAACTAGCAATGCTCATGCAACAGGGACCACCCTAAAATGGGTAGAGTTCAGCTGGAAACCTGGTAATATTTGGAAACTTTAACGAACCACTCCCAATCTTCAACACAAATGGGCCAAGCATAAATAAAAGCATGAGGGCTGAGAAAGGCATACTTAGTAAAAGTGACTTAACTGACTTGTTCACTGCAACCATTTCATGTCTCAGACATGCGCCTTTTCCCATGCCCATGCAGCATGTATTAAAGATTGGCCATTTATGGACTGTGAGGAGATATCAATAGGTTATAATGGGAAGAAAGTTTACAAATGACATTCTTGACAAATTGTCAAGAAAAGGAAAAGCACTAACAAAACATTCAATCAACTTGACAGTTTTTAACAAACAGAACAAACATGGATTCCACTTTTCCAACTTCATTTTGTGTTGAACAGAAAAGTAAATCGTAATTAACAACTGTTTACAGGGATTTAATCCCAGTGGCAGATTAAGCACCCTAGTCTCTTTCTCCTCATTCCCCAATTTTTTTAACTTGGCAGAAAAAAATACTCATGAAAAGAATAATCCGCAATCGCATAGGAAAACAAGAAAAGATGCCATTGAGAGTCTGTGGTGGTAAAGAAGTCTTGGAAGATAGAGAACAGATAGGAGAGAAATCTACTATCCACAATATGCACAGGGGAAGGAGATAGTGCAAAGATCAGTGCAAAGTCAGAGAAAGGCAGAGTAAACATATACTAAGAAGAGGAAGGGGTCTTGGAGGCTCCTTTTAGAACAATTCATTATACAGCAGCGCTCAGAACAGGAAGTCTAGAGCTTCCTCATTCTTCATCTGTCATGAGTCCCAAAGATGAAAGGGAGGCACAGAGAGGTTTAGTAACTCACCCAAGGTATTCAGTGGCAAAGCAGAGCTTGTCTGACTCTAAAGCCCTGTTTCTTTCTATGCAAGATACTACATCTCATATATGACTGTTCAGATTTTTATTATGTAAAGAGATTTTGCAAACGAATAAGCAAAAGACAAACATCCAACTAGAAAATAAAAAAGCAAAATACATGAACAGAGAGTGATAAAAGAATAAGCCAAATGTGCAATGAATAATACGATAAGCATGTTAACTAGCTAGTAGAAAGCATAAAGAAGGCCAGGCATGGTGGCTCATGCCTGTAATCCCAGCACTTTGGGAGGTTGAGGTGGGCGGATCAGCTGAGGTCAGGAGTTCGAGACCAGCCTGGCCAACATGGTGAAACCCTGTCTCTACTAAAAATACAAAAATTAGCTGGGCGTGGTGGTGCACATCTGTAGTCCCAGTTACTCAGGAGGCTGAGGCAGGAGAATCGCTTGAACCTGGGAGGTGGAGGTTGCAGTGATCTGAGATGGTGCCATTGCACTCCAGCCTGGGTGACAGAGCGAGACTCCGTCTCAGAAAACAACAACAACAAACAACCAAAAAAAGTGTAAATGAAGACAATTTGATAACATATTTGTCTATCAAATTGGCCAAGATAGAAAATAATAGTAATAATCTCAGACACTGTGAGTGGGAAGGTCAACAGGTCCAAATGTTCTGAAGGCTGATTTAGTAATCAGTGTCAAATGTCCTAAAACATGTGCTCCTTTGAATTTCCACTTCTAATAATTTATTTCAAGGAAATAATCATGTATTTAGAGAAAATATATAAAAAGTTCATGATACACTAGAGACGAAATTAAATGTACTCTCATTTTTTTCTTTTCCACCAGCTTCCCAAGTACCTCTAGTCATTTACACAATGGATAACAGATGAGCCGCCTATTGCGGGCACTGAAGGATCAGAGCTTAGGTGAGGGTAGAGGGCAAATCTCGGCTCCATTCACAATAACAGGCTGGACTCTGGCGAAAAAAAGAGGTGTCAGTGTTCCCTCCATGTGCCCCCTTTTAACAGTCTCCTAATAAGTACCACATGTCTGAGCTCTGAGAGAGCCTCAGAGTTTAAATAGTTGAACTCCACCCTGCAGCTGCTGCCGCGAAGTTAACTCTAAGAGCTGCAGTCACCAAGAGCGAAGAATAAAGCAGCAAAGACAGAAACTCACCTGGACTTTGAGTTTGTCGTTCCTGCCCCTTTCCAGGGGCTGGGACAGGGATCACTCCTCAAGATTGGGAGAGTTACAGGGAGATGCTAGCAGGCAAAACAGGAAGTCTGTGCTTTGACAAACGCAGTAAGGGGCCGGGCTTCCGAGAAAAGAAAAGTGAAAGTTTTCGGAGTTTGCCAAGCCGGAAGCTGAAGGCAGGTCGGTGCCTGCAGCCTCTCTCCACCTCCTCATGGGCACTTGTGAGGCTCCCAGGACGTCTTGGCAGTTGGGGTTTGGGGGAGGGCGTGTTGCCAGTTGGGATCAGCCCAGAGAGGGAGGTATGGGAGGAGGAGGCATAAGGGTACAGCCCCAGCGGCAATAGGAACTGGGAACTCAGCGTCCAAATGCTTCCCTAACCACATCTATTTTCCCATGACTTGTCCTCATTCTGTACATTTTAGGTTGATGAAAATGTTCTCAAACTGGATTGTGGTGATGTTTACATAACTGAATGAATTCACTGGAATTTATCCAGTGTGTTATCAAACTCTAACAACACACAAAAAAACAAAGAGAATGTGCCAGAAATGCCTAGAACTTGTCAGGATAAGATTATTACAGGAAGAAATTGAAATGAAAGGGAACCTGCACATGAACTGGAATTGTGCAGAGGCAGGCAGACCTCCAGGCAGAAAAATGGCTGAGAGCTGGGCAGGTAGTTGGGAGCCAGGAGTCTGAGGCAGAACTGGGACCTGCTGATTCCAGAGAGCAGTAACTCAAGGGCTGGCAGGGACACCCCTTCTCATGCCCCTTTTAAAGATCCCTAATGTACATTGACATGTGGGGCCTATGAAAAATCCTAAACTATTGGCCAGGCACAGTGGCTCATGCCTATAATCCCAGGACTTTAGGAGGCCAAGATGGGAGGATTGCTTGAGCCTAGGAGTTTGAGACCAGTCTGGGCAACATAGTGAGACCCCATCTCTACAAAAAATAAAAAAATAAAAAATTAACTGAGTGTGGTGGCATGCACCTTGTAGTCCTAGTTAGTGAGGAGGCTGAGGCTGGAGACTTGCTTGAGCCCAGGAGTTCAAGGCTGCGGTGAGCTATGATTGCACCACTGCACTATAGAAATCTGTGTAACTTTGGGCCAGGCTCGGTGGCTCACGCCTGTAATCCCAGCACTTTGGGAGGCTGAGATGGGTGGATCACAAGGTCAGGAGTTTGAGACCATCCTGGCCAACATGGTGAAACCCCATCTCTACTAAAAATACAAAAATTAGCCAGATGTGGTGGCGGGAACCTGTAATCCCAGCTACTTGGGAGGCTGAGGCAGGAGAATTGCTTGAACCCAGGAGGTGGAGGTTGCAGTGAGCCGAGATCGCACCACTGCACTCCAGCCTGGGTGACAGAGCAAGACTCCATCTCGAAAAAAAAAAAAAAAAAGAATTCTATGTAACTTTGATTAAATCAATAATTCTCAAATGTATTTGACCCACAAGTTCCCCTACCAGGACATCCACAAACTCCTCAGATAAAAGATGGGAGACATGGATCTAAAGTTTAAGAAGCTTTGAAACCAAGGCTAACTGCATAAGAGCAAGCCCTTCTATGCAGGCACAAACAGCATATCCCACCCTAGTATGTACAGAATAGCAGACCCGGCCTTGCGGGTAATGGCTGTGGGTGAAACAGAGGCATGGAAGCCACAGCCAGGAAAAATTCAATGCTAACAGCTGAGGAGAGGGTGCATTGATGCCTCAGCATGCAGTAACATACAGCGCTGTGATGCAGGGGATGGCGGTGGTAAAGGAATTAAGGTTATTTTATGCAAATGTCACATGTCACTTACCTGAAGCCCCTCCCCATCACCTGGAAAGCCCCTTCATGGGCATCTGAGGATCCTGGCAGCAAGAACTTCTTCCTTTAGATCTATTCAGAGATACACCAGGCAAATGCAAAACAAACAAACAAAAGTAAAGCAGGAGTGGGAAAATAAAGTCAATGTCAAATCAGGCAAAAATTGTTACATGAAAAAAAGACAGCTGCGAATGAGGATGAAAGATGTTTATTCTAAGCCATATATGCTTGGCTGGGCACAGTGGCTCAGGCCTGTAGCTTAGCTAGCACTTTGGGAGGCTGAGGCAGGCAGATCACTTGAGGCCAGGAATTCAAGACCAGCCTTGCCAACATGGCAAAATCCCGTCTCTACTAAAAACACAAAAAAATTAGCTGGGCGTGGTGGCACATGCCTGTAATCCGAGCTACTCGGGAGGCTGAGGCATGAGAATCGCTTGAACTCAGGAGCTGGAGGTTGCAGTGAGCTGAGACTGCGCCACAGCAGTTCAGCCTGAGCAACAGAGTGAGATCCCGCCTCAAAAAAAAAAAAAAAAAAATGCATGCTTGAGAACATGGTAATAATGGGAAAACGTCACCTGTTAATTCACATGCTAGTGATTATGTACTGAGATAAATTATACATAATTCTTTTTAGCTCCATTTTATTGAGGTATAAAATTTATTCATTGTAATGTACATTTTACCAAATGTAGTTACTACACCAGTCAAGATGTAGACCATTTCTAGGCCTGGAGAGTCGCTTGTGCCTATAATCCCAGCATTCTGGGAGGTCAAAGCAGGAGGATCGCTTGAGCCCAGGTGTTTGAGACCAGCCTGGACAACAGAGCAAGACCTCGTCTCTACAAAAATACATTTTTTTAAATTAATTGGGCATGTTGGCATACACCTGTGGTCCCCGCTATCAGGGAGACAGAAGTGGGAGAATTGCTTGAGCCCAGGAGGTCCAGTCTCTGGTGAGCAGTGACAGAGTGAGACCCTGTCTCAAAAAAAAAAAAAAAGATACAGACCATTTCTGTTACCCTAGAAAGTTCCCTGTGACCTTTGCAAACAATCCCCTCCTTAAGGCCAGCACCAGGCAACCACTGATCTGCTTTCTATCACCACAGATTAGTTTCGTGTGTATTAAAGTTTTTTTTTTTTTTTTTTTTATCAATGAAGGCACATGGAATGCATTTTTGGTGTATGGCTTTCTTTTCCTCATCATCATGCTTTTGAGATTCATCTCTGTTGTTGTGGGTCAGTAATTTATTCTTCTTTAGCAGGTATGCTAGCCACCAAGATCCTGCTCATCCTGTCTGATCAGCATGATGTCATCAATCAGTCTGACTTTTTTTTTTTTTTTTGAGACAGAGTCACGGTCTGTCTCCAGGCTAGAGTGCTGTGGCGCAATCTTGGCTCACTGCAACCTCCGCCTCCCAGGTTCAAGTGATTCTCTTTCCTCAGCCTCCTGAGTAGCTGGGACTACAGGCACGCATCACCATACCTGGCTAATTTTTGTATTTTTAGTAGAGATGGGGTTTCACCATGTTGGCCAGGATGGTCTTGATCTCCTGACCTCGTGATCTGCCTGCCTCAGCCTCCCGAAGTGCTGGGGTTATAGGCATGAGCCACCATGCCCAGCCCAGTCTGACATTCTATGGGATGTCCAGGTGATCCAGATATCTTTCAACTATATTATGACAAAGGGCAAGTGAGTCAATATAACCTGCCTGGACTGCCTACTTTCTTAACCTAGTCCTCTGGCTTTCCCATACATTCTGTGAGCTACCCAATATAGTTCTAAGAAATTGACTTTTTGCCTGAGTTAGCCAGAGTCAGTTTGGATTACTTTTACTCCCAAATCCTGACTGATAAAAATGTTGGGCACCAGAGGTTGAATTATAGGCAAGAGATATTCAAGGAAATATGATCAATCTGGGATTGGTTATCTGACATAATTGGACATAAAAACAGTGAACATCCCCATTAGCGTTCAGAGTCAGGAATTTTGGAGTTGTGGGCAAATAGGGGTAAGTTGGCAAATTAAATTACAGCACTGGATTGTGATCAAGACTCTATACAATTCATTTCCCCAATTCCAGGTGTCAGATTCTAGCATGCTTAGCAAAATGAAGAGAAATCTTCCAGGTAGAATGAAAGCATTGATTTACCTTTGGGGATTATGACCTACTTGGCCTAAATCTGGATGGGGGAACAGAGCCAGGAGGCAGGCCGGAGCCTTCTGACTCCACTGGTCACGTGGCAGTAAAGGAAGACATTGGGAACCAGAGATGGTCTGATGGTCCTACATATGCCTGGCCCAGGAATCCCTTACCCAGGAGAGGTTCTGTAGTGAGCATAGGGAAAAACAAGATAGTGGGAAATAGAACTGAAATTTCAGGCTATCCTTACCTGGGCTAATGCATGGTGTTGCAAAGTAGGGCTTTCTAGTAGTAGCAGCAGTACCCCTGAAGTACCAATCTTACCACCAGTCAGCTGAGGAACACCAATGGCCTTGTGCTTATAAGCAAAAGAAGCTGGCACATTTTCAAAAATGTCCAGTTCATTGGTGTCCTGGGTCTGCCTACTGCCTAAGGGCAGAGAGAAGAGAGAGAGGGGATGCTGGAGCAGGCGGTATAGTCTGTACCAGGCCTTGTTGGAGCCCCATGGAGACTGGGAGGAGAGGACAGCTGTGTCTAACAGAAGCCCAGCATACTTTTCCTTCTTGTTTTAAAGAGGGAGGGAGAGGGAGGGAGAGAGAGGGAGAGGGAGGGAGAGGGAGGGAGAGAGAGGGAGAGAGAGGGAGACAGAGGAGAGAGAGGACAGAGAGAGAGAGAGAGAGGAGAGAGAGAGAGATACTGGAAAAGGTGTCCTCATCAGTGTTCTAGAGTTTGTCTCAACCAGATTGGTGTTTGTTCCTTTGGTAGAAAGAAAGCAGAAGTGTGGAAGGGGTAGAAATTTCTTGCACTCTGTATTTTGCAAACTTATGTATGCAAATTTCCTTGCATATGTGTAATGAACCAGAAAAAGTAGGATTCAGGAGCACATGTTTTGGAAAAATACTGCTTTGCCTCTGGCTTTTCAATCCTCACTACTGTTCTGTCACTGGCCCTGGATTCTACCCATACCCTGGCTCTCATCAGCCCCCTGTCTTTGACCCATTTTTCTGCCTGGATTTCTAGTCCTGTGGTTATATTTTTTATATTTGCCCTTTGCTTCCATTTGTTTATCACTCGACTTTATGCTGATATAGTGTGTTTTTGTAAATTGTTTCAAATCCTTTACAGAATGAGGGCTGGGTATAAATGAAAAATTGTGTGCAAACATAAATGTAATACAGCTATCCTCCTGTATCATATTGTCCTTGAAGGTCTAGATAATCTCAGCTCCAAACCCTTTCCCCATCCAGTGAGAAGGCTGTCACTCTCCTCAAGATTTCAGTGAAATGGTTGAAGCTCATTTTTTTCCCAGTCACCCCTGGCTGCTGTTGTAAAGTGCCCACATATTTGAGAAAACTTAGAATTGCACCTCATTTCTCTGCCCAACCTCAGCACTTGCCTTTGGCTGGAGGAGTTGAGAGAGTTGTCTTTTACCTCTGTCTGCTTTCATGGAGTGCTAAGAGCATCTCCCCCACTTTCTAATGCATGCTATTTCAGTTCTCCCTGGCCCCATGTCCAAACACTGGGCCTAAGCCATCCAGCCCAGGCTCACTAAGGTGCATGGCCAGCCCTGGAGCCTGACTGAAGATTTGAAATGTCTGGTCTTCACTTGTCCTTCTCAGCCACCTCAGCAAGGGGTGGGGACAAATACAGAGTTTACTTCCTCCTCATGATGCCACCTTACCTCAAAACAACTTTGATCTGCTTGAGTTGAATGACTTTTCCACCCTCTTTCCTTGGCAGGAACAAGTGACCCTGTCTTCCGTGGCCTCGTGGGGCTGGCTCTGCTCCTCCTCCCTTGACTGAGAGACGTCATGGAGATTGGGTGGAGGGAGGACTGTAGAGTTGGTGCACCCACGTCAGCTAGTTAGGCAATTTCACTTTTCTTTTCCTCTTTGACTGAGCACCGAGGGGCAGTTGGCAGCTTCACCTCAGAGCTGCAGGAAGGAACGGGGCAGTGAAAATCGAATCGGGTGTGATCCTAGGCCAAGCTCATGGCCCAGCAGGGCCAGCAGGGGCAGATGGCAAGTGGAGACAGCAATCTCAACTTCAGGTGGGTCATCGTCTCCTTTCCCGTCTGTCCTTCATCTCTGGTAGGGTTCCCTTTCATACTTGTTATTTAATGTCTACCCAGCTTCACTCTACAGGTATACAATAGAATTCAGTTACAAATAAATAACGAGGCAATCAGATTTTTTAAATTGCAGGGATTGGCTGTTGGAGAAACTCAAGGATGCCGTGACTCACATCATCTTCCTATTCTCTTACATCTGCAAATGGCTGGACTGGAGCTGTTTGAACATCATGCCTGTTCTGAGGCTTTGTGTAGGATTGGATGATTCCCCGTGACCTCTGAACCCTCTCTTCTCCCCCAGGCCTCCTTTATCCCCACTCCAAAAGACAACTCTGTCTAAAAAGGATCTTTTTAGAAGAATTAAAATCCAAACGCCTGTCTGTTGTCACACTTTCCAGGCTGTGTAGTTGGGGACCGGTTCTGCTCTGAGCCCATCTATGTGGCTCTTAGCCCTAGAATCACTTCAGGATCTCTGAATACTTGGTAGGAGGAAGTGAAAGCAGATGAGACCCAACAAAAAAGGCAAGCAGGTAGAGAGTGAGTGCTGCTTCTGCTTTTTTTATTCTTCTGTTCTGGTATTTTTTACATATCTGGTCAGAGAAGCCTGGAAATCATCTTTAAAAAATGTAAGACAATGAGACCAGTCTGACCAACGTGGAGAAACCCTGTCTTTACTAAAAATACAAAATTAGCTGGGTGTCATGGTGTATGCCTGTAATTCCAGCTACTCAGGAGGCTGAGGCAGGATAATCGCTTGAACCAGGGAGGCAGAGGTTTTGGCGAGCCAAGATCACACCATTACACTTTAGCCTGGGCAACAAGAGTGAAATTCCATCTCAAAAAAAAAAAAAAAAAAAGACAAGTACATCAATACGGTCATTTCTTCTTATCTGTGGATTCTGTATCCATGGATCTAACCAACCATGAATGCAAAATATTTTCTAAAAATTAAAAACATAAATAACAACAATAAAAAGTAATATAAAAATTTAAAATACAGTATAACTATTTGTATAGCATTTACATTGTATTAGGTATTATAAGTCTAGAGATGATTTAAAATATACAGGAGGATGTGCATAGGTTATATGTAAATACTACACCTTTTATATCAGGGACTTGAGCATCCATGGATTTTGGTATCCATGGAGGGTCCTGGAACCAATTCCCCCTGGATACCAAGGGATGACTGTACATTCTTGATAAAAATGAAAATGTGTGGAATGTAAAAATGTATGGAAACTTGTCTAATTGGGACTCTGTGCTAAGGCTACTTCTGGCGCTGGTACAGCCCCAAGAAAGCAAAAGCTATTGCTATTATCAGCAGTAGTGGTGGCACCAGACTGGTTTTCAGTGCCCAGTGCCACCACTCCCAGACAGGCATCCCTGTCATCTCTCTTTCACTTGCTCTCTAGTGAAGGGAAGATGAGCCAGCGGAGCTCAAAGTCCAGCCAGCCCATGGTCACCAAGCAGGAAGAAGACGGCACTGAGAGGTGACAATGGGCTAATGCTAACCTCAAAGAATGAGTTAGGAAGTGTTGCCTCTGCTCTTATTTTTGGAGGAAATTGGGGAGGATGATGTCATTTCTTCCTTAAATATCTGGTAGGATTAGCTAGTGATACCATCTGGGCCTAGTACTTTCCTTTCTGGAGGGCTATTAATTATCGATTCAAATTTCTTTAATAGATGTAGGCCTATTCAGACAACCTATCTCTTGTGCAAGTTTTGGTTAGTTTGCCTCTTAAAGAATTTGTTCATTTCATCTGTGACCAAATTTGTAGGTGTAGAGTCCATAGTTTTCCTTTATTACCTTTCCATTGTCCATGGAATTCGTAGTGATGACCCTTCTTTCATTCTGATGATTTCCGTCTTCTCTATTTTTTTCTTTGTTAGGCTGGCTAGAGGTTTATTAATTAACTCTTTGAAAAGAAAATCAGCTTTTGGTTTCATTAAGTTTCTCGAATGTTTTCCTGTTTCAATTTTTTTAACTTCCACTTTAATTTTAATTTTTTTTCCTGCTTGCATCAGGCTTAAATTGCTCCTTTTTTCTCTAGTTTCCTCAGATGAAAGCTTAGATTATTGACTTAGATCTTTCTTCTTTTCTATTGTATGCATTTAATACTATACATTTCCTTCTAAGTGCTGCTTTTGTTGCATCCCATTCATTTTAATAAGTTGTTTTCCTTTTCATTTACTTCAAAATATTTTTAAAATTCTTTTAGGACTTCTTATTTGACCCTAGAACTCTTTTGGTTAATCTGGAAATATTTTGGAATTTTCCAGCTATTTTTCTGTTACTGATTTCTAGTTTATGGTCTGAGAACAAACTTTTAGGATTTCTATTCTTTTAAATTTGTTAAGGTATGTTTTATGGCCCAAAATGAAGTACATCTTGGCAAATATTCTATGTGAGCTTAAAAAGTACATGCATTCTGCTATTGTTAAATGGAGTACCGTATAAGTGTCAGTTAGACCAAGCTGATTGCTATTGCTCATCAGGTCAACTACACCCTTACTGATTTTTCTGCCTGTGTGATATGTCAATTAATAAAAAAGAAGTGTTGAAGCCTTCAATAATAGTAGTGAATTTGTCTATTTCTCTTTATAGTTCTATCAGTTTTTGCCTCATACATTTTGCCATTAGTTTGTTAGTTGCATACACATTAAGGATTGTGTACCTTCTTGGAGAATTGACCCTTTTATCATAATGTAATGTCCCTCTTTAATCCCTGACAATTTTCCTTGTTCTGAAGCTTCTTTGTCTGAAATTGATATAGCTACTATACCTTTTCTTTGATTAGTGTTGGCATGGTATATCTTGCTCCATCCCTTTATGTTTAACCTATCTGTATTTTTATATTTACAATGACTTTCTTATAGACAACATATAGTCGGGTGTTTTGTGTTTTTTATGTACTCTGTTGATCTCTTGTCTTTTAATTGGTGTTTTAGACCATTGGCATTAAAGTGATTATTAATATAGTTAGATTAATATCTACCACATTTGTAAATGTTTCATTGTACCTATCGTTTTTATCTTTTCTTCCTTTTTTCCTGCCTTTTCTGGTTTAATTGAGCATTTTATGCTTCTATTTTCTCTCCCTTCTTAGCATATCAATTATACTTCCTTTAAAACATTTTTAGTGGTTCCCTGAAGTTTGTAATATATATTTACAGCGAATCATGCCCATTTTAAATTACACTATATCACTTCATGAGTAGAGAATACACCATGCAACTGAATGTCCCAAATTCTGCCCTCCTGTTCTTTTTAACATTGTGAAATGACTGACAATGTTAAAAAGAACAGGAGGGCTTCCAGTCATTCCATTTATTTATGTCCCATAACCACTCAATATGTTGTTGATTCTATTAATTTGAATAAATGGCTTCATTTTAGGTTAACTTGGAGTAGGAAAAATGAAAACATTTTATTATATCTGCATTTATTTCTTCTCTGGTGCTCTTTCTTTCTCTATGTAAATCTGAGTTTCTGGCCCACATCATTTTTCCCTTTGCATGAAGAAATTCTTTTTTTTTTTTTTTTTTTTTTTTTTTTTGAGATGGAGTCTCACTCTGTTGCCCAGGCTGGAGTACAGTGGTGCAATCTCGGCTCTCTGCACACTCCGCCTCCTGGGTTCACGCCATTCTCCTGCCTCAGCCTCCTGAGTAGCTGGGACTACAGGCGCCCACCACCACGCCTGGCTAATTTTTTGTATTTTTAGTAGAGACGGGATTTCACCATGTTAGCCAGGATGGTCAAGAAATTCTTTTAACATTTTCACATGGAGTAGGCTTTCTGGCAAAGAATTTCCTCAGTTTTTGTTTGTTTGAGAAAATCTTTATTTCTACTTTACTTGGAAGGTTAATTTCACAGGATATGGAAGCCTACATAGGCTTTTTTTTTCTTTCATCACTTTAAATATTTCTTTCCACTTTCTTTGCTTGCATGGTTTTTAATGAGAAATCTGATGTAATTTTATCCTTGTTCTTTCACAGGTAGGGGTTTTTTGTTTTTTTTCCCTACCCCCTGGCTTTTTTCAATATTTTCTCTGTCTTTCGTATTCTGCAGTTTGAATATAAAATTGTAATTGCCAAACTAGACTCTTCTTGTCCATTGCCCAGAAAAGCCACACATTGAGAATAGTAGGAGTTGCAGGAGAGAGAGAATTTAATAATCGCAGGGCCAGCCAAGCGGGAGATGTTTCTGAAATCCATCTCCCCAAGAATTCAGAGACTAGGCTTTTTAAAGGATAGTTAGGCAGACAGGGGGCTGGGGAACAGGGAAGTGCTGATTGCTTAGGTTGGGAATGAAATCACAGGGGGTTGAAGCTGTGTTCTTGTGCTGAGTCATTTCCTGGGTAGGGGTCACAGGACCTGGTTACCAATCCTGTGGTATTAGCTGTTCCATTAGAATGCAAGGTCTGAAAAATACCTCAAACCCCAGTCTTAGGTTTTACAATACTGAAGTTATCTATAGGAGCAATTGCGGTGGTTATGGATCATGTGACCTCCAGCTACATGACTCCTGAACCATAATTCTAATCTTGTATCCAATTTGTTAGTTTTACAAAAGTGGTTTTGGTCCCAGAGCAAGGAGGGGGTAAGTTTTGGGAAGGGATTGTTATAATCTTTGTTTTAAAGTTAAACTATAAACTAAATTCTTCTCATTGTTAGCTTGGCATACACCCAGGAATGAGCAAGGACAGCTTGTGAGGTTAGAAGCAAGATGGAGTCAGTTAATTTAGATTCCTCTCACTGTCATGATTTTTGCAAAGGTGGTTTCAATATGTCTAAGTCTAGATCATTTGATATTTATGCAGCTTGGTGTTTGATGAGTTTCCTGAATCTGTGGTTTGTTGTCTGTCATTACTTTTGGAAAATTCTTGGCTATCACTACTTGAATATTTCTTCTGCTCTATTTTCTCTTTCTTCTCCTTCTCGTATTCCAATTACATATTTGTCACACTTTCTGAAATTATTCCAGCATTCTTGGATATTGTGTTCTGTTTTGTTTTTTCCTTTTTTTTTCCTCTTTGCATTTCTATTTGAGAAGTTTCTTTTGACATATCTTCAATTCACTGATTCTTTCCTTGGCCATGTCCAGGCTACTGATGAACTCATCAAAGGTATTCTTCATTTCTGTTACATTGTTTTTCATTTCTAGCATTTCATTTTTCATTATGTCTTTGAGTTGTCATCTTTCTGCTCACTTAACCATCTGTTCATGCGTATTGTGTGCTTTTTTCTTTAGAGCCCTTAACATATTAACTAACCATAGTTATTTTAAATTTCTGTCTAAAAACTTGAAAATCCATCATATCTGAGTCTGGTTTTGATGATTACTTTGTCTCTTCACACTGTGTTACTTCTTGCCTTTTGGCATGTCTTATAATTTTTTTTTTAAGTCAGACATGATAAGTCAGGTAATAGGAACTGAGGCAAATAAGCCTTCAATGTGAGGTTTTATATTAATCTGGGTAGGAAATGGGCCATATCTAATGTTTGTTCTAGCTGTAGGTGGCAGAGGTGTCAAATTCCTCTAGCGTTCTTGTTTTTCTTTCCCCTGCTTTCTCTGGGTTTCTCTGAGAACTCCTTTTTAAATAGTCTGTTTCTTGTAGTTCTTCCAGCTGTAATCTGCTCTTATTATACAGGAACCCTGTTGATGGAATGGTAACGTGTCAGAGGGGGAAGTGGTCTATAATCTTATGATTACATCTCGATCTTTTAATGGAACTGCACCTTGGGCTATTACTTTTAAAAGAATTTCTCCCTCCACCCTTTTTTTTCAATTTTTTTGAGATGGAGTCTTGCTTTGTTGCCCAGGCTATAGTGCAGTGGCGTGGTCTCGGCTCACTGCAACTTCTGCCTCCTAGGTTCAAGTGATTCTCCTGCCTCTGCCTCCTGAGTAGCAGAGATTACAGGTGCCTGCCACCATGCCCAGCTAATTTTCTTTTGTGTTTTTAGTAGAGACGGGGTTTCACCATGTTGGCCAGGCTGGTCTCAAACTCCTGGCTTTGTGATCCACCCGTCTCAGTCTCCCAAAATGCTGGGATTACAGGTGTGAGCCACCGTGCCCAGCCTCACCTCCACCCTTTTTAGAAGTGACAAGATGGCCAGAAGGGGCTAGATTTTGGTAGTCACCCTTCCCCTAGAATGGTTAAAGCATTTTCCCTGGAGAGCAGGCCCTTGTCATGGAGAATGCTTTGGCTTTTTAAAAACTTTTCTTTTCCCTCTTCTTGCCAGAAGGATAAAGAGATTTTTCTTGGGGTTTGTGGAGGTAAAATCCATAAAAGGTTGGGGGCCTGCCCTGAGATGATGACCCCCAGGAGTTTCTCATGCTCATGCTCCTCCACACTCAGCCTCCAGCAATTCATCAAACATACCAGGCTATGACTTCAGTGCCTGCTGCCTCAGATAGTTGATCTCGGCTAATTCTCTGGATTTGCCTGTATCTCCAGATTTTGGGGCAGTTTGCCTTGTGACTTTGGTTATTTGAGAGATAGAAGAAAAGTTGTTAATTCATAGTTTGTTCAGCAGGGTTGTTGTTGTTGTTGTGAGGATGGGAGCGATGACTTCCAATGTCTTTGCGTGTTGAAGCTGAAACCAGAGGTCTAGTGAACTTTTACATTTTTGAAGTTTAGACTTTTTTCTTAAGACAAACTTTCTTTTTGTTTTAAATTTTGGTTTTATTATAGTATTATCTTATAGCCAGAGCATGTAACCTGTTCAATTTCTCTTCATTATTATTTATTGAAATTACTTCAGGGCCAAATACCTGGTATGATCTTGTGTGTTTAACACAGTGTTATTAAAAATCAATTTTGCCAGTTTTTAAAACTTACATTTTGTGTATCTTTGTTCTTTTATTTTTATCTACTTGAGAAGCTAAGGACTGGAAGTAAGATGTTTTTTAACAGCCTTGAAAGATTTCCCCATTAGTAATCTTTAATCTTACTTTTTAAATGTGAGTATTGAGAATTTTACCTTCTTTCTCATTTGTATTTGCTTAATGAAACTTATCCATCTTTTGACTGTTAACATTTTTAATGTTATTTTATCTCTGTTATGTCTCTTGTAGTTAGATTCTATTTTGACCATTTATAATTTAAGATGGTAGCTTAATCTGTTTTAAATATCTTGTTGCTTATGGATTTTTTATTTTTATATTTTATGCCTCTTTATTTTCTATAAGAAAAAGAGCATGTTTTTCTTTCTCATTATTTTGTAAAGTTTGTAGCCTCATTTTGACTCTATTTGTTACACTTGGGTTTCTAATTAATTCTTTAATGTATATTTCTCTAACTGAGACCATCAAATTTATAACTATATCATTTGAATTTGTATTTGAAATAAGTTACTTAACTCAATTTTTTACTTGTCCTCACTCAATTTAAAAAACTTTACCAAGATATCGCACCACTGCACTCCAGCCTGGGTGACAGAGCGAGATTCCGTCTCAAAACAAAACAAAAAAAACATTAAAATAGAATCTAAAGTTTAAGATTGAAATTACTATAATTTTATTATATGCAGTATATATCCTCTCTTTTTAGAACAGTGCTTCTCAAGTATTTGGGTTCAGGATATTTTTATATTTTTAAAAATTATCGAGAACCCCAAAGAACTGGCTTTTGTTTATTGGGTTATATCTGTTGCTATTTACGATATTAGAAATTAAAACTTTGAACACTTAAAATATGTATTTATTCATTTAGAAATAATAGTAGTGAATTTATTACCCGTGAATATGTGATGTGTTTTTATGAAAAATAATAAAACTTTTCAAAATAGAAATAAATTAGCCAGAGGATTAGCATTGCTTTACATTTTTATACGTCTTTTAAATATAAGTAGAAGGCAGCTAGACCCTCCTATCTGCTTCTGCATTCAATCCGTTGTGACATCACAGGCCATTTAGCCTCTGAAAAATTTCATTGTATATTCATGAGAGAATGAGAAAGATAAAGGGAAAATAATATGTTATTATGTGAAGAGTTTTACTTGGTGACACCTGAAAGGGTCTTGCACAATCCTAGGGGGTCCCTAACCCCACTTTGAGAATTACTGTTCTAAGATAATTTATACATTTGAGACATCAGTATTGTAACTGGTTTTAATGATGCTTCCAGTTCCTCTACAATAAGGCTTTACTGATACTGATTTCTTGATTCTGTTAATGTAGTACATCATCAAATAATTCGTCCTACACAGTGTCAGTAAAAATGGAGTAGGGTGATCTATAGGAACAAACAATTCCCAAATCTCAACGGGTCACCAGCCCTCTGCACAGAGGACCCTCATCCTGGACTCTGTCTCTGGCTGAGGAGCAGCCACCCCATCTGAAATGACAGTCACTGTGGTAGAGGAACAGAGAGCATGCCTAACCAGGTGCTGCCTCTGAGCTCTTCTGCCAGAGTGATACCCATTGCTCCAAGGGAGGTACAATCTTACCTTGGCCCAGAAGAAAAGAACATTGAAAAATGTGTGACCAACACAGAAGGTGCATGAGCAAAATATTCTTTGAGTCCTTGTCTATCTAAGTATTGATTCTGCCCTCATACGTGAATCATTGAATAAGGTATACATTTTTCCATTTTAATTTTTTTGGACCCATTCTCAAGAACTGAATGGGTATACACTTTTTTTAGTAGTTTCCTCTTACCTCTAGGTTTATAGGTTTGCATCATTGCTTTAGACATTTAGGGTTTCAAATTCACTTATTTTTCCCTTTAGGGCTTTTCCCCATATGTTCTGGGAAATTCTCCCTCCTTTATCTTATAAAAATTTTCATTCACTTTTTAAAAATTTCACAATCATTTTGAATTTCCAAGGTCGTTTTATTTTCTGGTTGTTTCTTTTCTGCATGGAATTTTTGGTACAATATATTCTCTTTCTGTGTGATAATATTTGTTGTTTAGAAATTCTTTTTTGTTCCCTGAAACATCTGTATTTCCGCTAGGGTAATTTTTTGCCTTTTGCTTATCTTGGTTTTACTCCTTAATGTTGTAGGTTTCCACAAATGCTGTGGTCTGTTGTAGTCTGTTCATGCTTACCAGCAAGATGCTGAAAAGTAAACTTGAAACTCCATTTAATGAGATGGGCTTGCAAACTTGTGGGCTTCACTGAGCAAATACCAAATCCCTGAAGGTAAAGGCCTTTTCTCTGAGTCATTTATATTTTTCTTAAGAGGAAACCTCCAGTCTTCTGCCTGATTGTGGGTGTTCTGTGTCGTAGAGCAAACTGTTTTTAATTTTGCCTTTGGAACAATCTCTCGATTTTCATCTCTGCATCTCCTTCTCAACCACCACTGCATCTCTGGGAGGCTGCAGGACACGCTGGATCCTTTTCTGACCTCAGGAAGCATCCTCCACCTTCAATAGCAATGAGTACCCCTCAGACCACTTTTTCTCTTTCATACTTAGGTTAAAATTTCTCATCTAATTCCTTTCTCTTCATCATTGTAACTTTAATTCCTTTACTGTCATTTTAGGAGATATTCTAGTGAAAGAGGAGAAAAACAGTTGTCATTAATCAACGATTTTAAACCAGAAGGCTTTTTCTTTTTTAAAAGAATTCAATGGATAAATGGTGCATGTCTGGAGAATGGGAAATTTTAGTGATCCTCTATTCTATCCTGATGCATGTTTAAGGAATGGAAAGTCCCAATGACCATTTCCTGGTGGGATAAAAAAAATCCTGGAAGTCTTCATACCGTTTAGAAATACAGATAAATTTGTTAAGGCCTATTAGCAAGGGGAACAATTTAGCAAGTAGGAATCAGAACTACAAACTTTTGTGATTAAAAATTAGTTTCCCAGGCACAGCCTTAATGTCTGAAATCCAGAGGTCTCCAAGTTTAGACAGATTAATGTGTCCTAGTTTTGCATATCCACACAAATCTCCATGTTGGACCAGAGAAAGAGTGATTTTCTTGTGACTGTTTTTTTTTTTTTTTTTTTTTTTTTGAGATGGAGTCTTGCCTCTGTCACTCAGGCTGGAGTGCAGTGGCACGATCTCAGCTCACTGCAAGCTCCGCCTCCTGGGTTCACGCCATTCTCCTGTCTCAGCCTCTCGAGTAGCTGGGACTACAGGCACCTGCCACCATGCCCGGCTAATTTTTTGTATTTTTAGTAGAGACAGGTTTCACCATGTTAGCCAGGATGGTCTCGATCTCCTGACCTTGTGATCCGCCTGTCTCGGCCTCCCAAAGTGCTGGGATTACAGGCGTGAGCCACCGCGCCCGGCCTTCTTGTGTATTCTTAATCAAACCTTACCAGATGAGAGTCTTTGAACCAATTTTATGATGCAGAATGCCACCCTCCTTTTGCAGTTACAGATGGAGGAGATACATCTCCTTTACATCTCCTGAGATTTCCTCTCTTTGTTGTTAACTAAGAAGACTTGCAGTTCAGTGTTAGGTTCTGTAATATCTCAGCCAGATTTTTATTTCTTTCTCTGTAAGTTAAAGTTCTCCAGAGAAACAGAACCAATAGGATGTGTATATACAGAGAAAGAGATTTGTTATAAGGAATTGGCTCTTGCAATTATGAAGGCTGGCAAGTCCAAAATCTGTAGTGTGGGCCTGCTGTTTGGAGACCCAGGAGAGCTGATGGTGCAGCTCCAGTCTGAATGCAGTCTACTAGAGGATTCTTTCTTTCTTGGGGACACTAGTCTTTTGGTTCTATTCAGGCTTTCAATTGGTTGGGCAAGCCCCACCCACATTATGGAAGGCAATCTGCCCTACTCCAAATTCACCAATGTAAATGTTAATCTTATCCAAAAACACCCTCAAAGTTGGCATATAAAATTAATTACCACAGTATCATGTCAATTCCTATAAAGATTTTGACATCTTTTAATTGCATATTTTCCCTAGAGAGTTCAGGTGAAGGTCTCTTTATAATAGTTTGATTGGAACAGGGTGAGCCTTTTTACTTCTATGTACAGGTCTTTCTTAAGTTCACTGTTTTCATCTTTTCCACCTTGATTTTTCCCAAAATAAATAAATTCCATTCATTCTGGTCTCCCTACAAGAATGCTTATTTTATACATGTTGGCTCTCCATTGGCCATCCTTCATGTCTAAAATCTTCTAACCACCACAAACCTCTTGGAAACTCAGTGTCTACTTCCACGTTGTATCTTTGTTTCTTAGGATGGTCGCAGAGATCCAGAACGTAGAGGGTCAGAACCTGCAGGAGCAGGTTTGCCCTGAGCCCATTTTCAGGTTCTTCAGAGAAAACAAGGTGGAGATTGCAAGTGCAATAACAAGGCCATTTCCTTTCCTTATGGGCCTCCGAGACCGCTCCTTCATCTCCGAGCAGATGTATGAAGTAAGTAAGAATTTCCAAATGATGATAAACCAGGTCCATACTCAATTATGCCAAACTTCAAGATGCAATGAGCAGGCTAAAGGGCCTCCTGTGAGTGGGGACCTTCACCATTCTGTAGGTTAGGAGGTGACAGGAGAAGCAGGCATCACAGAAAACCTCCCTTCTTCTGTAGTAAATGTTGGGGGAGGGCCACAGTGAGGGAGGTGGGGCAGGAGAGAGAATGGGAATGCTGTATGGGTGCAGATCATCCTAGGTACTTGTAAACAATCTACTAATGGTAGCCATAATTAAAATAAATAAGTGACCTAGGCAGCATTTTATTCCAAAGCCTACTTATTTGAAACACTTGAAACTGAGATTTTTTTGAAACTCACAGTGAAGTTGTGTCATTTTAGGTTACATTTGGAAGTGGATGCTTGCTACTGTCTCTCCAAATCATTGTTTGATCTTTGGACATTTCTAGAGCCCTAGAATGCAAGTTAATGTTAGCAGTGGATGCCCTTAGGGATACTGAGGACAAGGCTTCTTCTTGTCTTTGTGAATTTTCTGTGCCCTTTGGCCAGGAGTCATAGTGGGGGCTGGTTGATTGGTTTCCTGGAGCTCGTCAGGCCAGGCCAATCCTAGTAGTGGTTATTGTCCATGCAACAGAACAGCCTTGTTAAGGCCACTCCTGAAATAACCTGGCCAGGCTCTAAAGCCATACACAACATTCAACTTTGAACCCACACTTATTATTTAAAATTACTCTCTCCCCTTAAGTGTACAACAATGTCAGAGAGTCAGGTTCAAAAAATTAGAGTGTATTTTTATGGTGGAGGACATTTAAGAAGTCATCCAAATATACGCAAAATTCTAACATTTCACAAGAGAACAGATGTTCTATCTACAACCTAAAAGTCTTTTGTAACCCATAAATCTCTAGCTACATAATTCTCCATTTAATATTTTTAAGCATTTTCAAGAAGCTTTTAGAAACCTGGTCCCAGTGACAAGAGTGATGTATTGTGTACTCAGTGAACTGGAGAAGACATTTGGCTGGTCACATCTGGAAGCATTGTTCAGCAGGATTAACCTGATGGCCTATCCTGATTTAAACGAGATTTACAGAAGCTTCCAGAATGGTAACTATAGCTCTCAACAGCTTTGGGGGATTCAAGCCCATTTCATTCATTGATTCATTCATTCACTCTTCATTCATATTTGACAAATATTTGACTGAGTGACTATTACATGCCAAGCCCAGGGGGAATATAATGATGAAAAAACACACATGTCCCATGTCCTTATGGAGTTTACATACAGTGGGAGTGACAGACGTTAACCAAGTAATCCTGCAAATGGTTGCTCAGCCAGGACTTGATTTTGATGCTGTAAAACATAGGGTTGAAGTCTCTATTTTTTTGAAGGAATACATGAGTGATGTCTTTTCATGGGAAAGGAGGAAGCCTTCTCTGATATTTGCAGATATGTTCAAAGATAAAACAATTTTCTTTGTATTAGAAAATTTATCATCCAGTGCAGTCCTGTGTCAACTTGTTTCTCCAAACAAAGACTGGAGAAGTCACGAAGAGAGCCTAGCACATACTGGTACACTGAGGAGGAGCTGCATGTGAAAGCTATGAAGACAGAAAAGGGGGTTGGTGGGGGCCTTTCCGAACCATGTGGTTGAATTGCAGACTGTGGGAGGCAGGGTGTGAGAGCTGACTCTGGAGAAAGAAGTTGAAGTGGATTCTGGAAGGCTTGACACCCTGTGCTAAGGAATCTGGAGTTTAATTTTTGGAAAATAAAGAAGGAATAAAGGGCATTTAAACGGGAAAAGTAAAAGAAGTCAGTATGAAGAATGGGATGTGTTGATTTGTGAATACTATACCTTGATTCAAAAAAGAGGTATCTTGTTTTCATATTATGATACATCCAAGTCAGAGAAAGGTCTAGAGGAAGTCAAATACTGTGCATGCCTCCTTTGGTATCCATGAGGGATTGGTTTCAGGAATACCCACCACTCTCAGTCCTGAATGCTTAAGTCCCTTATATAAAATGGCGTAGTATTTGTGTATAACCTATGCACATTGCACCAGTATACTTTAAATCATCTCTAGATTACAATACCTAATACAATGTAAATGCTATGTAAATAGTTGTTAAATTGTATTTTTCATTTGATTATTTTTAATTTTTGTATTGTTATTTTATTTATTTATTTATTGAGATGGAGTTCACTCTGTCACCCAGGCTGGAGTGCAGTGGTGTGATCTTGGCTACTGCAACCTCCACCTCCTGGGTTCAAGTGATTTTCCTGCCTCAGCCTCCTGAGTATCTGGGATTACAGTCACCCACCACCACACCCGGTTAATTCTTTTGTATTTTTAGTAGAGACAGGGTTTCGCCATGTTGGCAAGGCTGGTCTTGAACCCCCGACCTCAGGTGATCTGCCTGCCTTGGCTTCCCCAAATGCTGGGATTACAGACATGAGCCACCATGCCTGGCCTGTTATTATCTTTAACTTTTGTCCCACGTTTTTAATCTGAGGGTGGGTGAATCCACAGATCCCAAGCCAACTGTACCTAGGCACAAATTTTGAGTCAATATTTGTATTTTAACCAGGGTGTTCCAGGCTGTGGCAATGAAGGGAATGATGTTACTTCTACTGCCCACATCTCAGGGGCTCTGATTCTGTCTGTGGACTGTGGGGATCCTCCTGGCCCCAGCATCCACATCTCATATGTTAGTATCTGGCACTTCCTGTGTTTGGGTGACAGGTACCTGAGGCTCACGACTGCCCACTGCCTCAGACTATGAGTAGAAATGTGAGAAATGGGCAGAAGTAGAATGAATTGTAAAAAGATTGAAAAAAGAAAAAATAAACCTCTACTTATACTACACAACATCCACAAAAAAATAATTCAAGTTGGATCACAAATCTAGAAGTTAAGACTACAAGTATAAAGCTGCTAAAAGAGAAAACATAAGACAGTGTGTTTGCAAACTGAGAGTAGGCAGTAATTTGCTATACAGGACACAAAAAAACATGGATCATAAAAGAAAAACTTGGTAAGTTAGATGTCAACAAATTAAAAACTATGCATCCAAAGTCACCATTAAGAAAAGGAAAAAACAAGCCATAGACTGGGAGACAATATTTTGCAATACACATATCTAACAAAGGATTGTACTCACAAAATATGAAGAACTCCTATAAATGAATAATAAAAGGACACATCACCAATTCAAAAAATGGACAAACGATTTGAACAGACATTTCAAGACAGGAGATATAAAATGTCCAGCAAGAATATAAAGTGTATGACATTATTAATCATGAGGGAAATGCAAATTAAAGTTATAGTGAGATATCATTCACTCACTAGAATTGCTAAAATTAAAAAGACTGACAATACCAAGTGCTGATGAGAATATGGAACAATTGGACCTCCCATCCCTTGCTGGTAGGAATGTAAAATGATAACGACCACTTTGGGAAAGTGCCTGGCAATTTCCTATAAAGTTAAATCTAACCTATGATCTTGGCAGTTTCACTCCTAGGTATTTACATGAGAGAAATGAAAATATGTTCATGCAAAGATTTGTTTAAGAATGTTTATGGCAGCCTTATTCATAATAACTAAAATCTGGAACCAACCCAAATGCTCATCAACGGAGGGTAGATAAACTATGACTAATTTATAGAGTATAATACTATTCAGCAATAAAAAGAATGAACTGTTATCACATAGAGCAACATGGATAAATCTCAAAAACATTATGTTGAGCAAAATAAGCAAGTTGTAAGAGTACATACTGCATGATCCTATTTATATAAGTACAAGTACAGACAATACAGACAAGTACAGTGCCAGAAAGGAAGGCGCCATTGCTGGTGATAGGAACCAGAACAGTGGTGTCTTAAGCACAAAGCAATTTTCTGGGATGGTGGAAATGTTCTGAATCTTGACTGGGATGTTGGTTTCACAATGATTTACACTTAAGATATGTGCCTCTCAATGAAAAAAAGGGGAACAAGGCTCTGTTGGACCTCGGGGGTGGGAGATCCTGGGGCTTGGACATCAAGTTCATCTTGAGCACACTGAGGTCTCTCCTCTGGTCACTGTCTGAGTTTGGTAATTTTCACATTGTTTTCCTCAGTATGCTATGAACACTCACCTCTCCAAATGAATAATGTAAACGATTTAGAAGATAGACCCAGATTACTACCATATGGTAAACAAGGTAACTATCATTTAGCTGATCAATGCCCTTATTAAAGTTTTGCTTCCTTGCCTTCATGGAGGCAAATCTTGTATTTCCTCTCCTGTCTTAGCCCTCTGTTATCTCCCAGTCCTCCTCCCCTCACACAGCCATGTACCTGCCCTTATCTGCCAACAGATGTGAGAGAACCAATGAAAAAGGAGATCTGATCTCTTGAATAGATGGAGTCTCCATTGGTGGAGAATATAAGAAGAGAAAATGGGAAAGGTAGACAGAGAATAATACAGGACAAATTACATGAATGGATTCCATCTTCTAAAGGAACATAAAAGTCCTACCCTCCGAGGTTGAGATAAGGGGATTATTTTTAATTAATTTCATAGAACTATTAAGAGAAACTCAGAAATAACCTAAGCCATATCAGATTCAGGTGAGAGATATTCCTTACGGAGATGACCAGTTAGGGGTCTCTAGTACTGTGGTCACAGTCCAAGAGGGGAGTTTGGATATGGAGAGAGAGGGGAGCCTGAAAGATAGAATTGCGCAGGGAGACAAAACTGAAATAGTGTTGGCAGATAGAAGATCAAAGTGAAATGGGAGAAACAGAAATGGAAAGAGAGGAAGTATAAGACACAGCAGAGAAAAGGTAAACCGAAACATCTGCCAAGGATCAGAGGTAAAAATGGAGAGAGAAGTATATGGAAAAGGAAAGATGAGAGGAAAATAAATACCAAGAAATGGGGAAAGTAGAGAGGTACAGAGGCAACTATGTAGATAAAGAGTTAAGAAAAAAAGGGTGTAAAACACTTGAGAGTGAAAAGTGGATAAAAGGGAGAGAGAAACAGACTGGGACAGTGTAGGTTTGAGGTAAGAGCACTGGATATCCATAACTTTACAAGGGTTTATTCCATTAACCGTAAGTTTTCAGAATGAACTGTTCCCACATCAAAGTGGCACTTGCATGATACTCAGATTTCAATAGATCTCTCCCAGAATAGTCCAATGATTCCCAAGCACAAATCTCCACTCTAAATTATCTTTAGAGTACATTTATTCATGGACCTGAGGACCTTTACTCAAGGGTCAGATAGACATCTACACTTGATTTTTTTCAAGAACCTTAAACTTGGTACTTTGAGAACTGAAAGCCACATCTTCATTGCTCAAGTTAGATCGAACTCCTCTGCAGCACTCTTTCTCTCAGAGACGGATCACTATTATCCCATGGTTTTTCAAGTTGGAAACCTAGTCAAGTCATCATGGATGACTCCTCCCTTGCCCTCAAATACATGCCAGTTATGCAGCCAATGTAATCATTTCATCTTCAGGTTGCCCCTGGCCTGTCCATCTTTGCATCCCCAAGACCAGGTCTCTGGTCCAGATCTCCATCACCCTCATGATTCTCAGGGCAACATCCTTTGCTCATCTCCTCCCTCTAATCTTGCTTCCATCAAATGTGTTATTTGCACTTCAACTAGATGGGATATTTTAAAGTGCACATCAGATTGTATCATTTTCCTACTTACCTCCTTAATACACTAAGGATTAAATAAATGGGTTTTTAAGTAGCATCCAAAGGCATCCACAATGAGCCACCTGCTTACTTCTCCAGCTTAATCCCTGCCTCCTGAAATATTACTTCAAGGTGGAATAAAATTTCCCCCAATAATTTCAATTGTTAAATCTCTCTTTCAAACTGAGCCTTTCCCTATGTTTTCTCTATGCTGCCTTATTTAGAATTGTTTTCCTGTCCCACTATCCTCCATTTACCCTTCTCCAATCCAGCTAAATCCTACTTAGAATATATGATCAAAGGGAGGTCTTTCTTTAGAGAAAGCTAGAAAGGCACAATTGGGAGACCAAGGATGGGAGAGAAAGAGCAGTATCAGAGAAAGCAAGAGAAAAAATTTGCAGGAGCAGAGAAGAGAGAAATGCATCTAGGAAAGAGAGGCTCCAAGAAACATCCGCAGAAAAAAACAGAGGCAGAGATTGAGGAAATGTACAGAAACAGGTGGAAAGACATGAGTGAGAAAATGGGAAAGAGAACAAGGTATAAGGAAAGGAAGACTCCCCCACAGTGGATGAATTATTCTCAGCCTCTGGTGAAGGTTACTGAAGGACTGAATCCTCAGGTCAGGTTGTTTGGGGAGAGGGGACCTTCCAGATTATCAGGTTTTCTTAGTTTTCTCATTATTTGTTTTCTTGTTTTGATGGCTTTTTGACCATAAATCAAGACATCTAAGGGATTTCATTCCTTTCGGCAGAGAACAGCAATGCCTGTCATGAAATGGATGATATAGCAGTGCCTCAGGAAGCCTTGAGCTCCTCGCCAAGGTGTGAGCCAGGTAAGGAAGGAGTGACTTGCTCTCCCTGACCTGCAGGGTGTCAGGAGGTGGAATTCAGAGCTGGTGTTTCCTAATGCATTTTACTCTGAGTACATGCCACAGGCAAAAGATCCATTTTGTCCTTGGATCCTATAATTCTGCTAAATTTTCCTAAGTGTATGTTATAGTAGAAATATGCTAGAGAAGGATGATGTCTTTCATGTCTACTAATAATAAAAACTTGATTATACCTACCCACCACTTACTTTCTCTAGAGAATAAAAACGATTATTGTTTGTTACTATTATTATTTTGTCCCTTACTATAGAAAGCCTTCAAAAGAAACATGTTCCATCAGACCAACTACTCGAAAAACTAAATGATAATTTTTGCCAAATATTTTCCATTGTGTTACTATCTTATCTAGTTATTGTTCAAAGAATTTTGGCAAACAAGATGTCATTTTATCTCCACAGCTTATGAATTTTGATGGATAAACTTTTGCTTATTTGTATTTTATAGCTAAATAAAGTAGAAGTAGAAGCATAGCAATGTGTAAGGTCTTTTACCAGGTCAAATTAGTCAAGCAAGAACATGACCCACATCCCTGCTGACTCACTGCGGTGATGGTTGTGTGAATTTGGCAGAGATCAGGGTAGCCAGGGTCATGGATTGGAGTTCACACAGGAGACCCAAGGAGGCCTGCAGGTTCTTAGGGGAGTGGGCCAGGGCCTGGTGCAAGGAGACTCTTATTCAGCAAAAGCATTTCCATGGCCAGAGCAGGGAAAAGCAGAGAGAAACGGTAAGATTGGAATCTGCCATGTGGGATGCAAGAAATCCAGAAGAAGAGAACCAGAAAGAAAAATGGAGACACAAGTAGGAAAATGTGATGGAGGGCATTGAAGAGCAACAGAAAAGAAAAAGAGAGGGAATCCCAGGGAGTCAAGGAGATGGACGGTGCTTCATGGCGTAGAAGCAAGAGTGTGTGGTAACCAAAAAGTGAGAAGGAGAAAGGAGGTAGCAGAGAGATGATCAGAAGGAAAACAGGCAGAGCAAGGCTGTGGCGGGGCTCAGGCGAGGTCCTTGGAGCAATAGTGTTTTTTTGCAAGGAGAAGCTCACTTGAGTGCTGAACACCAGGATTCAGCAGGAGCATCCTGAGGTCTGTGCTCTCATCACTGTGCCTTGTTTATTTCCAGGTTTCTCTTCAGAGTCTTGTGAGCAGTTAGCTCTCCCAAAGGCTGGTGGAGGAGATGCTGAAGATGCACCCAGCCTACTACCAGGTGGGGGAGGTAATTATGATTTAAATGACCAATTATCTCATTAAATTAGTTGGCCTATCTCTATGCAACCAACACTTCCTTCTCTCTCCACCACCAACCCTGTAACACACTTTTGTTCAGCCTGTGGTTGTTTTCCCCAGGTGTGTGGGAGGCAAGAGGTAAAGGACGGCTAAGTCCTTTAGTGGAGGGGCTCCTGGGCAGAGAGCTTAAGGGTACAGAGTAATAAAAATTACTCTGATTGGAGGCACCAAATGGTGTTGCCTAAGTGGGCCCAATTTTATCTACATGAATATTGAATCTAAATCCTACCAGGATGGGGTTTGAGAAAAGAGAGAGAATTTTAAACTTACTTGCCAGGGATTATTTAGGAATAATGAAATACTGTATATAGAAGAGACAAAGTGGAAGTGACAAAGTTAGAAGAATGAATAGGGATATAACGGGGCAAAGAGGTAACAAACATCACGAAGGAAGAAAGAGACAGAAATGCAAAGAAATGGTAGAAGTCAGGGAGAGGAAGTCAAGTCAAAGAGATCCTGGAGTTGGTTTATGGTGCAGATGCAGCAATGTGTAAAGACAGGGTTAGAGGGAGAAAAAAGAAGGAGAGAGAGGGAGAGAGGGGAAAGGGGCCTGACAAGGTGCTAGAAGAAGTAGAGCCACTTTTGTTTGGTGCAAAGATACCTTTATTCCCAGGGAGCAGTTCTACACCCGAATATTAGAGCTCAGCATGGATCCAGGTAGGTGTCCAGGTCACTGCCAATTGTCTGTCATGTTCCTCTTTCACTCTGCAGTGTCCTGTAAACTTGCTATACAAATAGATGAAGGAGAATCAGAAGAAATGCCCAAGTTACTGCCTTATGATACAGAAGGTAATTAGGATTTAAATTAAAGCTTTATTTTTCTGTCAACATACAAAAACACCTACTCTTTCATCTCCCTTCCCATTCCCCCATCTATTCATGTATTCATCCATATATCCATCCATCCATCCATTCATCCATCCATCCATATATCCATCCATCCATCTGTATATTCATCTGTCCATCCATCCATCCAGCCATCCATCAATCCATGCATCCCTCCCCACATACAGACAGAGACAGTCTATGTCCAGCTTCTTCCTGCTTTCCTTAAGAGGCACAAGTAGCAAAAGAAGGATGAGCTCAGACTGGTTGGGGCTTTCCTGCATATAGGACATAGGGAAAGAGAGAGAGAAAGAAAAATATAGTTTGAATCGTTAAATAAAGAGAGATCTGAGTGATTGCCAGTTTTACCTCAATAGTTGTGGGATCCAAATATTACCACGTTGGGTAACATTTGGGTAATATTACCACATTGGGTAACATTTGGGTAATATTACCACATTGGGTTATAAGGAAGGGGAGATAATTTTCAACTTATTTTCTCGAGGTTATGCCAACAGCATGGATATAATGAGTATATTGCAATATAGAAAACTCAGTGAAAGACTGTTGAAATGAACTTCACAAAGGGAAGGGTCCCTGCCCCTTTGTTAATGGCAAAAGATGAGGCCTTTGATACTATGGCAGAAAAATAAGACAGAATATACAGAAAGACTGAAGTTTAAATTTTTAGATTTAAATTTTGGATTGAAAAATTAGGAACAGAAAGCTAATTAGAGAGAACAGATAGAGGCATGGAAATGAGCACCATGGAAGAAAGGAGATAAGCTTGATTATTAAATATGGCACAGGAATTAAAAGGTGGAGAAAATACTGTGAGAGGAACAGAGAGAAGAAAAATGCTCGAAGACAGAGACAGTGGAGGAGAGGCACAAAAGTTGTACACAGAGAAAAAGAGAAAGGAGAATAAGTGAAGTTAGCAGAGAGTGAAAACTGCTTGCAAGAGATGGGGAACAATATGGGACATTGTAGGGATGGAGGGAAGATTCACTAGACAGAAATAACTTCTGGCCCAAGAATGAGACATGTTAGCAGCGAGTTTTCACATTATGGTGTCCCCAGCCTATCAAAATGGCACCTGTAATGTCCTCAGAGGCAGTCGACCTCCCCCTGAGGCTTTCATGTCTCTCCCATCTATAACTTAATGATTTCAAAACACATATGTCCAGATTTATCTTCTAAGTTCATTCATCTGAGTACCTGAATACGTTCATGAAGATATCTGAAAGACCTCTCCATTTGGATGTTTTTCAGGAACCTCAATACAAGACACCTCCAAGAGTACATACCATCTTTCCTGACACAGATCTGACTCCTCTCCCAGTGTTCCCTATCTCAGGATGAAACACTATTACTCCATTCTTGAAGCAGAAACCTAGGAGCCACTCATGACTCACCCCACCTCCCTCAACTTAAACACCCCATCAACCATCCAGTAGACTTTTAGTGAGTTCTACATATCTCACCTGTCCATTTCCTTCCACCCCAACACAAAAACTCTGGTAAGATCTCTCTCTTGGACTGGAGCAACAGCCTCTAGACTCACATCTTTCCTCTGATCTTGTACCTCTCACATCCATTCTTTCCAACTCAAACAACTCTTTCAAAAATTGAAGTTGGCTTATCTTACATTTCTACTTTAAATCAATAACTACTTGGGGTCATAAGGATTAAATCTATTTTTTCCCCCAGGGCTCCAGCTTCATGTCTGCCTCTCCTGCAATTACTTCAAGGTTTATATACAAATTTTCTAGTCATTGTCATTTTCTGATGACTCTTTCTCATCTGAGCTTTCCTAAAGGCTTAGCCCTGTGCTTGAAAAAGTCACCTTGTTTCACTACAATCTCCATCATGCTCACTAATCTAGTGAAATTATATGGAAATTACATACACTCTCAGAGATGCCTTTTTTGATCCCTAGTTCTAGAAAGCAACGGGATGATAGATGCGGCAAGGACATACAGCACAGCACCAGGGGAGAAACAGGGAGAGGAGGAAGGCAGGAACAGTCCCAGAAAAAGAAACCAAGACAAGGAGAAGTACCAAGAGAGTCCAGAGGGAAGAGACAAAGGTAGGAACAGAAGAAGCAGAGACATGTGTCAAGGGTGAAAATGAGAGTGCCAACATGGGGTGGGAGACCAGGTGGGCAAGGTTTCTGACAGTCTCTATCAGATTACTGGATTGCACAAGAGCTTCTTTTACCCTCACAAAATCTTTAACATCGATATGCAAACAGCTGTATGTCTATCTTACAGACTGAGAAATAAAGCACAGAAATGCAAGCAGGATATTATCACAAAGGCAAAGTAGAAAAGGAAGAGTGGGCACCAGTGTCCTGGATGTGTCACTGGGTGATGGTTGTGCAAGGCCAGCTGGGGGTTCAGGGCCAGGTCACAGGGTCAGAATAGAAAGAAGTCCAAGGAGTTCTGCAGGTTCCCGGAGGAGTGGACCAGGGATCAATGTAAGGCTTTAAGGAAAAAAAATGCTAATGGGAGGGAAGGGAAATCATGGAAACACAGCATGGAAATAGAGCCTGCCCTTTGGAATAGGAGAGGGATCTAGAATAAGAGCTAAAGAAATAATAGAAAAGGGATATGGTATCACTGAAAAAGAAAAAAGACATAGAAACAGGAGACAAGAGAAGCCAGTTGGAGAGAAGATCAGACAATCCAAGCGCTGCTCAGCTAGGAGGGAATTATGTGGAGGCAGAACGGTGAGGAGGACACTGAGAATTACAGAGAAGGAGAAAGAGGAGCTGCAACAAGGTGGAGAAAAGGCGGAACAAGACAGGGGTGGCTCTCAGCATTTGCCCATCTTGGATGGCATGAACACACTGAGGCCTGTGTCCAAGTCACCCTCTGTGGTCTGTCAATTTCTTGTTTATCTGCAGAGACCTTTGATCTAAAAACTCCCCAAGTCACTAATGAAGGAGAACCAGAGAAGGGGCTCTGTCTACTACCAGGTGAAGGAGAAGGTAATTATGATTTAAGTTTTTAAATATTTGAGTACATCTTTGTTTTCTAGTTGGCATGGAAAAAAAGTTTCCCTTTCTCCCATCCTACCCTTCCCTTCTTCACATTCGCATACATACAGATGGAATTATGTCAATTTTCTGTTGTGCCTTTTTGAAAACTGTGAGAGAGACAAAGGATCAAGGTGAGCTGAGCCCCTGAGTGGGGACCATATTTCTGCATGGGGAATGTAGGGAGAACGAATATACCAGAGGTAGGCTGGGGCGCCAGAGAAGTGCGTGGGTGATGTTATTAAACACACATTAAACCTAAATAACAGCAGATTATGGCAACTGACGCAGGGGAGAATGTTTTCAGCCTACTTCCAGAAGGATCTGGAGCACAGACATGTTTTGTGAAAGACCGAAGGCTTGCAACTGAGGAAAGTCATGCAGGAGACCCTTGGGATGGTGCTGACAAGGGAAGGACCTGTGGTGCTATAGCCCCTGCGTGAACAGAAGATCTTTTCCAACCTGGAAGAAGATAACTTTGAGAATGAGGAAAATATATAAAATAAGGGACATTTTACCAGCATCTAGGAGCATAAGATAAAACCCAAAGAAACAGAAAAGGAGAAAGTAGAAGACACATAGAAAGGTGATAACCTCAAGGAGAAAAGTTAGAGAAAATTGTACAAATGGTAGCAAATACAATAACAACAGCAATATGGGAAGGAAGCACAGAAGAAATTATGCAGAGAAAGAAACAGATCAAAATAATTAAAGAACCCATGAAGAGTGAAAACTGTTGTCCAAGGAAAGGGGCAGGTCGAGGGCCTATGGAGCTGAAGTCAGTCACTAGATAGAAGCAGCTCCCAGCAAAGGGCACCTCTATCAATAGTGAGTTTTCCAATCCAGGCCCCCCTAGGTAGACAGTGGCACAGAAGCATACTCAGAGAGTAAGAGTACTCTTTCCCCAGTCTCATCTGCTCAGGTAGTGGAATGATTCTCATGTACATGTCTGCGATGCAGACCTGCTTTCCAAGCTCTTCCATCCATGTGCCTGAAGATATTTATCCCAGGACCCTGCCCCTTGCAATGTCTTTCAGGAACTACACACATCCAAAAGGGAAACCAACACCTCCTCCGAACCTAGAAACTCCCCTTTCTCCAGGGTTTACTCTGTCAGTAAAGGGATGAATATCCTGTTTGCTCTTCTACTCATCAGACTCTTTTTCTCTGCTTTAGCACAATTGTTCTCTGCTTTAGCACAATTGGCAATTGCAAGATGTCAATCAGATCATTTTCTTTTCCCCTTAGACGCGGTGATCTTTGCTGCACAGGATTAGATGAATTATCCTTCCTGTGGATTTCTGTGGCTTCCACCCTTCATGGGTCCCCAGCCCATATCATCTGTCCCATCTCTACTAATGGCATCAATTGTTTCAGGAGCTGCAATGATCTGATCTTTCTTTTATATGTGGGCCCTTGAGCCACATTTCCCCTGTACTCTGTATTGTTGCCTTGGCCCACTCTTCTCCTGATCCCTTTCCTTATCTGGTTCATTTCCACCATCCCAAGGATGCCTTTCCTGATGCCCAGTATGAGAAAGGGGGTGACAAGGAAATAAATGAGATGGGGAAAGCCAATAAAAAGCAGAGTCAGGGGTGCAAGAGAAAAAGGCAGGAGCAGAGAATGGAGCAGAAACACATGGAAACAAAGAGAAGCACCTGGAGCCACTGGCAGCAGGAAAGCAGGGCAAAGGCAGAAGAAATGTGCCTAGGAAAGGGGGAGGGGGAGAAGGAGAGAGAATTAGGAGTCCAGGCAGCAAGTGAGCTGATGGATGGTTCTCAGCCTTGGTGACAGCAACTGGAGTGCATCCACTTACAGGCCAGGTGAACCCACCTACAGAACCCACCTACAGGCCAGGAGGGCCTGGGTGATGGACAGCCCCACCTAGGAGATACTTCAGCTTCCCACGTCTTCACTAAGTTTTCTCTTCATAATTTCTTGAGGGATTTCTTTTCTTTCTGCAGAGGGCAGTGATGACTGTTCAGAAATGTGTGATGGAGAAGAGCCCCAGGAAGCCTCTAGCTCCCTAGCAAGATGTGGGTCAGGTAAAGAAGGGGAGGATTTCTGGCCCTGGGCTGCAGAGTGTCAGGAGGTTGAATTTGGAGCTTGTGTTTCCTGATTGTCTTTCCTCCAAGTATACTTCACAGTGAAAGAATGCAATTAAATCTGAGATTTTTCACATTTTCTATACATGGATATTTGAGAAATGCAGGGAGGAATCTTGATATAGAAGTCTGTGTTTAACGGAATGGGTTTTATTGTTTGAACATATGTGTTTAGATAATCACGTGGTAGTTGGATTATGTCAAGGCAAGGCAATGTGTTCTCCCCTTCATATTCTCATGCCTATTAATACTGAAGCATTAAAATATTTTACTGAATAAGATCTCCTGATACCCTCACAAAACCTTAAGATGGGGCCAGACAAACTGGGTAATCCTATTTTACAGATGAAGAAATAAAGGTCAGAATATGCTAGGAGGAAAAAATGCTCTTTGCCTTTATTTTTCTTCACTATCAATAGTATTACTTGAATTTAAAATTCTATTCTCACTCACTTTTTCTATGGGAATGAAAAAGCTTATCATCCCTCTGCTGGTAGATACTTTTTATCATTTTATTACAAACTTGACAAAGCCTTCAAAGAAATGGTATCCTACCCTCTAATTGACAGAATTCAGATGATCTCTTTATGAGACTAAATGCTATTTTTGACCAATACTCTTCATTATGTTATTGGATCATGCAGTATGTTTTTAGAGGACTCTGATAAGTGTTACATTTTTACCCTCAGAAACCTCAAGATTTAGGCAGGGAAAGTGCTGTTATTGTTGTTTTGAGGAGCCAGAAACACAGACGTACATGTGACACCGGTGTTTGTTAAGACCCAAGAAGGAGGGAAATGCGGAGACCAGTGTCCTGGATGACTCCTTACAGGCTTTCAGTTCTGTGAGGCGGGCATGGGTTAGGGTGGGGTCCCATAGACTGAGTCCAATGTGGATGCCCAAAGGGTTTTTAGGAATCTGAGAGACTCTACCTGGGTTTAATGGAAAGAGACTTTTATTAACAAGTAAAGCAAGCTTAAGGAGAGGAGTGGAAAAATTATTGAGAGTTAGAAAGTATGTAAATATAATCCATGATACGAGATAGGAGATATCCAGAAAAATAGAGCCAGGAAAGATACACAGAGATAGAATGTGCATAGCAGATGTAGCATATCACTGAAGGAGAAAGAGACAGATATTCAGGGAGAGATGTTTGGAAGAGAAAGTCCACAGAGCCAAAGAGAAGGACAGTTGCCTTCATAGAGTAGCATTCTATGAAGGTGTATGAAGATATAAGTGTATACCTTCATGTGCCTTAATAGGCATAGAGTGGGGCAAGGACATAAAGCACAGGACCAGGGATGCAAGAGGGAAATGAGGGAGGCAGGAGCAGTCCCAGAAAAAGAAACCAAGACAAGGAGAAGTACCAAGAGAGTCCAGCGGCAAGAGACAGAGGTAGAAACAGAAGAAGCAGAGACATGTGTCAAGCATGAAAATGAGAGTGCCAACATGGGGTGGGAGACCAGGTGGGCAAGGTTTCTGACAGTCTCTATCAGATTACTGGGTTGCACAAGAGCTCCTTTTACCCTCACAAACTCTTAAACATCTGTATGCAAACAGCTAAACGTCTATTTTAGACTGAGAAATAAAGCACAGAAATGCAAGCAGGATATTATCGCAAAGGCAAAGTAGAAAAGGAAGAGTGGGCACCAGTGTCCTGGATGTGTCACTGGGTGATGGTTGTGCAAGGCCAGCTGGGGGTTCAGGGCCGGGTCACAGGGTCAGAATAGAAAGAAGCCCAAGGAGTTCTGCAGGTTCCCTGAGGAGTGAACCAGGGATCAATGTAAGGCTTTAAGGAAAAGAAAAATGCTACCGGGAGGGAAGGGAGATCGTGGAAACACAGCATGGAAATAGAGCCTGCTCTATGGGATAGGATGGATCTAGAATAAGAGCTAAAGAAATAATAGAAAAGAGATACAATATCACTAAAAAAGAAAAAAGACATAGAAACAGGAGGCAGGAGAGGCCAGTTGGAGAGAAGATCAGACAATCCAAGCGCTGCTCAGCTAGGAGGGAACTATGTGGAGGCAGAACGGTGAGGAGGACACTGAGAATTAGAGAGAAGGAGAAAGAGGAGATGTAACAAGATGGAGAAAAGGCGGAACAAGACAGGGGTGGCTCTTAGCATTTTCCCATCTTGGATGGCGTGAATGCACTGAGGTCTGTGTCCAAGTCACCCTCTGTGGTCTGTCAGTTTCTTGTTTATCTGCAGAGACCTTTGATCTAAAGACTCCCCAAGTCACTAATGAAGGAGAACCAGAGAAGGAGCTCAGTCTACTACCAGGTGAAGGAGAAGGTAATTATGATGTACATTTTTAGGTATTTGAGTACATCTTTGTTTTCCAGTTGGCATGGGAAAAAAGCTTCCCTTTCTCCCATCCTACCCTTCTCTTCTTCACATTCGCATACATACAGATGGAATTATGTCAATTTTCTGTTGGGCTTTTTTTGTAAATTGTGAGAGACAAAGGATCAAGCTAAGGTGAGCCCCTGAGTGGAGACCATATCCCTGCATGGAGCATGTAGGGAGATACAATATGCCAGAGGTAGGCTGGGGGCACCAGAGAAGAAGTTCCTGGGTGATGTTATTAAAAACACATGAAACCGAAATATCAGCAGGTTATGGTAATTGAGGCAGGGAGATTGTTTTCAGCCTACTTTCAGAAGTATCAGGAACACAGACGTAAGTTTTGTGAATGATTGAATGCTTGCAATTGAGAAAAGTCATGTGGAAGACCCTTGGGATGGAGCTGACAAGCAAAGCGTATGCAGTTTTACAGCCCCTGCGTAAACGGAAGAACTTTTCCAACCTGGGAGAAGAGAACTTTGAGAGTGAGGAAAATATATAAAATCGTGGACATTTTACAGGCATCTAAGAGGTTAAGGTAAAACCCAAAGAAACAGAGACAGAAAAGGAGAAAGTGAAAGACAAAGTAGAAAGAGGATAATCTCGATAAGAAATAAGAGGCAGAGAGAAAAGTTAAGAGAAAATTATACAAATGGAGGCAAATACAAATGACAACAATGTTGGAAGGAAGCACAGATTAAACTATGCAGAGAAAGAGATCAAAATAATTAAAGTACCCATGAAGAGTGCAAACTATGTCGGAGGAAAGGAGCGGGTTGAGGGCCTGTAGAGCTGAAGTCAGAGTTACTAGACAGCAGCAACATCCAGCAAACGGCACCTCTATCAATAGTGAGTTTTCTGATTAAGGTCCTTCTAGGTAGAGAGTGACACAGAAGCATACTCAGAGGGTAAGAATTCTTTCTCTCCCCGCAGCCTCATCTGCTCAGGTAGTGGAATCATTGTCAAGCATTTAATATCTGTCTGTTAGGCAGGCCTCCCTTCCAAGCTCTTCCATCTGTGTGCCTGAAGACTTTTATCTTGGGACCTTCTTTATTGCAATGTCTTTCAGGAACTGAACACCTCACAGTGGAAACCAGCACCTCCCCTGAACTTAGAAACTCCTCTTTCTCCAGGGTTTGCTGTCTCAGTAAAGGGATGAATGTCCTGTTTGCTCTTCTACTCATCAGACTCATTTTTTCTGCTTTAGCACAATTGTTATTTGCAAGATATCAATCAGATCATCTTCCTTTCCCCTTAGATGTGGTGATCTTTGTTGCACAGGATTAGAAGAGTTATCCTTCCTGTGGATTTCTGTGGCTTCCACCCTTCATGGGGCCCCAGCCCATATCATCTGTCTCATCTCTACTAATGGCATCAATCATTTCAGGAGCTGCAATGATCTGATCTTTCTTTTATATGTGGGCCCTTGAGCCACACTTCCCCTGTACTATGTGTTGTTGCCTTGGCCCACTCTGCTCCTGATCCCCTTCCTTATCTGGTTCATTTCCACTATCCCAGGAATGCCTTTCCTGATACCCAGTATGAAAAAGGGGGTGACAAGGAAATAAACAAGATGGGGAAAGCTAGTAAAGAGCAGAGTCAGGGGTGCAAGAGAAAAGGATAGAAACAGAGAAGGGGGGCAGAAACGCATGGAAACAAAGAGAAGCACCTGGAGCCACTGGCAGCAGGAAAGCAGGGCAGAGGCCTGAGTCTAATGTGGAAAGGGGGAGGGGGAGAAGGAGAGAGAATTAGGAGTCCAGGCAGCAAGTGAGCTGATGGATGGTTCTCAGCCTTGGTGGCAGCAACTGGAGTGTGTCCACCTACAGGCCAGGTGAACCCACAGGGCAGACCAGGAGGACCTGGGTGGGGGACAGCCCTACCTGAGAGATACTTCAGCTTTCCACATCTTCACTAAGTTTTCTCTTCATGATTTTTTGTTGGTTGTATACTGAGACCTCTGAGGGATTTCCTTCCTTTCTGCAGAGGGCAGTGATGACTGTTCGGAAATGTGTGATGGAGAAGAGCGCCAGGAAGCCTCTAGCTCCCTAGCAAGACGTGGGTCAGGTAAGGACGGGGGGGGGGATTTCTGGCCCTGGGCTGCAGAGTGTCAGGAGGTTGAATTTGGAGCTCGTGTTTCCTGATTGACTTTCCTCTGCATATACCTCACAGTGAAAGGATCTAATTAATCCTGAGATTTTTCACATTTTCTGTACATGAATCTTTTGTGAAATGCAGGGAGGAATCTTTATACAGAAGTCCATGTTTAACAGAATGGGATTTATTGTTTGAACATATGTGTTCAGGCAGTCTAGTGGTAGTCAAAATATGCCAAGGCAAGGCAATGTGTTCCCTCCTTTATATTCTCATGCCTTTCAATACTACAGTATTAAAATATTTTACCAAATAAGATCTCTCGATACCCTCACAAAACCTTAAGATGGGGGCAGGCAAACTGAGTAATCCTATTTTATAGGTGAAGAAATAAAGGTCAGAAATACGGTAGGAAGAAGCAATGCTCTTTTGCCTTTATTTTTTCTAGCTATCAATACTATTATTTGAATTTATATAAAATTTCTATTCTCAGGAACAATTTTACACTGTTGGTGGGACTGTAAACTAGTTCAACCATTGTGGAAGTCAGTGTGGTGATTCCTCAGGGATCTAGAACTAGAAATACCATTTGACTCAGCCATCCCATTACTGGGTATATACCCAAAGGATTATAAATCATGCTGCTATAAAGACACATGCACACGTATGTTTATTGTGGCACTATTCACAATAGCAAAGACTTGGAACCAACCCAAATGTCCAACAATGATAGACTGGATTAAGAAAATGTGGCACATATACACCATGGAATACTATGCAGCCATAAAAAATGATGAGTCCATGTCCTTTGTAGGGACATGGATGAAGCTGGAAACCATCATTCTCAGCAAACTATCACAAGGACAAAAAACCAAACACTGCATGTTCTCACTCATAGGTGGGAATTGAACAATGAGAACACTTGGACACAAGAAGGGGGATATCACACACCAGGGCCTATTGTGGGGTGGGGGAGGGGGGAGGGATAGCATTAGGAGATATACCTAACGTAAATGATGAGTTAATGGGTGCAGCACACCAACACAGCACATGTATACATATGTAACAAACCTGCACGTTGTGCACATGTACCCTAAAACTTAAAGTATAATAAAAAAAATTTCTATTCTCACTCCCTCTATGGAAATAAAAAAGGGTATCATTCCTCTGCTGGTAGATACTTTTTTATGATTTTTTCACAAACTTGACAAAGCCTTCAGTGTAATGGTATTCTACCATCTAATTGGCAGAACTTAGATCAACTATTTGTGAGACTAAATGGTATTTTTGACCAGTACTTTCCATTATGTCATTGGATCATGCAGTGGTTTTTCAGAGTACTCTGATAGGTGTTATAATTTTACTCACAAAAACCTCAAGACTTAGATAGGGAAGGTGCTGTTATTGCTGTTTTAAGGAGCCAGAAACACAGAAATGCATGTGACACGGGTGTTTGATAAGACCCAAGAAAAAAGAAAGAGCAGAGACCAGTGTCCTGGATGACTCCTTACAGGCTTTCAGTTCTATGAGGTGGGCATGGGTTGGGGTGGGGTCTCATAGTCTGAGTCCAATGTGGATGCCCAAAGGGTTTTTAGGAATCCAAGAGACTCTACCAGGGTTCAATGGAAAGAGACTTTTATCTAACAAATAAAGAAAGATTAGGGAGAGATAAGGAAACATTATCAAGAGTTGGAAAATACTTGAATGTAATCTACGATACGAGATAGGAGATATCCAGAAAAATAGAGCCAGAAAAGAGAAACAGAGAGGCAATATGAAAAGTATATGTAGCACATCACTGAAGGAGGAAGAGACAGTAAGGGAGAGGAGATGTTAAGAAGAGAAAGTCCAGAAAGCCGAAAAGAACCATAGATGCCGTCATAGAGTAATAAAAAGATATCACTAGTAGAAGGGGCTATCACTTAGGCTGGGTGCAGTGGGTCACCCCTGTAATCCCAGCAATTTGGGAGGCCAAGGCAGGTGGATCACTTGAGGTCAGGAGTTCAAGGCCAGCCGGGCCAACATGGCAAAACCCCATCTCTACTAAAAATACAAAAATTAGCTGGTTGTGGTCGAGCACACCTGTAGTCCCAGCTACTCGGGAGGCTGAAACAAGAGAGTTGCTTGAACCCGGGATGTGGAGGTTGCAGTCAGCTGAGATCACATCACTGCACTCCAGCCTGGTGACAGAGCAAGATTCCATCTCAGAAGAAAAAAAGAAAAAATAAGGGGCCACCACTTAATATCAAACGAAAGGCTGAATTTATTGTTCAGTTAAGGGATAGTTGTGCTTGTGGGTCAGTTTCTCTGAACAGAGAACGTTTGTGGAAGTGTGGATCTCGGTGACTGGCGGCCTTCAAAAGTGAGATTTGTTAGTGGTTAGCTGACCTTTAGTGAAAGCAGGGTCACTGGAGTGTGGCTGTTACTGACTGTCTGACTTTCAGAAGCATGGGGAAGTCAATGGTTGGCTGGCTTTCAGAGGCCTGTGTACTGGCCAGAAGCTATTGTTGATTAATTGGGATGATTCTGGTTGTTATTGACCATATGGCCAAACAATAATGAGTTTTCCTAGAAGTGTAGCAACTTTCAATTATCAGTTTCCCCTTTAGGAAATCTCTCATCTAAAGCTGCAGGAGGCACCATCAAGTATTTTCCCCATCCAAGATGTCTTTTCTGGAAGAGGACCCTGGAAACAAAATCCTAGGATTCCCCTTCACTGAGTAGGAGTTATAGAGTTGCTAGATTGAGAGTGTTATCCTTGCAAAGGATGACATAAGAAAAAGTAATGATGTTTTACAATACGTTAATGGAATGGCAGACAACTGTTGAAAGTTTTTAATTAGCAGCAGAATTGTGCTGCTTGCAATACTATCCTATTTATTCCCTTTTGCTCCAAGAATACTCACCAGCCACCCTTGTGGCTGCAGCGTTTATCCCAAGTAAATTTGCCATGAAATATCTTGCTTTTATTATTATTTTCACATCACTCTAATATATTGACTTTGGAAACAAAAGACATTCTTCTAATTATAGCATTCTGGTTTTAGTAGTGGTATTTCCATTTACAAAATACAGTAATTGTTGATCACTGAAAATGTCAAATCCTGGAAAACGTGGCTTTCCCACATGTGCTGTTAACATTGTTACTGAACAATTGTTGGCCGAAGATTCATTTGATGAATCATATATTTTTAAAATAGATGATTCTGATATGGTTCTGTTTAGAAATAACTCCAAGAACAGTTTATATATTTTATTTTCACATTGAAAATCAATCATGTTTGCTTCAGCCTCAAAGAATGTGTTTACGTAAAATTAAATGAGTGCAGCAAGCTGCACTTTTTTTTTTTTCTAAACGGGAACAGAGTTAAAGTTGATCCAAGTACAAAATCTCCAGAACCATGGACTAATGCAGTCACCTGCAATTGCTTTGAGGCAACTAGGATGAGATGTGGCTACTAGCAATGGCTCTTTGATGTCTGTCACGTTTTGAAGTGATACCCCTAGAGCATGGCCTGTTTGTTTATTTATTTATTTATTTATTTTTATTTTTCCGTAAGTTATTGGGGTACAGGTTGTATCTGGTTACATGGGTAAGTTCTTTAGTGGTGATTTGTGAGATTTTGGTGCACCCATCACCTGAGCAGTATACGCTGCACCATATTTGTAGTCTTCTATCCCTCGCACCCCTCCCACTCTTCCCTCCAAGTCCCCAAAGTCCATTGCATCATTCTTACACCTTTGCGTCCTCATAGCTTAGCTCCCACGTATCAGTGAGAACATACAGTGTTTGGTTTTCCTTTCCTGAGTTACTTCACTTAGGATGATAGTCTCCAAGCCGGGCACGGTGGCTCACGCCTGTAGTCCCAGCACTTTGGGAGGCTGAGATGGATGGATCACCTGAGGTCAGGAGTTTGAGACCAACCTGGCCAACATGGCAAAACCCCGCCTCCGCTAAAAAAAAAAAAATACAAAAATTAGTCAGGCATGGTAGTGTGTGCCTGTAATCCCAGCTACTAGCAGGGGCTGAGGCAGGAGAATTGCTTGAACCCGGGAGGTGGAGGTGGTAATGAGCTGAGATCACACCACTGCACTCCAGCCTGGGTGACAGAACGAGACTCCATCTCAAAAAAAAAAATAGTCTCCAATCTCATCCAGGTCACTGCAAATGCTGTTAATTCATTCCTTTTTATGGCTGCGTAGTATTCCATCATATATATATATATATATATATATACCACATACATACATATATACCACAGTTTCTTTATCCACTTGTTAATTGGTGGGCATTTGGGTTGGTTCCACAATTTTGCAATTGTGAATTGTACTGCTATAAACATGCATGTGCAAGTATCTTTTTCGAATAATGACTTCTTTTCCTCTGGATAGATACCCAGTAGTGGGATTGCTGGATCAAATGGTAGTTCTATTTTTAGTTCTTTAAGGAATCTCTACACTGTTTTCCATAGCAGCTGTACTAGTTTACATTCCCATCAGCAGTGTAGAAGTGTTCCCTATTCACTGCATCCATGCCAGCATCTACTGTTTTTGATTTTTTGATTATGGCCATTCTTAAGGAGTGAGGTGGTATCGCATTGTGGTTTTGATTTGCATTTCCCTGATCATTGGTGATGTTGAGCAATTTTTTCATATGTTCATTGGCCATTTGTATATCTTCTTTTACGAACTGTCTATTCATGTCCTTAGCCCACTTTTTGATGGGATTGTTTGTTTTTTTCTTACTGATTTGTTTAAGTTCATTGTAGATTATGGATATTAGTCTTTTGTCAGATGTATAGATTGTGAAGATTTTCTCCCACTCTGTGGGTTGTCTGTTTACTCTGCTGACTGTTCCTTTTGCTGTGCAAAAGCTCTTAGGTTTAATTAAGTCCCAGCTATTTATCTTTGTTTTTCTTTCATTTGCTTTTGGGTTCTTGGTCATGAAGGCCTTGCCTAAGCCAATGTTTAGAAGGGTTTTTCTGATGTTATCTTCCAGAATTTTTATAGTTTCAGGCCTTAGATTTAAGTCCTTGATCCATCTTGAGTTGATTTTTGTATAAGGTGAGAGATGAGGATCCAGTTTCATTCTCCTACATGTGGCTTGCCAATTATCCCAGCACCATTTGTTGAATAGGGTGTCCTTTCCCCACTTTATGGTTTGTTTGCTTTGTCAAAGATCAGTTGGCTGTAAGTATTTGGGTTTACTTCTGGGTTCTCTGTTCTGTTTCATTGGTCTACGTCTATTTTTGTACCAGTACCACTCTGTTTTGGTGACTATGGCCTTATAGTATAGTTTGAAATCATGTCGTGTGATGCCTCCAGATTTGTTCTTTTTGCTTAGTCTTGCTTTGGCTTTGTGGGCTCCTTTTTGGTTCCATATGAATTTTAGAGGTGTTTTTTCTAATTCTGTGAAGAAGATGGTGGTATTTTGATGGGGATTGCATTGAATTTGTGATTGCTTTTGGCGGTATGATCATTTTCACAATATTGATTCTACCCATCCATGAAGCATGGGATGTATTTTCATTTGTTCAGGTTGTCTATGATTTCTTTCAGCAATGTTTTGTAGTTTTCCTTGTAGAGGTCTTTCGACTCCCTGGTTAGGTATATTCCTAAGTTTTTGTTGTTGTTGTTGTTGTTGTTTTGCAGCTATTGTAAAAGGGGTTGAGTTCTTGATTTGATTCTCTGCTTGGTCACTGTTGGTATATAGAAAAGCTACTGATTTGTGTACATTAATCGTGTATCCAGAAAGTTTGCTGAATTCTTTTATCAGTTCTAGGAGCTTTCTGGGGGAGTCCTTAGGGTTTTCAAGGTATACAGTCATATCATCAGCAAACAGTGAGAATTTGACTTCCTATTTACCAATTTGGATGCTCTTTATTTCTTTCTCTTGTCTGATTGCTCTGGCTAGGACTTCCAGTACTATGTTGAAGAGGAGTGGCGAGAGTGGGCATCCTTGTCTTGTTTCAGTTCTCAGAGGGAAAGCTTTCAACATTTCCCCATTCAGTATTATGTTGGCTATGGGTTTGTCATAGGTGGCTTTTATTACCTTAAGGTATGTCTCTTGTATGCTGATTTTGCTGAGAGTTTTAATCATAAGGAGATGCTGGATTTTGTTGAATGCTTTTTCTGCATCTATTGAAATGATCATGTGATTTTTGTTTTTAATTCTGTTTATGTGGTGTATCATATTTATTGACTTGCATATGTTAAGCCATCCCTGCATCCCTGGTATGAAACCTACTTCATCGTCGTGGATTATCTTTTTGATATGTTGTTGGATTCAGTTGGCAAGTATTTTGTTAAGGATTTTAGCATCTATGTTCATCAAGGATACCAGTCTGTAGTTTTCTTTTTTGGCTATGTCCTTTCCTGGTGTTGGTATTAGGGTGATGCTGGCTTCACAGAATGAATTAGGGAGGGTTCCTTCTTTCTCTATCTTGTGGAATAGTGTCAAAAGGATTGGTACCAATTCTTTGACTGTCTGGTAGCATTCTGCTGTGAATCCGTCTGATCCTGAACTTTTTTTTGTTGGTAATGTTTAAATTACCATTTCAGTCTTGCTGCTTGTTACTGGTCTGTTCAAGGTATCTAATTCTTCCTGATTTACACTAGGAGGGTTGTATTTTTGCAGGAATTTATCCATCTCTTCTATGTTTTCTAGTTTATGTACATAAAGGTATTCATAGTAACCTTGAATGATCTTTTGTATTTCACTGGTGTCAGTTGTAGTATTTCCTGTTTCATTTCTCAGTGACGTTATTCGGGTTTTCTCTCCTCTTGGTTAATCTTGCCAATGGTCTATCCATTTTATTTACCTTTTCGAAGAACCAGCTTTTGTTTCATTTATCGTTTGTATTTTTTTTATTTCAATTTCATTTAGTTCTGCTCTGATCTTTGTTATTTCCTTTCTTCTGCTGGGTTTGGGTTTGGTTTTGGTTTGTTCTTGTTTCTCTAGTTCCTTCAGATGTGACCTTAGATTGTCAGTTTGTGCTCTTTCAGTCTTTCTGATGTAGGTGTTCAGGGCCATGAACTTTCCTCTTAGCACCGCCTTTGCTCTATCCCAGAGGTTTTGATTGTCATTCAGTTTGAAGAATTACTGTCATTCAGCTTGAATAATTTTTTAATTTCCATCTTGATTTCGTTTTTGACCCAATGCTCATTCAGGAGCAGGTTATTTAATTTTCATGTATTTGCATGGTTTTGGAGGTGCCTTTTGGAGTTGATTTCCAGTCTTATTCTACTGTGGTCTGAGAGAGTGCTTGATATAATTCCAATTTTCTTAAATTTATTGAGGCTCGTTTTATGGCCTATCATATGGTCTATCTTGGAGAAAGTTCCATGCACTGTTAAATAGAATGTATATTCTGTGGTTGTTGGATGAAATGTTCTATATATATCTGTTAAATCCATTTGTTCCAAGGTATAGTTTAAACCCATTGTTTCATTGTTGACTTTCTTTCTTGATGACCTGTCTAGTGCTGTCAGTGGAGTATTGAAGTTCTCCACTATTATTGTGTTGCTGTCTATCTCATTTCTTAGGTCTATTAGTAATTATTTTATAAATTTGGGAGCCCCAATGTTAGGTGCATATATGTTTAGAATTGTCGTATTTTCCTGTTGGACAAGGCTTTTTACCGTTGTATAATGTCCCTCTGTGTCTCTTTTAACTGCTGTTGCCTTAAAGTTTGTTTTGTCTAATATAAGAATAGCTACCCCTGCTTGCTTTTGGTGTCCTTTTGCAAGAAATGCCTGTTTCCACCCCTTTACTTTAAGTTTATGCGAGTCCTTATGTGCTAGGTGAGTCTCCTGAAGGCAGCAGATGGTTGGTGAGTTCTTATCGGTTCTGTGGTTCTGTATCTTTTAAGTGGAGCATTTAGGCCATTTACATTCAATGTTAGTATTAAAATGTGAGGTACCATTGCATTCATTGTGCTTTTTGTTGCCTGTGTACTTTTTGTTTTTATTTTTTAACTTGTATTTTATTTTTGTTTTATAGGTCCTGTGTGATTTATGCTTTAAAGAGGTTCCGTTTTGATGTGTTTCTAGGATTTGTTTCAATATTGAGAGCTCCTTTTAGCAGTTCTTGTAGTGGTGGCTTGGTAATGGCGAATTCTCTCAGCATTTGTTTGTCTGAAAAAGACTGTATCTTTCCTTCGTATATGATGCTTAGTTTTGCTGGATACAGAAGTCTTGTCTGATAATTGTTTTGTTTGAAGAGGCTGAAGATAGGGCCCCAGTCCCTCCTGTCTTATATGGTTTCTGCCAAGAAATCTGCTGTTAATCTGATAGGTTCTCCTTTGGAGGTTACCTGGTGCTTCTGTCTCACAGCTCTAAAGATTCTTTCCTTCGTCTTAAATTTGGTTAACCTGATGACAATGTGCCTAGGCGAAGATCTTTTTATGATGAATTTCCCTGGTGTTCTTTGTGCTTCTTGTATTTGGATGTCTAGGTCTCTAGCAAGGCCAGGGAAGTTTTCTTTGATTATTCCCCCAAATATGTTTTCCAAGCTTTTAGAATTCTCTTCTTCCTCAGGAACACCGATTATTCTTAGGTTTGGTCATTTAACATAATCCCAGACTTCTTGGAGGCTTTGTTCATATTTTCTTATTCTTTTTACTTTATCTTTGTTGGATTGGGTTAATTCAAAGACCTTGTCTTTGAGCTCTGAATTTCTTTCTTCTACTTTTTCAATTCTATTGCTGAGGTTTTCCAGAGCATTTCACATTTCTAAAAGTGTGTCCAAAGTTTCCTGAATTTTTTATTGATTTTCTTTAAGCTATCTATTTGCTTGAATATTTCTCCCTTCACTTCTTGTATCATATTTTGGATTTCCTTGCATTGGGCTTTGCCTTTCTCTGGTCCCTCCCTGATTAGCTTAATAACTACCCTCCTGAATTCTTTTTTGGGTAAATCAGGGATTTCTTCTTGGTTCGGATCCATTGCTGGTGAACTAGTGTGATTTTTGGGGTGTGTTAAAGAGCCTTGTTTTGTCATATTACCAGGGTTGGTTTTCTGGTTCCTTCTCATTTGGGTAGGCTCTGTCAGAGGGAGGGTCTAGGGCTGAAGGTTGTTGTTCAGATTCTTTTGTCCCATAGGATGTTCCCTTGATGTACTATTCTCCTCCTTTTTCTATGGATGTGGCTTCCTGTGAGCCAAACTGCAGTAATTGTTGTCTCTTTTCTGGGTCTAGTGACCCAGTGAGTCTACCAGGCTCCAGGCTGGTACTCGGGGTTGTCTGCACAGAGTCCTGTGATGTGAACCATCTATGGGTCTCTCAGCTGTGGATACCAGTGCCTGTTCTGCTGGAGGTGAAGGGGGTGCAATGGACTCCATGGGGGTCCTTTGGTGGTTTAATGTTCTATTTTTGTGCTGGTTGGCCTCTTGCCAGGAGGTGGCACTTTCCAGAGAGCATCAGCTGTGGTATTATGGGGAGGAACCGGTGATGGGCCAGCCCTAGAATTCCTAAGGTTATATGCCCTTTGTCTTCAGCTGCCAGGGTGGATAAGGAAGAGCCGTCAGGTGGGGGAGGGGCTAGGCATGTCTGAGCTAAGACTCTCGTTGGACATGTCTTGCTGCAGCTGCTGTGGGGGATGGGGGTGAGATTCCCATGTCACTGGAGTTGTGTACCTGGGAGGATTATGGCTGCCTCTGCTGAGTCATGCAGGTTGTCAGGGAAATGGGGGAAAGCTGGCAGTCACAGGTCTCACCCAGCTCCCATGCAAACCAAAGGGCCAGACTCACTCCCACCATGCCCCGCCCCAACAGCCCCCAGACCATTTCCAGGCTTGAAAACCTGCCCCAGGCTATCTGCCTCCCAGCTGCAGAAGAAAAAGGCTTGGTTCTTCCCCACCTGTGGAGTCTGCACACCGGATTTGCGCCCTCACAAGAGTTCTGTCCAGGAGGCGTCTCACCCTGTTCAAATTGTTACAAAGTTCAGCTAGAGATTGGCTTCTCCCTGTGTAGTTTTACCCCCTGCTCCTCTCCCATTGGGTCCCTGTGGTGCCAGGCAGGAATGGCCTTCTAGGGGACCCAGCCACCTCCCAGGCCCTTTCCGCTGCTTCCCCCTACACCTGTATTTCCCTCATCTCTTCAGATTGACTCAGCTCCAGGTAAAGTCGGAAACTTCTCCCACAAACAGACCTTCAGCTTCTCCAGTGGGGGTGTGTGTTCGGGAGAGGAGGGTCTCCTTTTCCCACTTCTGCAGTTGGGGCACTCTCAGTTTTACGGGGGGGGGCGGTCTCCTGGGTCCTGCAGGTGCAATCTGCTTCCTTCAGAGGGTCATGTTGCCTAGGCTGGTCACGAACCATGGCCTATTTTTTATGTACGTATAAAAGAAAAGGATTATGATAAAGGAGAAAGGGAGACAGGAGACCTGTCTCCTGATAATGTGATAATAGAAGATTCAGTGTGGGTGACTGATGAAGGAGTATTTTAAAATCGTGAAGATCTGTTCCATTTCTGTGTTCCATGAGAATGGCCCCAAGATATTTGGGTCAAATGTAGGGAGGCCTGGTATTTCAGAAAAGATTGACCCCCATTGTCTTCAAGACTCAGTTAATCCTAGAAATCCTCTTATCTTTCCTTCAGTCATTGGTCTTGGGAAACTCTGAAGACATTGTAACATTTCTTTATATAATATTATTTCCTCAGCCAATAGATTATGTCTGAGAAAATAGCCTAGTTTTTGTTTTGTTTCATTTTGTTTGTTTTACAAACTTGGAGTTTTTCCTTAGAAGTTTTATGTCCATTTTTGCCCAACTCAATGAATAGATTAAGAAATGTCTAGATCTATAGAGTATAATAGAGGTGACCTATGCATCAGATCAGAGAAGATGCAGGTATGAGCTTTGTATCCCTTAGGCCGTATTTAAAACTTGGAAGAAGATGGTTGTGTTCGTTTTTCATTGCTGCATGACAAATAACCACAAATGTAATGGCTTACTACAATACCCACTTGTTATCTCACAGTCCTGCCAGCAGAAGTGTGGGTGGGCTCAACTTAGTTCTCTGCTTAGAGTCTCCTTAGGCTGAAATTAAGATGTCAGCCCAGCTGAAGTCTTGGCTGAAGGCTCTGAGAATCTTGCAATCGAGCTCACCCAGGTTGTTGACATAATCCAGTTCCTCGTGGTTGTTGAACCGAGGTCACAGCTTTGTTGCTGGTTGTTGGTCACGGACCACTCTCAGCTCCTGGAAGCCAATCATATTCCTTAATACATTGCCCCTCCATCTTGAAGCCAGCAATCTTGTGTGGAATCCTTCTCACACTTTGAATCTCTGACTTCCTCTTCTGCTGCTGGCTAGAGAAAACTCCCTGCTCTTAAAAGGCTCATAAGGTTAAACCAGATCCACTCTATTAGTCTCTCTTAAGGACAGCTCTGCCATATCACATAAGGTAATTATGGAAGTAATATCTCATTATGTTCACAGTCCTCAGGATTAGGGAAAGAAATATTTGGGGGCCATCTTAGAATTCTGCCTATCGTCAAGGAAATTCCTAGAAAATAACTGTCCAGATAAGCCACTGATTTTCCCAAGCAAATAATATTTATCTTTATCAAGTGAGACATTAAACAAAGCTGAACATAAATATATTAAAAATTTTGGCTTTAGGTGAGACTGAAGAGATTGTAGTAATCTGGTTAGGAGGTACAGGGAAGTGAGGTATACCTATTTTGTTTATTGCTTGCAGACCTCAAATCATCCGTAGTGTAGGTATACTAATGGTCAGGTCAACTATACATAGATCATGTGTCAGAGAATTTTCCAGGACTTCTAAAATTAGTCCTTCTTCTGAACCTTTAATCTGGTAGTTCTATTTGCAGAATAGATCCCTACCTATTACATTTATAGAGGTTTTGTTGAAAACAGTGTTCCTCAGATAATGGTCTGAAAGTAATAGATTACTGGTTGAGATGTGGAAACATTCAGTGATTTTTTTCTCTTCTTTTATAGACCTACTTGTCAAATGTGTTACTTACTTTGGACATGACAAAACCTCCCCATTGCAAGCCAGAGTCATTTTAGGGAAAATTTTGCCAGTTATTAAGAAAAGTACAAGAGTTAGAATCATGATGAAAGTATACAGAGGAAGTGAACATTTTGTCGGGGAGATTATGGCTTTGGCAAAGACAATCCCGTGACAAACAGCAAAGAGGCCACTATATTTCAGTATAAGTGTGAATGGTGTGTTCCACATGAATGAAGCAGAAACTGAAAAGGGGACATATGATTAATTACATGATTGTAGTTGACTCCAGATTACATACTAAACAAAATGATTTTCTTTCACAAATTGACAAGACACTAGGTGCCCTCATGAAGGTTTTGATGAGGGACCCAAGAAAAAATGTGACCGAACATCTTTGCACAGTTTGGCTACTGTCTAATGGACCCACATCCATTAGTTTTAGGGGCTGGCTTGAATTGAGGACTTATCAGACCTTGACCACCAGCTGTTTGCTTTGGATCACTGTCTTCTAACATTCAGAAAGCACAGGAAAATCAGGAACAAGCACACATGAAATAAGACTTTTTGTTTTTTTGGTGGGGTTTTGCTATGTTGCCCAGGATAGTCTAGAATTCCTGAGCTCAAGCCATCTGCCTGTAATATGACCTATTAACAGGCATAAGCCACCATGCCTGGCAGAGATAAGACTTTTTAAAAATAGACAGAAGAGGCCGGGTGTGGTGGCTCATGCCTATAATCCCAGCACTTTGGGAGGCCGAGATGAGTGGATCACCTGAGGTCAGGAGTTCGAGACCAGCCTGGCCAACATGGAGAAATCCCCTCTCTACTAAAATTACAAAAATTAGCCAGGCGTGGTGGCAGGCACCTGTAATCCCAGCTACTTTGGGAGGCTGAGACAGGAGAATCTCTTGAACCCAGGAGGCGGAGGTTGCAGTGAGCCGAGATTACGCGGTTGCACTCCAGCCTGGGCGACAAGAGTGAAACTCTGTCTAAAAAAAAAAAAAAAGACAAAAGAAAGGTAACAGTAGATGAAGTAGTGAAACAAGTAAATAAGTAAATAAGCACATTAATTGAGAAAATGTTTGCTAAGTGGTGTACTTCCAACTGAAAATATCTAATTGTATCTAATTGTATACCCATGTTTAAATAAGATAAATTCAGAACTAGGAGCTCAGTGAAACAAGTCAGAGTTCGAGTTGTTGTTGAGAAAGATTCACTTGGCAGTAGGTCAGAAAAATGACCTGAGCTGGACACAGTGGCCTGAGATTCATGCCTGTGGTTCCAAGGGTCCCACAGGACACTCCCCAGCAAGAATCTTCAAGATAATCTCGGCAGGAACTCCAATTTTTGAAGGGCTAGGCTACTACTCATAATCTGAAACTAAAAGCTGATTTATTCCTAGCTAAGCAAGGCACCTAGTGGGAGGAGGCCCTGTGCTTGTAAGACACAGTCTCTATAGAAAAGGAAACTGCAGTTTTATAGAGAGTTTTAGGAAGCATATTGTGTAGGGACTCCAGACCTTCAGAAACAGGAGTGTTTATGAGTAATTTAGCATTTGGCCATCAATGCAGGCTTTGTGGAGGGGGTGTTGCTGACTGGCTGGGCTTCAGATATGTAGAACTGCCAGTAATGGGCTCGCTTTCAGAAATGTGACTGGGGATATAAGTAGTCAGTGGCCAATTGGGATGAGTTTAAATAGTTGCTTTTCACTATTGTCAAAGAACAGTAGTATTTTCTGGAATGATAAGAGTTTCCTTGCTTTATTCTCAGGACTACAAGTACAAAAATAAAAGTAGAGAAAAGGAGGATGAGGTGCATAACATGGGGAGAGCGTGGCTCTGTTATGTGTCAAATGTGATTATTGGAGCAGGTATATTTTTTTCCAGAGAACAGTTCATCTTAGCTCAGAATATCAGTGTGCAGTATAGCAGCACTGGAAACTCTTCTGTGGTCATTGTCTCAGGATCCTTGGACAATAATTTTCTTGTTTCTCATTAGTGTCTAGTGAACTAGAAAATCACCCAATGAATGAAGAAGGAGAATCAGAAGAGCTTGCTTCTAGCCTGCTATATGATAATGTACCAGGTAATTATGACTTAAAAATAGTGAAAACAGAAACAGAGTTCTGATAAAGAGAAAAAGGAGGAGAAAAAATAGACTTAAAGGAAGAGTCAAATATAAGGAGGAGCAGTGAAAGGAGAAGATTTCAGAGGAAAAAGTAAAGAAGGGGGAGCAACAAGGGTGCAGAAAATAGAGTCACTGGGTCAAACTGAAAGTCTTCATGAATCACAATTTTGGCCCAGGAGCGGAGCAATCAGCATATGAAAATGAGAAGTGTTCCTGTGTCATGTGTTTCTCAGAAGAGGTGCCAGGAAGCCCAGAAGCAAGGACGGAAAGTGATCAAGCGTGTGGCACAATGGGTAAGGCTGTCTGAGGGCCGTGGGATGGGGGTGGCTCAGTGGGCCCCACAGACCCCCAGTAGGGTGGAGGTAGGTGCTCCAGTCTGTCCAGAATTCTATTCTCCGCATTTGCTTGACCTGAGCCTTTGGGGAGCTGCAGGGAGGCAAGAGATCGTTATAAAGTACTATTTAAGAGGATGGACTCTGTTGATTAGACATAGATGATGTCATAGAAGTATACTCTTTGCAATGGCACTTATCTTGTGTATTGCATTAGTATATTAAGTTACACCCAATCTTCCATGAAGCCCAGGATACCCCAGTGAACTTCTGCTGGTAGATAATAGTGTCACTTTGCTACAACTTAGAAAGGCCACACTCAAAAGACAACTAATCCCGGTACTTAATTGTCAGGAGGAAAGACTGCAGGTCTACTCTTCTTAGCCCAACACGTATTTTTGATAGAAGACCCAGGGCCCATCCTAGACTCCTAGTTCTCAGTTCGGTGGGTTTTTGGTTCCCCTAGAAGAAAGAGAGGAATGATTATCCAAGCATCTGTATAAACTCAAGCCTTCTGTAGTATACATTGTCCTAAAATCTATAACTTTTATTTATTAATTTCTGTTTCCTCACCACCACTTGTTATTTTCCAGATACTGTGGATATTGCAAACAACTCCACTTTGGGAAAACCCAAGAGGAAAAGAAGTAAGAATAAATAAGAATTTATTTGCTTTTGGTATTACAAATACGTTTTTAATGCCAGAGTTTTAATTTTGTCATTGTTACTATTTCTGTTATTATTTGTAATACTGTGGTAGACAGAAGGATGACCTCCCTAAGATGTCTACCTCCTAATCCCTGGACCTGTAATCTGCTATCTTACATGACAAAAGGGACTTTACAGATACAATTAAGCTAGAGACCTTGAAATGGGGAGATGATCCTGGGTTATGGGGTGGGCACAATCTAATCTTGTAGGCCTTAAAGAGTGGAAAACTTTTCCTGGCTGTGGAGAAAGGAAGATGTGACTATGGAAGAATCATCAGAAATATGTCATGTTGCAGGCTTTGAAGATGGAAGAAGGGACCAAGGAATATGGGTGACCTCTAGGAGCTGAAAAGACAAGGAAATAGCTTGTCCTTTCCAGCTCCCAGAAAGGAATTACTTTAGCCAGTGAGACCCATGTCACACTTCTCACTGACATAACTGGAAGAAAATACATTTGTGTTGTTTTAAACCACTAAATTGGTGGTAATTTGTTATGGCAGCAATTAAGAGTAATACAGATTTTGGTACTTAGAAGTAGGGTGTGGCTATTAACATATTCCTGAAAGTGTTGGCATGCCTTTGGGATTGGGCAATGGACAGAGGCTGGAAGAATTTTAGATTATGATCGGAAAAGCCTATATTGCCTTGAGTAGTCCTTAGTAGAAACATGGATGCTAAAGACTGTGCTAGTGAGGACTGAGAAGGAAGTGAAGAACATGGGAGAGAAAGCCTATATTGCGTTAGAGAAAACCTGGATCATCATGAGCAGACTGTTAGTAAAAATATGGAGGTTAACTGTGTTACTGGTGAGCACTCAGAAGGACATAAGAAAGATGTGGAAAGGGCCTCCTTATTATATAGTGGTCTGTCCTGTACTCATGTGAAAAGCAGAACTTTCTGGATCTATAGCTAAGGAGATTTCCAAACACAGTGATCATGGTGTGTTGTGGTGTCTTTTGCTAATTATAGTAAAATGCAAGAGGGAAGAGGTATATTGAAGGAAGAGCTGCTAAACGAAAAAGAATCAAGTCTTGATGATTTAGAAAATTCCCAGCCTATCCAGGTCAAAAAACATGATAAAATGAGGAGATTCACTGTCAGGGACGTGTGCTTGGTAGAAACAACAAAGACTTTTTGCCAGTTCCCTGGGAAGTAGTGAAAGGTCAGATTATACATTCACAAAAAAAGTTATTTGAAGAGACGTAGCATGTGACTCATAAGTCCCTCAGCCATCTCAGCAGAAGTCAAAAATAGATGTGCGTTGCTACAAAAAGAATAAAATACCTAGGAATACAGCTAATTAGGGAGGTGAAAGATCTCTACAAGGAGAACTAAAAACCACTGTTCAAAGAAATGACAGATGACACAAACAAATGGAAAAACATTCCATGTTCATGGATAGGAAGAATCAATATCATTTTAAAATGGTCATACTGCCCAAAGCAATTTATAAATTCAATGCTATTGCCATTAAGCTACCATTGACATTCCTCACATAACTAGAAAATACGATTTTAGAATTCACATGGAACCAAAAAAGAGCCTGAATAGCAAAGGCAATCCTAAGCAAAAAGAACAAAGCTGGAGATATCATGCTACCCAATTTCAAGCCATACTACAGGGCTACATTAACTGATATGGTTTGGCTGTGTCCCCACTCAAATCTCATCTTGAATTGTATCTCCCACAATTCCCAAGTATTGTGGGAGGGACCCAGTGGCAGGTAATTGAATCATAGGGGCCGGTTTTTCCTGTGCTATTCTCATAATAGTGAATATGTCTTCATGAGATCTAATAGTTTTATAAGGGGGAGTTTCCCTGCACAAGCTCTCTCTCTTTGCCTGCCATCATCCATGTAAGACGTGACTTGCTCCTCCTTGTCTTCCACCATGATTGTGAGGCTTCCCCAGCCACATGGAACTGTAAGTCCATTAAACTCTTTTTCCTGTATAAATTACCCAGTCTTGGGTGTGTCTTTATCAACAGTATGAAAACAGACTAATACAGTAACCAAATCAAGATGGTACTGGTACAAGAACAGACACATAGCCCAGTGGAACAGAAAAGAGAACCCAGAAATAAGACCAAACACCTACAACTAACTGATCTTTGACAAACCTGACAAAAACAAGCAATGGGAAAAGGATTCCTTATTCAGTAAATGGTACTGGGATAATCAGCTAGCCATATACAGAAAATTGAAACTGGACCCCTTCCTTACACCATATACAAAAATTATCTCAAGACAGATTAAAGAATTAAATGTAAAACCCAAAACTATAAAAACCCTGGAAGATGACCTAGGCAATACCATTCAGGACATAGGCATGGGCAAAGAGTTCATGACAAAGATGCCAAAAGCAATTGCAATAAAAGCAAAAATTGAAAAATGGGATCTAATTAAACTAAAGAGTTTCTGCACAGCAAAAGAAGCTATCATCAGAGTAAACAGACAACTTACAGAATGGGAGAAAATTTTTGCAAACTATGCATCTGACAAAGATCTAACATCCAGCATCTGTAAGGTACTTAAACAAATTTACAAGAAAAACAAACAGCCCCATTAAAAAGTGGGCAAAGGATATCAACAGATAACTTTTCAAGAGAAGACATACATGCAGCCAGCAATCATATGAAACAAAGCTCAACATCACTGATGATTAGAGAAATGCAAATCAAAACCAAAATGAGATACCATCTCACACCAGTCAGAATGACTATTATTAAAAGGTCTAAAAACAACAGATACTGACGAGGTTGTGGAGAAAAAGGAATGCTTATACACACTGTTGCTGGGAGTGTAAACTAGTTCAACTATTGTGGAAGACAGTGTGGCAATTCCTCAAAGACCTAAAGACAGAAATACCATTTGACCCAGCAATCCTATTACTGAGTATATACCCAAAGGAATATAAATCATTCTATTATAAAGACATATGCACATGTATGCTTATCTCAGCACTGTTCACAGTAGCAAAGACATGGAATCAACCTAAATGTCCAGCAATGATAGACTGGATAAAGAAAATGTGGTTCATGTACACCATGGAGTACTGTGCAGCCATAAAAAAAGAATAAGATCATGTGCTTTGCAGGGACATGGATGGAGCTGGAGAGTATTATCCTTAGCAAACTAATGCAGGAACAGAAAACTGAACACCACATGTTCTCACTTATAAGTGGTAACGAAATGATGAGAACACATGAACACCTAGAGGAGAACAACACACACTGAAGCCTATCAGAAGGTTCAGAAGGTGAAGGGTTGGAGGAGGGAGAGGATCAGGAAAAATAACTAATAAGTATGAGGCTTAATACCTGGATGATGAAATAATCTGTATAACAAACACCCATGACACATGTTTAGCTTTGTAACAAACCTGCACATATATCCTTGAACTTAAAGTATAAAAAAAAAAAAAAATAGATGTGTGAATTCCTAGGAAAGATCTGTAGGGAAGCTTCATGTCTAATGGAGGAAATCAGAAATCCCCATGATATATGCAGGAGATCCATAAGACTCTTGAGGGTTTTGTACCAAGAGAAACAAAGATTTCCATGTCCTATCTCCTAGAACCTATAATCTGTTACTTTACATGGCAGAAGGGACTTTGAAGATGTAATTAAGTTAAGGATCTTGAGATAAGATCACATGGGCCACTAAAGTCAGAGAACATATCCTTCTGTCGAGAGAGGGATGTGTGACTATGGAAGAATGGTCAGAGAGAATAGAGCTGGATGTGGAGATGGATGCAGGGGTCCATCAACTAAAGAATGTGGGCAGCCTTCCGAAGCTGGAAAAGGCTCCTCTGTGGCCTCCAGAAAGGAGCAAAGCCCTGCAGACACCTTGATTGATTTTAGCCCTGTTAGGTGCATGTCAGATTTCCAACCCTCAGAATTATGAGACCACAAATCTGTGATTTTTTTGTCACTAAATTTATGGTAATTTATTACAGCAGCAATACCTTTTGTAAGACAAAAAAAAAATTTCACCCTATACGGTTATATTCAATCTTCTAAACTAACAATTTATATTTTTTCAAATTACTTACACCTTTATGCTTTTTTTTTCTGATTTTAAAATACTTGTTCCCTGTAAACTTTGCTGTACATATTTCTATATTTTTTTCTATGCTTTGTTAGCACATTTAGAATTATGTGATATATCTAAATGAATACATTTAAACTGTTACATTTCTTTTTAAATCAATATAACATGCACTGGATATTATAAACATTTAATATCTTGCCAACTTAACTGTAAAAAAAAGTTTTATTTCATTCCTGTTTTAACTTACATTGCTTTCATTTTTGGTGCAGTTGAGCATTCTTCATTTGTTATTGGCCATTTTTGTTTCTTCTCCTACGAGTGCCTGGAACTTATATTTTGCCAGTGTGTTGTCTTTTTTTCCCCATGCTTTAGGACAACAGGAATACTTATATATGATATATACTAAGGGTTGACTACGTGTGTTGTCATATTTGATGTTATTCTTTTACGTTTCTTTGTGGTATAGGCACATCTCGTTTGATTGCACTTCACTTTATTGTACTTTGAGGATATTGTGAGTTTTACAAATTAAATGTTTGTGACAACCCTGTGTCAAAAAAAGTCTGTTGGTGCCCTTTTTCCAACAGCATGTGCTCACTTTGTGTCTCTGTCACATTTTGGTAATTCTCGCAATATTTCAAATTTTATTATTATTCTTCTTCCTGTTATGGTAGTATGAACAGTGGTAACAATGATCTTTGATGTTACTATTCTAACTGTCTATGGCACCACACACTGTGTTCGTATAAGATGGCAAACCTAATAAATGTTGTGTGTGTTTCAACTGCTTCACTGACCAGCTGTTCCCCTGTCTCTCTCCCTCTCTTTGACTTTCCTCTTTCCTGAGACAAAAAAATATGGAAATTAAGTCAATTAATAATCCTACAATGGCCTCTAAGGGCTCAAGTTAAAGGAAGCGTCACATGTGTCTCACTTTAAATAAAAAGCTAGAAATGGTGAGGCTTAGTTAGGAAGCCATGTCAAAAGCTGAGAGGCTGAAAACTAGGCCTGTTGCAGCAAACAATCAGCCAAGTTATGAAGTGCTACTCCAGTGAACATACGAATAATAAGAAAGTAGAACAGTCTTATCGCTGATATGGAGAAAGTATGAGTGGTCTGGATAGAAGATCCAACCAGCCACAACATTCCCTTAAGCCAAGCCTTAATCCAGAGTGAGGCCTAAACTCTCCTCAATTCTATGAAGGCTGAAAGATGTGAGAAGCTGCATAAGAAAAGTTTGTGGCTAGCTGATGTTGGTTCCTGAGGTTGAAGGAAAGAAGCTGTCTCATAACATTAAAGTGCAAGGCGAAGCTGCAAATGCTGATGTAAAAGCTGCAGAAGGTTGTCCAGAAGATCTAGCCAAGATCCTAGATGAAGATGGCTACACTAAACAACAGTTTTACAGTGTAGACTAAACGGCCTTTTATTGGAAGAAGATGCCATCTAGAACTGTCATAGCTAGAGAGGAGAAGTCAATGCCTGGTTTCAAAGCTCCACAGAACAGGCTGAGTCTCTTGTTAGAAGCTAAGGCAGCAGGTGACTTTCCCTTGAAGCCAATACTCATTCACCATTCTGAAAATCCTAGGGCCCTTAAGAATTATTCTAAGTCTACTCTGCCTATGCTGTATAAGTAAAATAAAGCCCAGATCATAGAACATCTGTTTACAACATGGTTTACTGAGTATTTTAAACCCACTGTTGAGACATACTCCTCAGAAAAAAAGATTCCTTTCAAAATATTACTGTTCATTGACAGTGCACCTAGTCATCCAGGAGCTCTGATGGAGATGTACAAGGTGATTAGCATTATTTCCATGCCTGCTAACACAACGTCCATTCTGCAGCCCATGGATCAAAAAGTAATTTCAACTTGCAAGTCTTAATATTTAAGAAACACATGTTGTAATGCTATAGCTGTCTCTATACATAATGATTCTTCTGATGAATCTTGGCAAAGTCAATTGGAAACCTTCTGGAAAGGATTCACCATTTTACATGCCATAATAACATTCATGATATATGAGAGGAGGTCAAAATATCAACATTAACAGGAATTTAGAAGAAGTTGATTACAATCCTCGTGGATGACTTTGAAGTGTTCAACACATCAGTGAAGAAGTAATTGCAAGTGTGGCAGAAATAGCCAAGAGAACCAGAATTAGAAGTGGAGCCTGAAGATGTGATTGAATTGCTGCAATCTCATGATAAACCTTGAGTGGACAAGGAGTTGCTTCTTAAGAATGAGCAAAGAAAGCAGTTTCTTGAGATGGAATTTATACCTGGTGAAAATGCTGTGAACATTGTTGAAATGACAACAAAGGATTTAGAATATATTAGTTGATAAAGCAGCAGCAAGATTTGAGAGGATCTACCGTGATAAAATGCTACTCAATAGCATTGCATGCTACAGAGAAATCTTTCAGGAAGAGCCAATCAATTTAGCAAACTTCATTACTGTCTTATTTTAAGAAATTTCCACAGACACCTCAGCCTTCATCAGTCACCACCCTAGTCAGTCAGTAGCCACCAACATCCAGGCAGGACTTTCCACCAGCAAAGAGATTATGACTTACTGAAGGCTCAAGTGATCATGAGCATTACATTTAGCAATAAAGTATGTTTAAGATATGTTCATTTTATTTTAGACACAATGCTATTGCACACTTAATATACCACAGTATAGTGTAAACATAACTTTCATATGCACTGGGAAACCAAAACATTTGTGTGATTTACCTTATTGCAATATTCACTTTATTGCAGTGGTCTGAAACCAAGTATTTCTAAGATATGCCTGTATCTTTATCCCAAAGAAGCTTGAAATTTTTATCTGATCAAATCTGTCAGCCTTTTCATTTATGGTTTCCAGGTTTTATGTAAAATTTGCAAATATATTGTCCACCTCATAATTTAGAAACATGTTTACTTACTTCTAGAATATTTGGAATACTTTTTAATGTTTAAATCTATAACACACATGGAATTCATTTATTGGTATATGATGTGAGATGGTAATTAAGAGATATAACACTGGTAGTTTTTTTCTTCATGATTCAAAATACTATTTTATGTATGTTTTCCAGTATATACAGAACTGTGTCTTATCACATTTCTTTATCCATTCATCTGTTGATAGAGACTTAGGTTGTTTCTATGTCTTAACTACTGTGAATTATGCTGCAATGAACATGTGGATGCAGATACCTCTTTAAGATATTGGTCTCATTTCCTATAAATTCATACCCCAAAGTGAGATTTCTGGATTGTATGTATTTCTGTTTTTAACTTTTTGAGGAACCTCCATACTGTTTTCCATAATGGCTGTACCAATTTACATTCCCACTTAGAGCATACAAGAGTTCCTTTTCCCCACAACCTCACCAACACTTGTTATCTCCTGCCTTTTTGCTAATAGCTATCCTAATAGGTGTGAGGTGATGTTTCATTATGGTTTTGAGTTACAATTCTCTCATGATTAGTAATGTTGATTGCTTTTTTTATAATCCATTGGCCATTATATGTCTTCTTTGGGAAAACATTTATTAAGATCCTTTGCCCATTTTTAAATCAGATTATGACATGCTTTTGTTTTGTTTTGTTTTTTTGCTATTGAGTTATGTGAGTTCCTTATATATATTTAGGTAGTAACCCTTATCAAATACATGGTTTGCAAATGTTTTCTCCTATTCCGTAGGTTGCCTTTTCATTTTTACAATTATTTCATTTGCTGTACAAAAGCTTTTTAGAGTGATGTAGGTCCACTTGTTTATTTTTGCTTTTGTTCCTGTGCTTCTGGTGTCATATCTAAAGAATAATTGCCCAGACTAACCTCAAGGAGCTTTTCCTCTGTTTTCTTCTAGGAATTTTATGGTTTTATATTTGACATTTAAGCCTTTAATCTATTTTGAGTTAATTTTTGTATATGGTGTAAGCCAAGCGTCTAATTTCATTCTTTTGCTTGTGGATATTCAGTTTTCTTAGGACCATTTATTGAAGAGACTGTCTTTTCTCCATTATTTATTCTTGGCACCCTTGTCAAGATTAAATGCCCCTTCTTGACATCTGTATTCAGCATAGTGATGTAAGTCCTAGTCAGAGCAAGTAAGAAAGAAAGAAAAGGCATCCAAATTGGAAAGAAGTTAAATTGTCTCTGTTTGCAGGTGACATGATCTTCTATGTAGAAAACCCTATAGACTCCATCAAAAAACTGTTGGAACTAACAAATGAATTAGTAAGGTTGCAGAATTCAAAGATCAGTTGTGTTTCTATGCACTAACAATGAACTATCCAAAAAATAAATTAAGAAAACAATCCCATTTACAATAGCAACAAAAAGAATAAAATAGGAACCAAGTTAACAAGAGGTGAAATATTTGCACACTGAAAACTATGACATTGATGAAAGAAATTGAAAAATATACAAATAAATGGAAAGATATCTCATGTTCATGAACTGGAAGAATAGTGTTAAAATGTCCATATTACCCAAAGTGATCTGAAGAGTCAATGAAATCTCTATCAAAATTTAAATGACATTTTTCACAGAAATAGGTAAAAGGAATCCTAAAATTTGTATTGAATCATAAAAGACTCCAAATAGTCAAAGTAATTTTGAAAAAAAAGGAAACAAACTGGAGGCATCATACTGTCTGATTTTAAACTATGTTACAAAGCAAGAGTAATCAAAACCATATGGTACTGTCATAAAAACAGACATAAACCAATGCAATTGAATAGGGAACCCAGAAATAAACACTCATGCATGTATGTTCAAGTAATCTTTGATAAGGACAACAATTACAGAATTTTCTTTATGTAGATGTTCCACGCATCCACTTTTCTTATCTGCTTTATTGAGCTGTAATTTGCATAAAACAAATTCATCACCTTAAGGTATAACCTAATTTGTTTTAACAAATGTGTGCAGTTATATAAATACCTCCACAATCATGACATGTATCATTTTCATCACCCCAAAGTCCACTTGCATTCTTCTCTCCATTCTCTGGTTCTCGACAACAGCTGATCTGTTTTTTGCTAGTTTGTTTTTTAAAAGATGGGGCCTCACTGTGTGTTCCAGGATGACCTTAAACTCCTGGGCTCAAGTAATCCTCCTGCCTCAGACTCCCAAATAAGTGGGAATACAGGCATATACCACCCCTAAACCAAGGTGTTTTTTTTTTTAATTTGCAACCTAATGTGTGGTCAATATTTGTAAATGTTTTCTGCCCCTTGAGAATAATGTACATTTGAACTATTTGTTAGGCTCTGGCTTCACTCCATATATATCTTTTTTATCAAGCACAACTTTCTTGTTTAAATTTGTGTCCATAGTAATTTAAATTTTATTTGCTCCATCAGATTTGCATACAAATGTGTTAAATTCTTGCACATGGTTGTATATTTGCCAATTCCTCTTTATCTTGTTGCTTTACTTTAAATATTTTGAGGCTATTTATGATTTGTAACTTTTTAATGGATGTTTTTCTTTTATCATTATACAGCATTCTGCTTTATCCCTGTTAATGCTTTTGCCGTAAAATCTCTTTTGCCAAGTACTAACATTGTTACACAAACTTTTATGATTTTTTAAAAATATTTTCCACTCACTTTATGTGATGCCCTTTTGTTCAGTTTTCTTTTATGTCTCTTGTAACTGCACTTAACTTTTGTAGTTTTGTCTGATATTCCTAGCTTCTTAATAGGTAAATTTCAATTTGTTTACATTTATTGAGTTTCCAGATGTATACGGACCTATATCTTCTGTGGTATTGTTGACCATTCTCTATTTGTATCTTTCGTGTCTCCTTCCTGCTTTTTAATGGATTGGTATAAAACTATATATTCTCCCCTTTCTCCCTGCTGGTTTGGAAATTAAAGATAAAATTTCTGTAAGCTTTTAAATTATGCCCCAATCCCAAAAGATGACAAGGATCTTATCATGGTTTCACTACAAACTGAACACCCCATCTCTACCATTTTGGCTATTGTTTAATATTTTATTTTTAACTATAAATTTTGAAACTATTATCATTTTTACAGTTGATATTTACTTAATTTAAAAAAATATTTTGTATACTCACCATTGTTCTTTTTCTTTGGTTTCACTTTTTGTCTAGCTGAAGTAAATTCTTTGTTTTTTCTAGTGAGTGATCTCTAAGTGGTAAACTCTGTAAGTGTTGGGTGTACAACTTTTTCTTTACTTTGATAGAACTTTTTAGCTACATTAAAAATTCCAGGTCGATAATTTATTTCTTCTCAGTATAGTAAGGTGATTACTATATTATTTCCTGGAATCTATGGTGTGGCTAATAACAATTATTCTCTTATTGTAACTAACTGTAACTTCTTGGTAAATATTCTGTCCTTTCTCTCTAAAAGCTTTTATTCCCCAAAATTTAATCACGAAAATTTTAAGCATACAGAAGACTTGGGAGAATTGTACACTAAACATCAATATACTTTCACATAGATTCACAATTAACATTGTATCATTCCTGCTTTATCACTTTTCTATTCATCTATGCATTTCTCTATCCACTCACTAACCGGTGGTCAAGTTTGAAACATTTCAAGGCTGCAGACGTTAGCACTATTCCCCCTCAACTACGTCAGAATGTATATCATTAAGTAGAGTTCAATGTATGTTTAGAGTTCTTTTGTTAAGATAAAATTTACAATGAAATGCACAAGTATTAAGTGTACCATTTGATGAGTTCTTATAACTGCATTTTTCTGCACCATCAAAATTCTTATCAAGATACAGAACATGATCATCACCCTGGAAAGGTTCCTTACGCCCTTTCTGGTGTATCTCCACCCACTATCCATCAGGGCAATCACTACTCTTCTTTTTAACTATGATAATTTGGCTTTTAAAAAACTTTATATAAATAAGGTTTTATAGCATATTCTCTTTAGAGTGGGATTTATTTCACACAGCATGTTTTTGAGATTCATCCATATTGTTGGATGTCTCAGTAGTTTGTTCTTTTTCATTGCTAAGTAGTGTACATTATCTGGATATACCAAATTTTGTTTATAATTCTCCTATTGATGGACACCTCGAGTTTTTTAAGTTTTTGCTATTATGAAAACTCTGCTGAGTACATTCTTGTAGGAGTCTTCCTGTTTTTTCGTATCTCCTGCATAAATACCTAGAAACAAAATTGCCGGGATATAGAGTAGATGCATCAGTTCTTTCCCCCAGGACCCATGAAAAGGATGGTGCAGAGCAAGCCCAGGTGGATGCTGCACTCATAGGTGTGTGCAGCAGCAGAAGAATGCTTCACTGAGGAAACCTATGGGATTATAAGGGGACCAATAGCAAACCTGCCCAAACCTTACCTCTGAGGGAGACATTATCTTTTTAGCTGGAATTTAAGCAATTCTCCTCTGGGGATATTAAGCAAATCTCCTCTGGGGATCTTAAGCAAATCTCTTCTGGAGGCATCTCCTCTGGAAAATTTCTAAGGAGGGAGATGTTCTCTACTTTATACTGGTCAGGGATACATTTGCCCTATAATCTGGAGGCTACATGATCTCTAGCTTCCAAGGCCGCTTTGGTATTCAAATATCCTTGAAGTGATACTCTGAGGCACGTAGAAATGCCATGGAGAATGGCCTCCCAGCAAATTCACCCCACATTTTTGCTTCTGGCAAATTTCCCCATGAAGACACCACCCCATCAGCCACTCTGATTATTCGGACCCATGGGTCCACATCCATTCAATTTTTTTCCTGCAACATTTAACAAATCTTGACCCAGTGCAGCGGCTCACTCATGTTATCCCAGTACTTTGGGAGGCCAATACAGGAGGATCACTTGAGGTCAGGAGTTCAAAAACCAGCCTGGACAACATAGTGAGACCCCGTATCTACACACACACACGTACCCACACACATTTCATAAACTGTAAACGATCTAGGTCCCTTATGAGCACCTCTAAGGTACAAGTCCTTATGTGAGGGAGGCAAGTTAGTGCCTGGCTTTCATACAAGAAGCACAATCCCAAGGGCACACGTGGTGCTCCCAGAAGGGAAGTGTATACAATTGTTGGGCTTCCCTGAGTGGGATGTACATTAGTAAGGGAGAAGGTGAACAGTGTCTCTTACGTGGCTCCTGGCTGGCTGTAAGCCTTGGGGTTCCCAGTTCTGTTTATCCTTGATTTGTTTGTGTGTGGCTGGGGAGAGGGTGGGCATATGGGGGACTGCTTGAGGACAGTCTGTCCAATCTGTCCTATTTGTCCATGTCACCAACCAGGTGGCAGTCCCCCCTAACAAATGACTGAGAATAGTGGTGGAGACTATGTCTAGAGGGTTCTGTGTGGGACCTCAGAAGCTGGGCCCAGCCCCTGCCATCTCATGGCTGGTGCAGAGAGGCTGACTCAGCATTCTCAGAGGCGGGAGCGCTGGAGTAGTGTGTTTTCCTTCTGGACAAAGCATCCTTGGGTTCTTCTGAAAGACAGATATCACCAATGCTCCTGTTTTCTCCCATACCTCTTTAGATGTCTGGATTTTTGCTCTTGCTTCACTGCTGCAAAATCTGCTATACCATTCCAGTGGCTGTACCTTCATCTTTTGCCCTAATTATCTCCTTTTCTCACTTAGACTTTCCATCTACAAAATTAGATAGAAGTAGAGGAAAAGCATTTTATAAAATGTGCCTGGAGTTAAATCTGAATCCCTAGGCACTTTGAAGGCCATAGCCACCAGGCTGGTAGGGGAAAGAATGAGGCATCATCCCTAGGAATGACCAGGGTCACAACAGAATCCTGAATTTTCAAGATAGGTCTACAGAACACTCGCAATCCCCACCACTTTTGTCCTGGTCACTATCCAGGAAGGAGATGATCCCTTTCTGGAGATTGCTCCCTTCAATGAGCCTACTGCCCTCCCATAGTGTGCGGACAGGAGGAGATGAGGGACAGTCAGAAAATCAGTGCACTGTGGAGTCACTTTTCTGATAAAGGGCACGTCAGACTGCAAATGGCCCAGATGGCCAGTTTGAGGACACTGATGAGTTTCTGGGGTCACCATAGCGTTCCTGGAGTCAGCTGCTCTGCAGCCTGAAGGAGGGCTGACAGTGTGGAGGCAGTGCTGAGATTATTTAAGGAAACTATATAGAAATTCTATAATGATTATGTAATTACATAATGAAAACTCTCCATATCAGAGTTCAGAATATCTCCCAATTTCCAACACAGAATATTATCCATAACACCATCAACCTCAAGGAGGATGTCCTCTCATTGCACATTTGAATTTACACAACAAACACTTGAAAAAGCAACATGAAACAGCAGTTATCATTCACTTTAAGGTGCCAGCAAGAGTTAATTTTCCATTAAAAATTTTGTTCAAAGGAACGTCATCTCCTGTAGTCTCTCCCAAGCCCATGGCCCAAGGCTCATGCAGAGGTAAAATATAACTCTGTACTCAACCTCCACGCTGCTACACTGATCATAAAGTATTTTGCCCCATTCCTGCGGACCAAAGTATGAAAAAAAATCTTTAATACTATTGGCATATAAAACTCAGAGAATTATATTTATACCTCTGCATAATTAACTTTATTCTCTTTGGTTTGAAGGAAAAAAGAGGGGGCATGGCTGGAGCAGAATGAGAATGAGAAGGCAGGAAAACAGCCAACAAAATGGTAAGCAGGCAAAGTGAAGTAGTTACAGCTTTTGAGTTTATTAGGGCACTGTCCATTGTATTCTGGAAGGCCTGCAGTTCCCCAGAGCCAGAGTTCTATACCTCCTGTATCCATTAGGATGTAGACTAACAGGCTGTGACAAAGAGGCCTGAGAATGCAATGGCTTCAACAAAATGGTTTCTAATGCATGTAATAGTCCAGAGGCCCACAGTTAATAGGGAGGTGTTATCATCCTCAGTATGACTTTCTTTCCTAGCTCAAAGTATTTTTATTAATTTGGAAAGACATTCCTAAGAGGGCTAAATGAAGAAATCAGGGTGTATGTGTATGTGTGCACAATAGTAAACATACATATATGTATAACCATATTTTATGTGAAATTCATACTTGTGAAGTATATTTTTATGTATCCTGATATACACATATGTAATTATTTATCTGTACATATAAAAAGACATAAATATAGAAAAATAGATGGCAGTTCATTCATAAAAATATATGCAGTGGTTACATTTGGTCAGTGTAATAGAGGTGATGTTTATATATTTTTATCTGTGGTTTTTAAATGTATGTGTATATATTAAAATATTATAAATCTTCAACATTTTTAATGAAAAAGTGTTATTCAAAAAGTAACATATGCAAAAAGAAAAGACTAGGAGAATATTTTTGCACAAATCATCATCTGGAGATAGCCATCCTCATCTGTGGCTATCTCCAATGGTGATGTTTCATATCATTTTATTTTCTGAATTTCCTGTAAATATATTTATTCTTTATAATCAGGCCCCTGAAATTTTCAAAATTTATTTTAGCCATGGTCTGAGGACTTCCATTCTTCTAGACGATGAAGGCTAAGTCTCATTTTCTAAATGATTGTCAATTTTGAATCAGTGGATCTAAATAGTAAGATTTTAGAGTCCTATTGAAAGTTATTAATTTTTACCAATCTTGCCAGTTGATGTGGCTTCCTGGTTGGTGGATGTGACAGCTTTGTTTGGAAAGAAAAAAAAGTGGCTGCGTGCATTTTAAGAATGGCTGTTTTCAAATTGAAAATTTGTTTGGACTCAATCATTATAACATTTTCATTTAAGTCTGAATCATTATAACATTCTCATTTAAGTCTGTGTGTATGTAGACAAATTCTAAGAGACTTCAATGTGCAATTAAATCCTGTGTGTAACTTAAAAGTCGACACTCCCAAAAGCAAAAAATGCTCTGGACACCTGCTCGAGGGGATCCAGAATGAGACCCAGGACTCCCTCACTTGCGTTTGTTCCTGCCTGACAGCTGTTGTTCTGCCCAGTTCTATTAATACATTTTCCCCTGCCTATCCCCAGATAATAGCAAAGCCGACGGCCAGGTGGTCTCCAGTGAAAAGAAGGCGAACGTGAATCTGAAAGACCTTTCCAAGATTAGGGGTAAGATAAAGTTTGTCCGCTTTCCCTTTGCCCTACAGGTCAATACAAATTTTACTGAGGTATTGACGAGCCTAGATCCACCTTAATTGTTTACTCATCAAGCTTAGTCAATTGGAGAGCAGTGAAATCTAAAAGAGCAAACTCATTATAAGCAGGGGTTGTAAGTTGATTGTATTCATATCATAGATCTTATCTGCCCAGTTTCTAAAATAGTTTTCCTCTGTGTTTTATCTCATTTTCCTGGAAATTCCTTTGCCTCAAATCATTGTTTTATTAAAATGGCTGGACCTGGTAAATTGTAAGCCGAATACAGGTTTATTCTCTCACTGCCCTTTCAAGTCCTCCTCCTAGATGAGTTCTTTCCTGTCTTGAGCAAGCTCTGTCGCTTTCTTGTTCCCTTTTAAAAACAGTAAGAGTCTCATTTCAGTAGTTGGGACCTTTCTGACCTAGTATTAAACTACAATGTCTTCCCCAGTTTAAAGCACCTTCGCTTCTTCAGCCTAGGCAAGCCTTAGTCTGGAACACATATAGTTGGGGGTGACATGGTCAGTGTCTTCTCTTATTCTGTCTTGGCCCTACCCCCACTCCATAGCTGTTGGCTTGGTCCCATCCAGGATTGGGGAGGTGAGAGAGATGGGTGAGATCAGAGTGTGGAAGTGTCTTGCCTGACAGGTGCAGCCGTGAAATGACATTGCAAGTGGTTGATGCACAATCACTAGCTCTTTCTTCCATGAGATGCTTTCATCAAGTCCACTGCAAGGGAAGGGGAGGGGTCAGGCATCACAGCTTGACTTATTTTGAAAGAAATAGAGCTTTACTTCTACAACCTGGATGTGAGTGAAGGGCTGAACCTGGCATAATCAGTTCCACCAACTCTTTCTAAGGTTACATATGTGGCCTGGTGCATTGTCCTAGGATGCGGGTGCTCAACTCAACCTACTTGCTTGGGACTTTCTCAATTTTCCCAATGAAACTCTCATTTCCAAGCCATAGGTCCACTTTGGGTCTGATTGGTCCTTTTTACTTTGGTGGCCTAATATGCTCATGATATGCTTAGAACTTATAGTACTTAGGAATGCATAGGCTGGAAAATATTTCCTCATGGGCCTACATGACCCTGATCAGCACCCCCAGATGGTGGTCATTGGATGGTGGACATCCAGCACAAGAAGGAAGGAACATTTTGCTTTCCTGCCTTGGAAAATAAAACACATTTGGACAATAGTAAACATTGAGATGCCCATTCACAGCCAATTAACATGCACTTGGGAGAATATCATCGGCTGCAGTGTCTGCCATGTCAATCCTTAATTACTATTTGGAATGAAGGCTGCGGAAATCTCAATTCTACCCATTCCTCATGGTTAACCTTCTTCTGATTAGTTTCTTAGATCCTAATATTTATTTTGTCCAAAGCCATGTGGACAAAGCCCTGGTCACATTTACTATTACTTTCAGCACGAGGGTACAAATATCTTCCCCCAATGTGACATGTGCAGCATACATCTCACCTATGGGACACCTAATAGGGTTTCCCTTAAGTCACAGAACTGTCATTTATTTGTGTCTCTGCTGAGAGAAACTGAAACGCCTTCACTTAATTTTGTAGTTTTGTCTCAATTTTCTCTGAATATTTTAGTTTCTGTAATGACGGTAATCATCATTTTGATCTTGCAAAGATTAAATAAATTAATGGATATGTAAGTGTTTAATGTGTATTATATGTCATATATATTTCAAATATATATGTTTGGAATGAAATATGAAATGAACCTTCAAAATATGGAATGAAGCATTTATACTTTTGCTTGAGATATACGTGAAATACTGATTTCAATTAGTTTTTTTCCTAACATAAGAATAGGAAAATGAAATATAAAGTGAACCTAACATTAGCTATCTAATTCTTCATACCTTAAAGGCTAGGGTTTAAATCTTTTTATTTATACATTAAACAGGCTTTTGGAAAGTTACATTTAAATGGAATTTTTGAAAAGCTGTAATATGTGTAATACAGCTGCTCATAAATGACTGTGATTATATTATTCTACTTTCTCAGGGAGAAAGAGAGGCAAACCTGGAACCCGCTTCACTCAGAGTGACAGAGCTGCACAGAAAAGAGTCCGATCAAGAGGTAAAAAAGAAAACAGGAATGAACTTTCAATAACTAAACATCTAATTTCCTGTGCGGTACACTGTACTTTCAGTAATAAACCCATTTCCTTAATTGTTTTATGAAGCTGTACTAACTAGTGAGAAATGTATCCTATTTAGTCATTTTCCAAAATGTGTCAAGGAAAGAAGGAAGTAAGTTGGTGATGGATCTACAACCAGATCCCAGGGGCCCAGGGGCCACTAAAGTGCTACTTTCACTGAAATGATAAATTTCAAGGCTGGAGATAGTTCATTGCCGTATAAAGGGTATAACCCATAAGTGATTTAACTGACCTTCCTCTGACTACTCAGAAAGCCACAGGTTGCACACTAAGGGTGAAAAAGAGTTGTGGTTAGAGATCTGTGTCCTAAGACTTTCTTTTTCTTTGTGTGGGCTTAGGCTGATCATTTGACTTTCTTTGTCTCAGTTTTCTCATCTGGAAAGCAAGAGCATGAATTAGGCCAACTATCTTTCTTTCTTTCTTTCTTTCTTTCTTTCTTTCTTTCTTTCTTTCTTTCTTTCTTTCTTTCTTTCTTTTTTTATTCTTTAAGTTCTGAGATACACGTGTAGAATGTGCAGGTTCTACAACCCATCATCTACATTAGGTATTTCTCCTAATGCTATCCTTCCCCTAACCCCCAAATCCCGACAGGCCCCGGTGTGTGATGTTCTGTCCCTGTGTCCATGTGTCCTTATTGTTCGACTTCCACTTATGAGTGAGAGCATGTGATGTTTGGTTTTCTGTTCCTGTGTTAGTTTGCCCAGAATGATGGTTTCCAGCTTCATCCATGTCCCTGTAAAGGACAGGAACTCATTCTTTTTCATGGCTGCATAGTATTTCATGGTGTATATGTGCCACATTTTCTTTATCCAGTCTATCATTGATGGACATTTGGGCTGGTTCCTAGTCTTTGCTATTGTGAACACTGCTGCAATAAACACACGTGTGTGTGTCTTTATAGTAGACTGATTTATAATCCTTTGGGTATATATCCAGTAATGGGACTGCTGGGTCAAATGGTATTTCTGGTTCTAGATCCTTGAGGAATCGCCACACTGTCTTCCATAACGGTTGAACTAATTTACACTGCAACCAACAGTGTTAAAGCTTACCTATTTCTCCACATCCTCTTCAGCATCTGTTGTTTCCTGACTTTTTAATGATTGCCATTCTAACTGGCGTGAGATGGTATCTCATTGTGGTTTTGATTTGCATTTCTCTAATGACCAGTGATGATGAGCTTTTATTCATGTTTGTTGGCCAGATAAGTGTCTTCTTTTAAGAAGTGTCTGTTCATATCCTTTGCCCACTTTTTGATGGGGTTGTTTTTTTCTTGTAAATTTGTTTTAAGTTTCTTGTAGATTCTGGATATTAGCCCTTTGTCAGATAGATAGACTGCAAAAATTTTCTTTCATTCTGTAGGTAGGCCAACCATCTTTCTTATTAGTCCATCCTGGTCCTAATAGTCTGCCTTTCTAAAAATTTGTCTCAGGACCAAGGACAGCTCCCCCGTTTATCATGACTTCTGTTGCCCAGGCTGGAGTGCAGTGGTGTGATCTCACTGCAGACTCCACCTCCCAGGATCCAGCAATTCTCCTGACTTAGCCTCCCAAGTAGCTGGGATTACAGGTGGGCACCACCATACCTGGCTAATTTTTGTATTTTTGGTAGAGATGGAGTTTCGCCATGTTGGCCAGGCTGGTCTCGAACTCCTGACGTCAAGTGATCCACCTGCCTTGCCCTCCCAAAGTGCTGAGATTACAGGTGTGAGCCACCACGCCTGGCCCTACACCTTTGGTTGGAAGGGAAGGATTCACTGCTCACCCTCCTGGAGTTCCTTTGAAGACCTTTCACCCCCTTCTCTGTGAAATCAGGTCTCCAGTCCCCCACCTGCAACCCCATATAATTTTCAGATTATTCTAGAGCTCCCTGAGCTCTTCTCTTAGCTACGGGGAAAGCAGACAGGACAGAGAAATGAACTAAAGGAGAGAACAAAAATAGAAGGCAGACATCATCTCCATTAGGTTATCCCATCATTACCCTCTCCCTGCTTGCCCCGTCAGTGCTCAAATGGGGAGACTGAATATGATCTCTGGAGTCATCTAAGGCTACCCACCTGCAGCAAAACAGCATAGCTGGAGAGCTTCTGTCAGAACAGTGACAGCAACTGTGTTTCATTGTCATATAAGAATCAGTGGAGCTTACGAGATTAGGAGTTAAACCAGTTTTACTGAAGTCTAATTTCTCTGCTAAAGCATTCTATTTTGTATGAAATTTGAAAGGTGAAATTGGGGTAGACATTCTGTAATTATGTATCAAAAATGCCACTTGGAAGAAAGACTTTGAAACTCTAGAGGGTTTTGGAATAGAATTTCCTAAGTATCCCTCGTGTCTTTATAGGAATTACCTCAGTAGGGAGGGGGGACGTGCCTTTGCAAAGTGAGACAGAATGAAGAAATCCTCTCTTTCAGCTTCAAGAAAGCACAAAGATGAAACTGTGGATTTTAAGGCTCCTTTGCTTCCAGTGACCTGTGGTGGGGTGAAGGGAATTTTACATAAGAAGAAATTGCAGCAAGGTAGGTTTTATGGTCTTCTTTAATTTGCAGCTCCTATCTGAAGGCATCACAAGTAGTGGGGAATTATCATGTGAATTACACATCATTCAAGGAGTTTGGTCCCAGTTTGGCTTGAGGGAAGGAGGAAGGGATTTCTAAGATGACGTTTACAGACTTTAAGAAATCGCAACCACCAGATGCTCACTTGCACATGGAATGTCCAGAGGGTGCCCAAAGAACCAAAGAGAAGGCAGGAACATCAATTCACAGATGAAAAATGTCACGTATTTTACTTTGAATCAGACAGAAAAATGAAGAGGCCCTCAACCTCGACCTTCATATTCTCTCTCCCTTCTGGAGTGCCATCACCAGGGCAGGGTGCTTGGTATAGGGAGATGATCACAGAATTTGGGATCAGAAAGCCTGAGTTCCAGCCTTTGCTGTTTCAGGAGTGACTGTTCCATTCTGAGTAGAGAAGGGAACCTTTCTGAACCTGAAATGTCTCATCCAAGAGAGGGAACAATAATGAAAAACCTGCCTCATGATGTAGCTGTGAGAATTAATTTGCATATTGATGTAAAATATGTAAATTTACATGTTTTTACTGTAAATTATAAAACTTTGCCAAAAAATGTCTATTAGAATGGCCATCATCTCAGACCAATCTTAATATGACTCTTTGGATGTCAATTAACAGAAATGTTTGCATTGTGACTATTTCTAAACAGCTTTACTGAGATATAGTTCACATATCATACAACTCACCACTTAGAGTGTACAAATCAACTTTTTTTTGTATAGTCACAGAATTGTACAGCCATCATTATCCTCTAATTTTGGAACAATTTGTTCCCCACTGAAAGAAAAGCCCATGTCAATTAGCAGTCAGTGCCTATTCCCACCTAAGCAGCCACTAATCTATTTTCTGCTCTATAAGTTTGCCTACTGTAGGCTTTCTAGAAGTGGAATCCTATAATACATGCCCTTTCCTGACTGCCTTCATTCACTAATTGTGATATTTTCAAAGTTCATCCACAATGAATGTATTAGTATTTCATTTCTTTTATTGACAAATAATATATGTCATTGTATAGATATACCACACTTTGTTTATAAACTCATCATTTGGAACTATTTCCACTCTTTGGCTATTATAAATAATGCTGTTCTGAACATTTGTGTAACAAGTTTTGTGTGAACATATTTCAGTTCTTTTGGGTATATAGTCAAGAGAGGAATGACTACATCGTATGGTAATTCTATGTTTAATTTATTGAGGAATCACCAAAGTGTTTCCACAGTGGCTGCACTATTCTGTATTCCTACCAGCAATGTATGAAGGCTCCAATTTCTCTACATGCTCACCAACTTTGTTATCGTCTGTCTGTCTTTTTTTATTACAGTCATACTGTCATCCTAGTGGGTATGACATGGTATCTCATTTTGGTTTTGGTTTGTGTTTCCTTAATGGCTAATGGTGTTGAGCATGTGACTATCTTTTACATATAAATTAAATTTTTTATCAGATAACATTTCACAATTAGTTTTTTAATATCAGCTACCTGTGATTGCAGGGATATGAAAATTTCTGTTTAATAATGCCACTAGACTGCATAAAACATGTTATAATTGAGAGTGCAGATGTTGCGGGAGTGACCCCCTGAGCCACAGGGCACCCATCTGAGACCGTAGCCCCAAGTTGAGGATTCTGCCTCCAACATTGCCCTCACAGCCATCTGGAGACTCAGGCCTGGCCTCTACTTCCAAATTTGAATAGCAAGTTGGAGTCCTCTCATCTTTCAGAATCACTTGCTTTTCCTTCTGTAAGTGCTTTTGAAATGCTTAAAAGGTTGCTCTTGATGATAACCATCACTCTCCTCATGGATGAAGGTCAAAGAAATGTGCACCCCCACCAGGAAATATCCTTAGAGGGGATTTTCAGGCTGGATTTGGGGCCTCTGTAGTCTGAGAGGGAAGGCCAGACTCTCCTGCTATTGATCTGCATCACAAATTGGGTGGCTCTAGATCCAGTGTGGTGAGTGGCCATAGTCTGTGCGCTGGGAAAAAAGAGGGCTCAGGATCAAGTTACCCTGGTCTTACAGGAATCTTGGTGAAGTGTATACAGACTGAGGATGGAAAATGGTTCACCCCCACGGAATTTGAAATCAAAGGAGGCCATGCAAGATCAAAGAACTGGAGGCTGAGTGTGCGCTGTGGCGGGTGGCCCCTACGATGGCTGATGGAGGTATTCCAATGACAAGGGGCCAGGCCTGTGTTCCTTCTTGTTCCCTAATAATGAGGAGACTGTTTATTCACCAAATATTTGTTAGGTTATAGCTAAAGCCTTGATGCCAGTGGGTTTATCCTCTCACTCAGGAGAGAGGGACCCCACATTCATAACCACACTACAGTGCAACACATTGACGTTGTACCAGGGGCTCCGTCAGGATAGACTCAGCAGCTTGGAGGAGGAAAGGGTCATTCTGACTAGGGTGCATGCAGACAGCTTTGTGCACTGAAAGAAAGAAGGGAGTTGACAGTCAAGCAGTGGAAGAAGACACTTCAGAGAAAGAATGGCATAAAAGCCAGAATGCCATGAAAACCAGAACCATGGCAAAAGTAGCTCTGTGGATTTAGGTAGCACAGGTTGTGTGCAATTAGGTATAATTTAACAATTGGGGCAGGTTGTGCAGGGCTTTAATGCCAGGCTAAGGAGTTTAAACCTGTAATTGAGATAACAAGGATTCAGTGAAATCTTCTAGGATTGGAAATGACATTTAAAACAATATTTTATTTTATTTATTTATTTTTAGGAGACAGTCTCACTCTGTTGCCCAAGCAGGAGTGCAGTGGCTCAATCTCGGCTCACTGCAACCTCCACCTCCCAGATTCAAGTGATTCTTGTGCCTCAGCCTCTCGAGTAGCTGGAACTACGGTTGTGCACCACCATGCCAGGCTAATTTTTGTATTTTTAGTAGAAATGGGGTTTTGTCACGTTGGCCAGGCTGATCTCGAATTCCTGGCGTCAAGCGGGAGGCCTCCTCGGCCTCCCAAAATGCTGGGGTTACAGGCGACAGCCACCCCGCCCCGCCATAAAACAGTATTTTAGACAGCCACGGGGCTTTCCCCCTAGCAAACCTATACTCAATCTAGAATGCTCAGTTCAAGTGTTACCCCTTCCTGAATGTTCATTGATTGACCTGTCATGGGCCATTGACCAGGCCTTCCCAGGGCTCCTGAGCCCTCTACTAAGGCCTTTCATTCACTGTTTTATATTTATTATTTTGTGAGTGCTTTTTGTCCGTAGACTCCTTTAGGTTGTCCCATCTTCATGTGCCCAAGATTGATCAGAATTACTGATACCCAGTAGCAGGCAATGTGTGTGCTGCTTGGATAGCTCTGGTGTAAGGACTCCAGCTGGAGTGGCACTGGTGGGACTGGAAGAGAGGTGATAGGTGGTATGAGATTGTGAAGGAAAACCTCTTAGGACTTAGGAAAGAAGCACAAGAGAAGGGAAAATGGTCCTGAAGATGCTTTTCTGGCTTCTATTGATTGAAGTCTAGAAGAAGCACAGGTGAAGACAGGGAGATGGTTTCTCATTAGACACCTTGGATTTGAGCTGGCAGTGGAACACTCAGGTAGAAATATTTGGGAGGAGGTTGGAAATGCCAGACTCACAAAACGGAAACACAGGCTGACCATATACCTGAATCTTTTTGTCTTTCAGAATGGATTTCTGCCTGATCCTCCAAGAATACGTTACAGGAAAAAAAAGGTGATTATTACATAGCTTTATACAGCTTCTTGTCACATAACTGATTTAGCATGCACAAAATCTTATTTTATGGGGTCTGAAATTGGGTAGGAATAATTAAGCTTTCACCTTCTTCACTACTCACCTTAAAATACTTTTTGCATGTATTCCTTCAGAGTCGCTAATTTGAACACTAAATGTATATAAAGCTAGGTCCTGTTTGGATTCAACCATTTCATATGAAGATGATAAGGAGCCATCAGAATATACGTCCTGGGAGTGTTTTAGCAATAGATGCAGATGTCTTAAGAGTGTCCAAGTTGGAAAGTCAAGCATGGTCATGGGATACATAAAAATATTTCATAGTAAGGTGAGAGGATCACCTTCAACTCAAAATTCAGATTTTTTTCATTGAAGTTACTATTTTCTAACTTTAGTGAAATAGGATGGAGCAGATATTTGCTCACATCCATTTGAGACATGCATGAAACCATATATCATTTAATGAAATCGGCAACAAAAAGAATATTTCTTTTCTGATCCTTCACATTCTCTTTCACCTTCCAAAAAAATGTACACACAGACACACAGAATGTCTTCTCAAGGTGAAATTATTTCCTGTTACCACAATGGTGCCACTGAGGAGGAAGATCTCCAGAGGCAAATGTATTTTATAGGAGGGGCTGACCAGGAAAATCTTTTATGTTGATGCCACCTCTTTGGCTCTACCAGAGGGACTGTGCAGACCTGCTTTTTATCTGTGAAAGTGATTTTTCCCTCTCTTGAAGAATGCAACAAACAAATAGGTTAAGTGCAGTGTATATTCAGGACAAGGTGATGGTTTTTCCAAGACTGGGTATGAATGAGAACCTGAGGAGGGGGAAGAGAAAAATGTCATCCTTATGCACTTCAGGTAGAAATACGCATTCAAGACATTCACAGACTTCTAAAACAGCTCACACATAGCTAGCCACTAAGCTTCATATTCCACTGGGAACCTGAGATGCAGGCCTTTACATTATCTGATATACTGGCTGATTTGAATTTTCAGCCACTGAGACATTTCATCCACTGGGTTTCCCGAAGGGAAACTATGATGTCACCTATTCAGTGACTACACTAAAGACCAGCATCTCTACCTTTCACCGGGTGCCAAGAGTAACTGAGTCTGGATGACCCAAATGAGCTGGCAATTTCCGACTAACCGACTCTCCCTCTATTCTGGGGTGCAAAACTTAGCAGCGACAAGGTGCAGTTGCCTCTATATGTTGTGTCTCCTCATGGGGGAGAACAGAAGGTCCCTTAAGTGGCAGATCCAGGATCCATTATGAACTCCATGGGTCCTCTGTGCCTCTCAGAGCTTCTCTTACTTGCAGAGCCATTTGGCTTTAGGAAATTTCAGTGTCACTATGAGTGCCACATGATAGCATCTCTGCTCATGACAAGGGCCACATAGACCTTTTGGTGGCACCTGAGATATTGTAAAGCAATCTGATATACTCACCCAGAATAATTGTTGTATGCTAATGTTTGCTTAAGAGCCTCCAGTGATTTCTAAGTGAATCAACATTCATTTATTCACCCACTCAACATATAATTATCAAGCACACACTAAATGCCAATGGACATTACAGAAGATTGACCTCAAAAATTATTTCAGGCCAAACATGGTCACTTGAGCCTATAATGCCAGCATTTTGAGAGGCTGAGATGGGAGAATCATTGGAGCCCAGGAATTTGAGACCAACCTGAGCAACATAGTGAGATACCATCTCTACCAAAAAAAAAAAAAAATTACCCAGACATTGTGGTGTACACCTGTAGTCCCACCTACTCAGGAGACTGAGGTGGGAAGATCACTTGAGCCTGAAAGGTCAAAGCTGTACTGGGCTGTGATTTCATCATAGCACTCCAGCCTAGGTGACTGAGTGAGACTCTGTCTCAAAAAATAAAAAAAGTTTTAAATTTATTGTCAACATGGATGAATTACAAATGGGGTGGGGTGGGAGATTCTAGACCAGTTGGAGAGGCATTCAGTGACAAGGTCATCTCTCAGGTGCTTGTCCTTTGAATCACACTTGTTTATGGCCTCTGTGCCCTGGGCTACAGACAAAAGCTGAGGCTGCTTGTATCCCAGAAGGGAAGGATGCCAAGTCATGCCATGGATATCCAAAAGCAATCTAAATAAATGTAGTGGGTTACCTCTTAAAAGTCAGTCAACCTGGCATCTTCTTGTGATTTGGATAGAAGGGAGAGGGAGAGAGTTTCAGGAAAAAGAGCTGCAGCACAGAGGACCTTGGAGGCATTTTATCACCAGGGCTGTGTCCCTAGGGGAGCTGCAGAAAGCAGTGCTCTTCTTGTCTGGGACACTTGCATGGCCTCTAGGACTCTGAGTCCTGTGGTCCCAGGAGGCTGTGGGAGATAAGTCCTCAGCCTGATTATTATTGAGGCTCCTCTGGGTGGGATGACACAAAGGCCAAGTTTAGGAAATATGCCTGAGGGCCCCTTGAAGTAAGAGGACAAGTAGAGCTTCTCTGACTTGGCCTGTGCAAACTAGGTCCAGACTCCCTGCAGGGAATGGGACTTGCATTGGGATTAACGGTAGTACTTGCACACTTTTTATTCTTTCAGTAGATATATAGGTCCAAAAAATCAGATATGAGGTAAAGGGAAGACTGTTTACAAAAATAAAACTTTAGACAAAATAAAATTTATAGCATTTATTTGAGCAAAGAGCAATTCATGAATTGGGCAGCACTCAGAACAAGGAGAGGTTCAGAGAACTCTGCTGTAGCAGCCCAGACAGTGAGGCCAACACAGGAGTAAGACAGAGAAACTATATTTAATGGGTTATCATAGAAAGATGATAATTAGAGGTTAGATGGCAGATTCTAGTTGGTAAAATCTCTAGTTTCATTTTACTGTTTACATCAGGTTTCAGTTTGCTTACTTAGAAACTTAAACCACTGGAGCCACCCCAGCCTACTGGCCTTCTCTCTTCCCAATTATTTTTTAACAACTGGTTCCTGAATCCCTTCAAAGAATACTATTTAAATTTAAATAAGTGATAGATGGAAACAATGCATTCAATATCATAAATCAATCTTTCTGTTTTTTCAACAGAGAATACTGAAGTCTCAAAACAATAGCTCAGTTGACCCTTGTGTAAGTACAAATTCTGAACTACGACCCCCAGAATATTCCACTCCTTTCTCCAGGCATATGTTCTGTGTCATGACTGCTGTTGCCTGAATCATGTTCAGTCTCAGCTGGAGTATGTGGCTGTGTGAATTCAGTTGCATCACCCAAGCCAGGTAGATGTGCCTGGGCCTTGGATGTCTCATTATGAAAGCACCCTTTCCATCTGTTTCAGTAGAAACCTTCCAATGTCCTTATTTCCCCTGGAAAGTGAGTATGGGAGGCTGAGCTCCAGACCACTGAGGTCTCTTGAGACAGAGCCTGAAGTGGTAATGGGTAGGGCTGGCCTGGTGATTAGGGGGAAGGAACAAATGTGAGAGGATAACAGCATTTTCAAGTAAGTGGTGTGGATGAAAGGGAAAGTCCTAAAAATGCACTCCAAGGTGCAGGTAGAGTTGAAGATGGTCATAAGCATCAGCCAGAAGGAACAGACCAGGCCAAGCTATTATGTTCCAGGTGTTGATCCTGTCATTAGCCCTGTAAAGGAGTACATACAAGGCAAGGGGTCCTTTACAGAGCTCATTTGGATGGTTTCAGGGAAGCCATTAGGGTGCTGAGCTGGTTAGGACTGAAACCATCACGACCTAGCAAATCCTGAGGCATTTTAACTCAACTGCTTATCTGGTGCTCAGTACTATGCAAACTTTCTGATGCCACAGGCCCCATCCATTCTCTGCTTGCTATATGACTGCCTGCTTTGGATTCTGCCAAAATCATGGATGAGTCCCTTCTCTAAATGAAATCGTGATTTGATTCTTTTCATTGCAGTGAGATGTCTGTTTTAGGCCGGGTCACCTTCTTGCACAACTCTGGGGGACAGCACTCACATAGAATATCATGCAATAGCACTGACACATGATACTTAACAGAGGAGGGATGCTCAAATAGTTTTATACACACCTTACCTCCAAAGCAGTCCTCCAATCAGATTTAGGTCTTTTCCACACTGATTTTGATGTCTGGCCAACTGAGGGACTTTTCAATAATTAAAACAGCCCTGGAAGTCAGTGTTTGTGTGGCTGATTTTGGATGGACTAGGCATGGAGGTTTAGGTTTCACAGCTCACAGCCAGATATGTGTGGGGAGAAGAGGGAAACAGTTCCAGCAAAGGTATGGTCACCCCTGTTAATAATTTTTCCAAGGCCAGTAACAACATTGACTTATAATATCCCCATGCGTCCATAACCAGACTTTGCTTAGGTTGAATCTCATATTGTCCTGCAGCCTGGAATCACTTGAAGAGCTTTAAAAAAATATTGTTTCCTGGATCCCACTTCTGGGGAAATTATAATTTAATCATTCTGGACTATGTATGACTGGAACATTAGGATTTGTTTAAGATCCCCAGATGTACTAATTCTGATACATAGAATTGCCTATTCTGTCACCTAAAGAAGAATACCAGTGCCTGTGCCTCAACCCTGACCCAGTGATTCAGAATCTCTGGTGTTGGGTTCAGGACATTAGCATTTTATATACTCTCCTGAGAGGAGTCTAATGTACAGCCAGGCCAACAACCAAAGAACCAGAGAAATCAAATCTCTTCTTGAAAAGATGGGTTTGGAGAACAAAATGGCAGATAGGAGGCAGGACTAACTTGCTCCTCCTACTCAGATGGACAGAACAGCGTGTTGAGACTCACACTGTGAACTTTTGCTCCAAGAACCACTGCAGGAATATACCAGCAAAACTGAAGGAAGTCACACACCCTTTAAAAGAAGTGGCTTGCCACCGCAAACTCTGGGAGATAGCCAAAAAACCGTGAGTCCTCAAAGTGTGAGAGGGAAAAAGTCCACCTCTGAACACATATCCTCACTGGGGAACCTGGAAATCCAGATCACAGGAGAAGGATTTCACCTAACCTAGAGCTGAAATGAATTTAGAAAGCTGGGTGAAATATAAAAGTAGAATAAGCAGCAGGAAGAGGTGCCTTCCCCAAGGATCCCTATAAGCATTTCAGTCCCCAGGGAAGCCATTTCTGACTTTATCTCACAGTCCTTGGGGAGGGCAGCCAGTACAATTTGCAGAGAGCCATGGGGAGAAGGAGGCTTCCAGCTGAACTTTGTAATAATTTTAACCAAGCACAAATTTTCCTGGTCAGAATCTGGGGGTGTGAACCTGAAGTACAGATATAAGTGCAGAAGCCATGGCAGGCAGGGAGGGGTGAGATCTGAAAGCCCTGCTTGCTTTCTCAATGGGGGTGCTTCTTCCTGGGGCAAGATCTTAGCTCCAGGCAAAGGATGCCTGGATATAAATTTGGCTCTGTTGGCTGTTGGGCACCACAGCGGGAGTGAGACTGGCCTTGCTGGCTGCCTGGGTGCTGGGTGAAGCCTGTCACTGCCGGCTTCCCTTACTTATCTGGTGAACTGTATGAAGCAGCAGAGGCAGGCATAATCCCCTCTGGAACATAAATCCATTGGCCTGCAAGCCACCCCTCATCCCCCACAGTGGCCACAGCAAGCCCTGTCTGAGAATCTGAGCTCAGACACACCTAACCCTGCCCCCAGCTGATGGTCTTTCTCTACCTGCCCCTGTAGCTGAAGACAAAAGACAGGGGCTCATGGGAGCTCTATGACCTCACCCATCACCTGAGAAAACCGAATACTTATCCAGTGAACTTAGGTCAAGCTTGTATCCCCCTCATATTACTTGCAGCTGATGGTCTCTTGAAAGTGCCACCTCCTCGCCGAAGGTCAGCCAACTCAAGTCATTACAGACACTCATACGAGAACCACCTTGCTCCAGGAAGGAGAAAACAACAACTAATTATACTGCCTGTAACATCCTGGCTAACCAAAGATCCTGAGTCTGTCCCTGTAACAACCTCACTGCTAGCATAACCAACATTTGAGAAAACCAGTGTACTAAACAAAACTACAATCAAGGACTCTCACAGAATCCACTTCACTCCCCTGCTACCTCCACTGGAGCACGTGCTGGTACCCATGACTGGGAGAACTGAAGACAGATCACATCACAGGACCCTTTGCAGATACTCCCCAGTACCAGCCCAGAACCCAGTAGCTCTTCTGGGTGGCTAGACCCAGAAGAGCAATAACAATCACAGCAGTTTGGCTCTCGGGAAGCCCATCCCTAGGGGAAGGGGGAGAACACCACATTAAGGGATCACCCTGTGGAACAAGAGAATCTGAACAGCAGCTCTTGAGTTTCAGATCTTTCCTCTAACGTAGTCTACCCAAGTGAGAAGGAACCAGAAAAACAATTCTGATAATGACAAAACAAAGTTCTATAACACCCCCAAAAGATCACGTTAGCTCACCAGCAATGGATCCAAACCAAGAAGAAATCTCTGAATTGCCAGAAAAAGAATTCAGAAGGTCAATTATTCAGCTACTCAAGGAGACACCAGATAAAGGTGTAAACCAACTTAAAGGAATTAAAATAATAATACAGGATATGGATGAAAAAGTCTCCAGAGAAATAGATATCATAAATAAAAATCAATCACAACTTCTGGAAGTGAAAGACATACTTAGAGAAATACAAAATACACTGGCAAGTTTCAACAATAGACTAGAACAAGTAGAAGAATGAACTACAGAACTCGAAGACAAGGCTCTGGAATTAACCCAATCCAACAAGAAAAAAGAACTTTTTAAAAATGAACAAAGCCTCCACGAAGTTTAGGATTATGATAAATGACCAAACCTAAGAATAATTTGTGTTCCTCAGCAAGAAATCTAAAAGTTTGGAAAACATATTCGCGGGAATAATCAAAGAAAATGTTGCTGGCCTTTCTAGAGATTTAGACATCCAAATACAAGAAGCTCAAAGAACATCTGGAAAATTCATCACAAAAAGATAATCACTCAGGCAGAGTCATCAGGTTATCTAAAGTTAAGATGAAGGAAAGAATCTATGAAGCAAAAACATCAGCTAAACTACAAAGGAAAACTTATCTAATGATTAACAGCAGACTTCTCAGCAGAAACCCTACAAGCTAGAAGGCTTTGGGATCCTATCTTTAGCCTCCTTAAACAAAATAATTATCAGCCAAGAATTTTGTATCCAAGAAACTAAGCTTCATAAATGAAGGAAAGATAAAGTCTTTTTCAGACAAACAAATGCTGAGAGAATTCACCACTACCAAGCCAGTGCTACAAGAACTGCTAAAAGGAGTTCTAAATCTTAAAACAATATATCAAAATATACCAAAATAGAACCCCCTAAAGCATAAATATCACAGGCCTATTAAAAAATAACACAATGAAAAAAATAAGGTATTCAGGCAACAGCTAGCATGATGAATAGAATAGTACCTCACATCTCAATACTAATGTTGAATGTAAATGACCTAAATTCTTCACTTAAAAGATACAGAATGGCAGAATGGATAGGAATTTACCAGGCACCTGCTGTCTTCAAGAGACTCACCTAACACATAAGGACTCACATAAACTTAAGGTAAAGGGGTAGAAAAAGATATGCCATGCAAATGGACACCAAAAGCGAGCAGGAGTAGGTATTCTTACATCATACAAAACAGACTTTAAAGCAACAACAGTTAAAAAAGACAAAGAGCGACCTTATATAATGATAAAAGGACTAGTCCAACAGGAAACTAGCACAATCCTAAATATGCACCTAACTGTGGAGTTCCCAAATTTACAAAACAATTACTCACTTTGGGAGGCCGAGGTGGGTGGATCACAAGGTCAGGAGATCAAGACCATCCTGGCTAATGCAGTGAAACCCCATCTCTACTAAAAATACAAAAAAAAAAAAAAATTAGCTGGGCGTGGTGGCAGGCACCTGTACTCCCAGCTACTCAGGAAGCTGAGGCAGGAGAATGGCATGAACCCAGGAGGCAGAGCTTGCACTGAGCCAAGATTGCACCACTGTACTCCAGCCTGGGCAACAGAGTGAGACTCCATCTCAGAAACAAAAACAAAAACAATTTCTACTAGACCTAAGAAATGAGATAGATGGCAACAGAATGATACTGGGGGACTTCAGTACTCTGCTGACAGCACTAGACAGGTCATCAAGACAGAAAGTCAACCAAGAAACAATGGACTTAAACTGTACACTAGAACAAATGGACTTAACAGATATTACAGAACATTCTACCCAACAACTGCAGAACATACATTCTTTTCATCAGTACCTGGAACATTCTCCAAGATAGACCATATCATAGGCCACATAACAAGTCTCAACAAATTTAAGAAAATTGAAATTATAGCAAGTACTCTCTCAGACCACAGTGGAATAAAATTGGAAATCAGCTCCAAAAGGAACCCTCAAAACCAGGCACGTACATGGAAATTAAATAATCTTCTCCTGAATGATCATTGGGTCCACAATGAAATCAAGATGGAAATGAAAAAATCCTTTGAACTGAACGACAATAATGACACAAGCTATCAAAACCTCTGGGATACAGGAAAAGCAATGCTAAGAGGAAAATTCATAGCATTGAATGCCTACATCAAAAAGTCTGAAAGAGCACAAATAGACAATCTAAGTTCACACCTGAAGGAACTAGAGAAAGAAGAACAAACCAAACCCAAACCCAGCAGAAGAAAAGAAATAACAAAGATCAGAGAAGAACTAAATGAAATTGAAACAAAAAAAATACAAAAGATATATGAAACAAAAAGCTGGTTATTTGAAAAGATAAACAAAATTGATACACTATTAGCAAGATTAACCAAGAAAAGACTAGAGAAGATCCAAATAAGCCCAATTAGAAACAAAATGGGAGATATTACAACCAACACCACAGAAATACAGAAGATCACTTAAGTCTACTATGAACACCTTTATGCACACAAACTAGAAAACCTAGAGGGGATGGATAAATTCCTGGAAATATACAACCCTCCTAGATTAAAGCAGGCAGAAATAGAAATTCTGAAGAGACCAGTAACAAGCAGTGAGATTGAAATGGTAATTAAAAAATTGCCAATACTAGAAAGGCCAAGACCAGATGGATTGATTCACAGCTGAATTCTATCAGACATTCAAAGAAGAATTGGTATCAATCCTACTGAAACCATTCCAAAACATAGAGAAAGAGGGCATCCTCCCTAAATCATTCTATGAAGCCAGTATCACCCTAATACCAAAACCAGGAAAGGGCATAGCTCATGTCAACAAATGTGATATACCACATAATCAGAATTAAAAACAAAAATTGTATGATCATCTCAATAAAGACAGCAAAAGCATTTGACAAAATCCAGCACCTTTTATAATTAAAACCCTCCACAAAATTGGCATAGAGGGGACATACCTTAAGGTAATAAAAGCCATCTATGACAAACCCATAGCCAACATAATACTGAAATGGCAAAAGTTGAAAGCATTCCCTCTGAGACCTGGAACAAGACAAGGATGCCCACTTTCACCACTTCTATTCTACATGATACTAGAAGTCCTAGGCAGAGCAATCAGACAAGAGAAGGAAATAAAGGGCATCCAAATCAGTAAAGAGGAAGTCAAACTGTTGCTGGTCGCCAATATGATCGTATACCTAGAAAACCCTAAGGACTCATCCAAAAACCTCCTAGATATGATAAATGAATTCAGTAAAGCTTCAGGATACAAAATCAATATATACAAATCAATAGCACTGTTATATACTAACAGAGACAAAGCTGAGAATCAAATCAAGAACTCAACCCCTTTTACACTAGCTGCAAAAAAATAAAATACTTAGGAATGTACCTAACCACAGAGATGAAATACCTCTACAAGGAAAACTACAAAACACTGCTGAAAGAAATCACAGATGACACAAACAAATGGAAACATGTCCTATGCTCGTGGATGGGTAGAATCAATATTGTGAAAATGATCATATGGCCAATAGCAATCTGGAAAGTCAATGCAATTCCCATCAAAATACCATGATCATTTTTCACAGAACTAGAAAAAACAATTCTAAAATTCATACAGAACCAAAAAAGAGCTCATGTAGCCAAAGCAAGACTAAGCACAAAGAAAAAACTTGGAGGCATCACATTACCTGACTTCAAACTATACTACAAGGCTATAGTCACCCAAACAACATAGTCCAGGTATGAGAATATACCAGTACACATAGACCAATGGAACAGAAGAAAGGACCCAGAAATAAAGCCAAATATTTGCAGCCAGCTAACCTTTGACAAAGCAAACAAAAGCATAAAGGGGGAAAGGACACCCCATTCAACCAATAGCACTGGCATAATTGGCAAGCCACATTTAGAAGAATGAAATTGAATCCTCATCTCTCACCTTATACAAAAATCAACTAAAGATGGATCAAAGACTTAAATCTAAGACCTGAAACCATATAAATTCTAGAAAATAACATTGGAAAAACTCTTCTAGGCATTGGCTTAGGCAAAGAGTTCAGGACCAAAAACGCAAAAGCAAATGCAAGAAAAACAAAGATAAATAGATGGGATTTAATTAAACTAAAAGGCTTCTATACAGCAAAAGAAATAACAGAATAAACAGACAACCCACAGAGTAGGAGAAAATATTTGCAAACTATGCATCCGACGGAGGACTAATATCCAGAATCTACAAGGAACTCAAAGCAATCAGCAAGAAAAAATCAAATAATCCCATCAAAAAGTGGGCTAAGGACATGAATAGACAATTCTCAAAAGAAGATATACAAATGGCCAACGAACATGAAAAAATGCTCAGCATCACTAATTATCAGGGAAATGCAAATCAAAACCGCAATGCGATACCACCTTACTCCTGCAAGAATGGCCATAACTTAAAGATCAAAAAATAATAGGTGTTGGCATGGATGTGGTGAAAATGGAACACTTTTACACTTCTGGTGGGAATGTAAACTAGTACAGCCACTACAGAAAACAGTACAGAGGTTCCTTAAAGAAGTATAAGTAGATCTACCATTTCATCCAGCAATCCCACTACTGACGGCAGCGGCAGGCAGTCTGAAGTGGCTGCTGCCATGAAGCTGGCTGCAGTGAGGTGCAGGCGCTGGCCGTGGGTCTTAGGGGGCAGACACAGAGGCAGGAGATCCCCAGAGCCAGTTGCCCTGGGAGCCTTCCTCTGGGAGCCGCTGCAATGGGGCTAGGCCCAGCTGCCCGTAGGGCGTGGTCAGGCAGGGAGGGGTGAGCAGAGAGAGGTCCCAAGATGGAGCTGGGCCAGTGGTGGTTCGGCACTTGCACACGTAGCGTGGGGGTCGGGCCCGAACGCGGAGCAGTGGCCACACTTCAGGGGCCGGGGTGGGAAGTGGGAGTGGCGCCCACTTCCAGGACCCAGCCAGCAATGCGGCCCCTGCACCCACCCTGCCCACAGCGCCAGGTTCCCGCCCCTCACAGGAGGCTGAACAAAGGGCCGCCAGAGGCCGTGTCCCTAGGATCTGCCCCGAGTTAGAGTGACTGCTGTGCCTGGTGCTTTCAGCAGCTGAGACTGGGGAGGCAATCCGGTCCTGGAGGTTTCCCCCAGGCAGGGTCACAAGCCAGGAGAGGGGGTGCCCCAAGCCATCCCTGAGCCTTGGGGCCACAGGAGGAACTTGAGCCAACATCACCCCTGCACCAGATGCTGGCCTGGGCCTGGCAAGGGCTGGAGCCACCAACCCAGGCTGCAAGGAGGCAGACAGGGCAGCAGGAACGGCCAGAGGAGCAGCAGTGGCAGCAGTGGGTCCCTGTGCCCTGTGTCCCTGAGGCAGGGACCCTCACCCTCACACAGCCGGCAGGACCTGCTCTCAGGCCCAGAGCCTCTATCACAGCCTGGACCTCTTTCCCCACTGCATCCTGGGAACCTGCAAGCACCTGGCCAAAGGTGCAGCCGAGACTCACAGAACTGGCCCCTGAGTGTCAGGTTCCTTTGTGTGAGGTTGGCTGGGGCACTGTGCCACCTGCACCTCATCCACAACTGCTGCAGGAGACACAGAGAGGGGGCATGGCTGAGGCCGCCCCACTCTGCAGAGCCAAGGACAAGCAGGAGCCCTGCCTCTCCCAAATTGGCAGGGCAGGAGCTCGCCATGCGCAACTGCAGGTGCCCAGGTTGCAGCTGTAGGCCTGGGCCTCCCAGTGCTCTTGGGGGCCCAGGAGGCTACCCTCCACCTGCCAGAACAGAAGCTTCTGCTGCCTGGCCATTCCCTGCTCCCAGCACCTGCTGCAATCTTGGAGCAGGGTTGGGGCTGAGCCCAGGTGCAGTTGCAGCCCTGTTGGGTGTGCACATGCTTGGGGCAGAGCTGACACACCAGGCCCCTGCTGCCTGCACCCCTCTGGATTTTGGGTGCTGACGATCATAGGAGAGAGGCCAAGAATGGGCTGGGGCCAGCTCAGCACTGGCCTGCAGGTGCCCCTTTGGGCAAGGGGCCTGGGCACCATGGGTGGTGGGGAAAGGCAGACAGGCTCCTGGGTGGGAAGGGGCAGGTCCCTGGTGAGGCACCACCTTCAGGCAAGAGAGGGCCTGAAGGCTGGGAACTGGGCTGCCAATCCTATGGACCAGAGTGGGAACTTGTAATGCCTTTCAAAGGCCTGCTCATGGTAACCCATGGACCAATCAGCATACACTTCCTCCCCTCTGAAGCCCATAAAAGCTCTGGACTCAGTCAGACTTGGAGAGAACATCCTGGACAACCAGCAGCAGAGAAGAGCTTCACACTCCAGGGACTACCTGCCAGCAGAGAGAAGCCACCCACCCTAGGACCTCCTCCTCTTTGCTGAGGGCTGAACACTCGTCAGGACACATTGGCTGCAGAAAGGAGCTACCCACAGTGGGTCTCTGAGCTGTTCTACTGCTCGGTAAAGCTCCTCTTCGTCTTGCTCACCCTCCATTTGTCAGCGTCCCTCATTCTTCCTGGTTGCAGGACAAAAGAACTTGGGATCTGCTGAATGGTGAGGCTAAAAGAGCTGTAACACAAACAGGGCTGAAACATGCCCCTTGATCACCGCATTGTGGGTGAAGAGAAGGAGAGAAGAGCTGCAGCCCTTTGGGGAGCCCAGACCTGGAAGCTCCCTGAGCCAGGGCTGTGACTCCCTTTTGGAGGCTCTGAGGTTCCTGGCATCTTCAAGCTTCTAGGTGCCAGCACATCCCCTGTTGCCAGCCATGGAAGCTGTTTGCAGTGTGCCTGGTCCAGACACAGCCTTGCAGAGAGCCAGTGCTCATGCCAGCACCTGGAGTTGCCTGCCCTTATGCAATAGCAGGCATGTCTGACTGTATGCAGTGGCTGGACCCCATGCTTGCTCACACGCCTCTCCCACTCCATGCCTGACCTGCCCCATGGCAGGCCCTTGGTAGGTATGCGATCCAGGCCAGTAGCCTGAGCCAAGTGCAGCCTGCCAGGCCAAGTGGGTGGAAGGAGCCCAGTGGGCCTGAGCAAAACTCAGGCAAAGGCACAACTGCTTACAGAGGTTTCTGGCAAGAAAAAGCAATACCCCAAGGATTCCGTAACACTACTGGGTGTCTACCTAGTGGAAAAAAAGTTATATGAAAAAGACACTTGGACATGCATGTATATATATATATATATATATATATATATATATATACACACACACACACACACACACACACAGAGACACACACACACACACACCATGGAATACTACTCAGGTATAAAAAGGAATGAAATAATGACATTCACAGCAACCTGGATGGAGTTGGAGACCATTATTCTAAGTGAAGTAACTCAGGAATGGAAAACCAAACAACGTGTGTTCTCACTTATAAGTTGGAGCTAAGCTATGAGGATGCAAAGGCATAAGAATGATACAATGGGCCTTGGGGACTGAGAGGGAAGGGTGGAGGAGGGTGAGGGATAAAAGACTACACATTGGGTACAGCGTACACTGCTCTTGTGATGAGTGCACCAAAATCTCAAAAGCCACCACTAAAAAAATTATCCATGTAACCAAAAACCACCTGTTCCCCCAAAACTATTGAAATAATAATTTTTTAAAAAGATTAAGGATTCGACATACTTAAACATTTGGTACTTCATTCCCTCCCTAGGGTTTTGGAGATGGTGGAACACACAGCATCTGACACTGGACAGATGAGATTGACAGCAGTGTATTAGTCACATTTACTCGGTAGCCCGGTGGGGGTGGGCAGGCATCCCACGCCACGCAGGGCCACATGGGGGCTGCGCTCAGGAACAGAGGAAACAGCCAGTGGCTGTGGAGGGCGGGCTGTCCCCTGCTTCCAGAGGGAGAGTGTGATTGGCTTGTTTGAATAATTCCATGGCTGGCAGGGAAATGAAATCAGCTATTCAAAAATACGCAGAAGGTGCAAGCGGTCCTCTTGATCAGAAGTGTTGGTAGGAAACCTTACCTGCAGCAGCAGAGCCGGCGGAGGACTTGTAGATAGACCATTCTAGGCCCTCCCAGTGTTACCAGATGTCCAGGCTGCACATAATATTGAACTCTAATTTTAGTCCTTACAGCACTTTTCACTTGAACGGCAAAGGGCTCAGTCACAGACTGGTTCTTTGTTGTAAATACACATGTATTTGTCTACAATACAGCATGTATGTATTGGTCTCTATATTTGCTCTATAAATTCTGTTGGTTTTTAATGACCGGGATTTGCTCCACAACACGTGGATGCAAATACCATCATATTTTAATTTCCCCAAATGAAATTAAATCTGGCTAAAGGTGTCACATATTGAGACTTGTAAGAAATGGAGAATTCGTTGATTTACCATTCCTTTTATAGAACAAAGCACCAGCTCTTTTATGGGCCCAGGAAATGAGGTGAGGGCCTCTGTCTTCAACACTGTATGGTGCTGTTACCATTGTCCTTGGTCATCAGAGATGGCACCTTCGCACCTTACAATCCAAGTTAGCTAAGTCAAGGGGGATGTATGCCAGGCTCCCAGAGCTGAAGAGCTCTGTGCTTCCTGGGGCCCACCTGGTCATCTCCACCCACGGTCCTTCCCCCTCAGAGGTCGGCGTAGAGCCCTCCAGGCACAAAACGTACAGTCTAGGAATCCCTAACTAGGCCCTCTCTTCAACTCATGGGGAACTTATGGCCAAGAATATGGGATGTGGTGATATCTCAGAAGCTTATTCCATCATATGTAATTAGCTAGGTCTCCTTTTCACTAGTTGATTTGTGGTATAGGCAAATTGATTTAACACTTCATTTCAAAACCTGGTTTTATCTGCAGAATAAGGAAATTATTCAGATTCCTATAAAATCATCATCTTGCTTTGTTGCTAGTCTTTCTTCATTACAATCTCTGGTTTCATAAGGAAGACTTTTCAATTCTGACCCATACCCCTTCCTCCTGAACTTCACTGCAGACCAGGATTTGTTCTGAAATCTCCATGCCATGTTTTTCCTTCATATCCCAGGGAGAAGCATTTGCCTGTCCATGCAGGTTCACACAAAGGCAGTGTGTTCTAGTTGCCCAGAGGGTTGGCCTTCCTGAATCTTGCGGTTCCCAGTGACGTGGACACTGTTTTATCTTCTAGATGAGAAACCTGGATGAGTGTGAGGTGTGCCGGGACGGAGGGGAGCTGTTCTGTTGCGACACTTGTTCAAGAGTCTTCCATGAGGACTGTCACATCCCGCCTGTGGAAGCTGAGAGGTAAGTGACATGCAGGCGTCTCTCTTTTTGTCCTTTAAGGGATCTTCCACCTGCCATGCGCACTCTCCAGCAGAGTGCCGGCTTGTGTCTAGATGGGGAAAGAGCAGGTTCATCGGGTACTGGGACCCAGCAGTGTGATCCAGAGAGCAGTGGGAGACGCTGGCAGCAGGAGGTTAATGTCCTCTGTGCTCTCAGGGACACCTCCTCTGATATGCTGAGGGCAGTGTTGGGGACCTTTGCCTACATACCGGCATTGTCCTTTCCTTGAAGTTTTGCAGCTGGGTGGGTTGGAGACAAGAAACACCAGTTGTTTATATTTTGTGCTTATTCATACAAGACAGGAAGCACGATCTCATTGGGCTGTTGGAGGCCCGAGGTCCCTGGGGCTGAAAACCCAGTTTCTGAAACTCAGGCCTGACAGACAGGGTTCCCTGTGCTCCCAGCAGCTCAGACAGAGAAAGGAGAGTCCACACTCACGGTGACACCACCTTCCTCAGACTTCCTGCCTGCTGCTACCACTGATGCGAGGGAAAGGCCAATGGCTGGAGACCCCATGTGTGAATCTTGCATACTTTGGGAGGTGTTCCCCTCCCTCCCATGACTGAGCCCATCAGCCATTCCTGAAGGAAGACAGTGGTAGCCACAGGAACGGTGGCCATTTCCAAGCTCCCTGCCCTCTGCTCACCCATGTCCAATCTCTCAGGACCCCGTGGAATTGCATCTTCTGCAGGATGAAGGAGTCTCCGGGAAGCCAACAGTGTTGTCAGGAATCTGAGGTCCTGGAGAGGCAGATGTGTCCTGAGGAACAGTTGGTAAATCAGATGCAAACCCCAAGCCTTCTCCTTTCCCCTCACACGTGAGAACCATGAACAAGCGCAAGGGCAGGGGAATGTACTGAAAGGAGCCTGCTCTTCCGCGCCACACTTCAATGGCACTGATAGAACACCACACCTTGTTTGCACAAAAAATAACTCAGCCATGACATGTCTGTTTCCAAGAGCCACACATGTTAGAGAAACTTGAGGAAGAAGGGTGTGAGTTCTGTGCTGTGTCTCATGCATGTGGGCTCATTCTCTCCAAGCTGCTTTTCATTTACGGCCTCTTTCTTTTGCAGAAATGTGAGTTCCTCCTCTTGAAAGTCTATTGCTGTTCTGAGAGCTCCTTTTTTGCCAAGATTCCATACTATTATTATGTAAGTAACAACAGCAACCCATGATTACAGGCTGCCATGACATTACCTGACCCTGAAATGGGCCCTCGTGAGATTTGTGATCTTAATCCCACGGGGCAAGAGCACACGCTGTCGTTAGTTGCCTTCACCTTGTTGTATTTCTGCTGGATTTTATGGGAATCCACAGAAGGTAGACACTGAACTATGCTGGTAGCTTTTCCATTGGTATATTTGTCACCAGATTAGAGAGGCGTGTCAAGGCCTGAAGGAGCCCATGTGGTTGGATAAAATCAAGAAAAGGCTGAATGAGCACGGTTACCCCCAAGTGGAGGGGTTTGTACAAGACATGCGCCTCATCTTCCAGAACCACAGGGCCTCTTACAAGGTAGGTGGCTCTTCCTGCTTCCATTTCATTTCTTTCCATCCTTCCCCTCATTTTCTGGTGCCAAGAAAAATTTAGTTTCCCTCATCCTGTAATAAGCTTGCACGAGCAAGGGTTCTGGAAGTGATTGATTGGTTTCAGTTCAGAACTTAAGCTCTTCTTAGCAAAGAAACAGTGAATCAAAAGGTGTCCCTGCAACCAGAACCCCAGGTCCCTGAGAGCTCCTCCCCCACCTGCCCCAGAGGAGACAGGAGCTCAGAGAGAGCAATTGAATCCTGCCTGCTGCAGCATATAAAGAGGAGAGAATTTCATCTTAAAGTGGTATTGTGCTTCTTATCTGCTCCCAATCCCAGAAATCCCAAACTCCAGATTCTTTGCATGTGAATAGACCATATCCCAACAAGGATTGCCAGCAAGGAGTAGAAGTGACAGAGAAAGGAACAGATCAGTGATCTTACCTTATACCCTTCCACTATCTGAATTGTTGAAAGAACCTAGATTGCTTTTCTAACCCACTGAAATAAGCAACCAAAGGCAAAGAAGTAATAATCCCAGCTGTGGAAATGATTTCACTTTTCTGCCCTGTTAATAAGAAAGGATCATGCTGGTAAGAAACGGAAGTTACTCTTAGCTGCATGAGTTTTCAAGTTTAACCTGGTTAATGTAACTTAGGGTGTTTAAGATAAGTGTTCTACTTAATAATAGTGTATTTCACACTTCAACATTGTTAAGAAAGTAAATTTCAAATGTACTCACCACAAAAAAATGATAACTATTTGAGGTGATGAATATGTTAATTAGTTCAATTTAATTATTCCACATAGCAGTCATAAATCACAACATTACTTTGTACTCCAAAATATATGCCATTATAAATTGTAGACTTACAGTACTTTTTTTTTTAAAGACAAGAGTCCTGATCATTCTCAGTTGAAAGGTGTCTCATGACGCTAATGATGAGGAGCATTGTTTTTGTCTTTATTATTTTTTCAGTACAAGGATTTTGGCCAAATGGGATTTAGACTGGAGGCTGAGTTTGAGAAGAATTTCAAGGAAGTGTTTGCTATTCAGGAAACAAATGGGAACAATTGACTGGATTAGTGGATGCTGAAAGCATTCAGCAAATGGCACCCTAAAATATGCCGCTGGTTTGCCACTGACTTCAAAATGAGGTCACTTGGGCACAGCACATGCAGGGAGGGGCTTTTCTCTGAGCCTCCTTCATCTGCCCAAAGACAAATCCTCAAAAGGAAATTCAATCATCATGAATCACAACCCCAAGTATCTCATCAGCCAGGGAAGAGTAAGTGGGATCACAGGGAAGGATGTTGGCAGCGACACCATCCCATACAGGCTCTTACCTCTTCTCCTGAGGGCTGCTCCAGACAACATTTATTACCCAGAAGACCTTTTGTCTGAAAACCAGCCAAGCTTTATTCAGGACACACTTCTTGCCTTCACTTTCCCACTTCCGTGGCCACCTCCATGCAGAAGCCCTAAGCCCACATTCTTTCGATAGCTCACGGTGGTGCATGAGTGTCCATCATCTGACTCTTCTCGGAGTCTCATATTTTGTGGGACTCCTGTGCAAACATATGTTATTAAAATTTTTTTCCTCCTGTTTATCTGCTTTTGTCAATTTAATTCATTCATAGCTCAACCAAAGAACCTAGCAGGGTAGAGGGAAGCCATTTTTCACTCCCCTGCAAAGCTGTTGGCATCCTGGCACCATCTCCTCTTCTGGCCAGGTCTTTTCATCCCCAACTGCTGAGTGGTGGCTGCTAATTAATGCCAGTAGTCCCCAGAATATTACCCGGGGTCAAGTGGAACCAGCTTCACCTGGAAGTGACACCCCGTGGCCTGAGGCCAGCCCCCTTGCCTGAAAGCAGGACCAAAGGTATGGTGTGCGGCTACTCTGTGTTCCCAGGTATCAGGCTGGAGCTAGTCTCCAGCTGTGGCCACACCCTGGTTTAGCTTTTGGCCACACGATGCTGCTTCCCCTACTCCCTTCTGAGCGAACCCTCACCATCAATCTCTTGCTTAAGGGACTTCATCCCAGAATGTGCTTCTGGGGAATGCAACCTAAGGTAATGGCCCCAGGAAGCGAGCTCTGAGGACAGGATTCTGGAGTTGGATCACTGTCTAGCCCAATGGTGCTGGGCAGAATATGGATAGCCCCAGAAGTGCTATCACTGAGCAGTTGCCCAAATTTTCACCTGTAGTAAATTGGAAGAGCTGCAGGTCAAGAGGTAAAATAGCTGGTACAATTGTCTGGCATTTAAGAAGTGAGGAAAAGTAACTATAAGAAGTATGGGTTTTGGTGGCTATTGCTAAGTGCCATTAATGTCCTGAAAAGAGTAAATGACAGGTTTAGATCTAGTCGTTACCAGCCTAAGGAGAAGAGACCCTCATACACCTGCAGCTGGAAGGCAGACAGCAAGGAATGCCTATTACAGGCCTTTATTTTACAAAGAGTCAAACTTCAGAGAAGACTGAATTCTAAGCTCAGGATGGTCTCTTATGCCAATGTCAAGGCCATGAAACTCAGCATGGGGCTATCTAGATAGAGGTACCTGAGAACTTTGACTCCAGATGCCCCCTGAACTCACTGGGCCTACAGAAAAATCCTCTTTCCCCTTGTTGGAAGAATGAGCTACCACCCCCACCCAACTCCCGATTTTTCTAGAAGGAAGACTGTGTAGAGACCGCTCAGGACAATGCAAGTGAACAGTCATGGGCAGGGCGGCAAAGTGAAGAGAGCGTTTATCCTCCGAAGGAGCTGTAGGACTGGCCAGCGTGCATCAGCAGGAGCAAGGAGATTGTGTCTGGGAGTGGATCCTGGTCCAGGAAGGGTGAAATGTGAAACCAGATACGTGAGAATTATTGACAAAAGGGCAAGCTTCGCTACCACAGAGTTTAACTAGCCTGGCATGGGCCAAAGGTGATGATTCTGATATACTCCTGGGTGGCTCCTAGAGACTTAGTATAAGCCATGGTACACATTAAATCAAGTGGAAGCAGAGATACCAGAACTACTGTGGCAGAGTCTGGAAAAGTGGGTCCCAAGGATAGAGAAGTTGGTGTGCTAGAATGACTCTGCACTCTACAACTGGAGAATCCATCCATCAGGTGACTGAGTTCCTCCTAAGGGGAACACTACTAATGTGTCTCAGACACTAACTAAAGGGAGAAGGAATGCACTGCTGAGGGGGCAGCACATCCTTGAGAAGCTCAATGGTGGCTGCCCCCTGCAAGCTGGAATAATGCTAGGGATGTTTTATAGAACTGGATCCCCCAGTAGTGAGTAAAATGAAAGAGTTCCAGCATAACAGAGGCCAAGAGGCAGCATTTAACTGTGAGGGCAAGATAAAGTAATTTCCCTAAGGGGCATGAATGTTAGAGTGACAGCTGGAAGGCCTGGCCTGTAGGTATCTATGAAGACAGACATGCATGGATATGCTGTTCCTATAGGCAAGATAGATGGGCAGCTGACAAGGATATTGCTTTAGACATATAATCAAAAAAGATTGGACATCAATGAGCAGAATGCTGAGGTCAGCTCTCTAAAGGTGAAGTCTAGACCCCTTGCCCAGCTTCCAAACCTCAGCCAGTTCTCAATGGAATCCAGAACCCATGATGGAAATGAGGGCAGTTTCTCATAAGGAAGAACCTTGTAAATGTGCACATCACTGATTCCCTCAAGTTTTCACGGGAGGGCTCTATGGCCATTTATTCAAGTAACTCACATGCCGGGGAAAGGAAAATACACAGATCTTTCAAGGGATGTTGAGTACAATGTCAGAGTTGATGCTAATCCCTGGGGACTCAAAGCCCTATCATAGCCCCTGTTAGAGTATGTGGAGATCAGGTAATGTCCATCTCACAATGGGCCCTCTGGATCCACAGAGCCACCCAGCAATCGTTTCCCCTCTTCCTGAATGTATAATCAGGATATACATTCATGCATACATCATAATACGTAGCAATTGGCTGACCCGGTTCCTTAACCTGGGCTTTCCTAAACTATGAAATAACAATGACTGTCTTAGGGAAGGCCAAGCAGAAGCCTCTGAAACTGAGGTTTCATGGTGAAAACAAGTAAGTTAAAAGCAATATCACATTCTTGGGGAGTGATAGAGATTAGTGCCACCTACAAAGACCTGAAGGAGGCAGGGGTTGTTACCCCAGTTACACCTCCATTTTAATTCAGCAGTCTGCCCTCTGGTATCTCCTGGTGGTTCATGCTGCTAAATGGCTCCTAAAACTTAACCAAGGAGTAGCCCCAATTATAGTTGCTGTGTCAAATATGGTATCTTTATTATAATGGGTTAGCACAGCCTTAGCAAGTGATATGCAACTATTAATATGGAAATGCCACTTTTAAAGGATTCAGCAGGATGTAGGTTGAGAAGCAATTCACATTCTCAAGGATTGGACAACAGTATATCCTTACGGTCTTGCTCCAGGGCAATGTGAATCCTGCTCCGTGTTACAATATAGCCTTTCTGGAAACTCTGGAATACATTACATTCGTCCACTGGATTGATGACAGTATGTTCATGGGCCTGATAAGTGAGAAATATAGACTATTCTGAATGACTTACTAAATCACAAACACTGCAGGTGGTGGGAGAGAAACGTTACAAAGATTCAGAGATATGCCATATAGGTAAGCTGTCAGGGGTTCAATGGTCTGGAGCATGTCAGTGTATCCCCTCCAAAGCTCCAAGCTATTGCAGCTCATACCTCCTACCACGAAGAAACTCAGAGCTTGATGGGCCTCCTCAGGTTAGGAGAATCACCATGGTTGACATTCTGATGAATGTGATTCTAGGCTTTGTAACGTGTGTGTGTTTGGGAGACAGGGAGTAGGGAGGCAGTGGGTATACCATCTTAATAAATAAAAAATGCTTATCAACTTTTTTCACTTAATAACATACAATGGACATTGTCACATCAATAAATACAGCTCTACATCATCCTTGCCATACCTTTCCTTTTTTCATCCAAACTGAATTGTTATTGGCTAGTTAGTGATTTTTGGTCTTGTAAGCAATACTAACTTGTACTGAGAGGCAGCACAGGCTAGCATTTAAGAGCACAGACTCTGAATGTAGCCCGTGTAGGTAGAAGCCCAGCTCCTGCACATGTCTACTTGCTGGCAGTGTGTGCTTGGGCAAGCTATTCATCCTTCCCCTGCACTGCTTCATCTGTAAAATTGAGGTAACCCTCTGGATTATTGTGAGGATTAATAAGTTAATATTTATTATTCACTTAGAAAGTTTCTGGCCCTGCATGCAATACATAAGTAATAAATAAACAAATCTAAGATGAACACAAACACCCTTGTATCAATTCAGGCTCTTTGCCATCAAGAGAGACCCAATTTATCTAGGTTAGGCAAAAAGGGACTTTGATGATGAAATACACAGTGCCTCACAGAAAGGGCTGGAAGGCAGGGGTACTGAGCTGGCAAATAGCCCTGGAAAAAGGCAGGAATCAGAGTGGTTCCAGGCATTGAGCGCCAGGAATGATGCAGCTGTGTCCTTAAGGATGTTAATAATTTTACTAATTTTTTTTTAAAAAAACACAAAAAACAAAAACTCCTCACAATACTTCACTCAAGAGTCCAACTCCCACCACACAGCGTCTGGCTGGCCTGGCCTGCTCACGGGCCAGCATTGTGATGAACAGCTCCTCACTCCTGCACCCAGAAGGGAGAGCTCCTTCACCCAAAGGAACTGGGGACTGTTAGGAAAGGGGGATGGAGGAGGCTGGACAGCCAAGGAAATCACAGCTGACCAAGGGAACCCACCTGGGACACTCAAGGCCTGGACCACTGCTGTCTGATGGAGGAACAGGGGCAATTCCAGGCCAGTCAGAGAGGCCGCAGAGTTGGGGGGCTGCCAAGTTCCTTGGGTCCATGGGACCAGGTAACTGTTTCCCCATTGCCCTGTGCTGCGGAGGCAAAGGCTGAGTTGGTCACTGTTCTAGAGGGAAGGCAGTCTGCCTTACACCACTGGACAACCAAGAACAAGGATGGGAGCTATACCTGTCATGGTGTCAATCCAGTACACCTGCATTCAAAGAGATGCTGGATCCTGGGTGGGTTCCTACCCTCTGGGAGTGTGCTGTGTCCCTGGGAGCTGCCAGGACCCGGTGCTGTAATTGTCCTGAGCTGGGAGGTCATGAGCTCTCGGTAATGACCTCTCAGCTGGAATCTATCATGGTGAGTCCTGGGCATCAGCACACACCCTGCTCTGCTGAGCTGGGAGAAGCACATTCCACCAGGAAGAAGGGTAGATGGCCCTGGGAGGCTTCACAAAGCTCTGGAATTGGAGCCCAGGAACTAAAGTTGTCATGACTGTTTCCTGCGACATCAAACTCTCACATATGCCCAGTAGGGTGCCATTTATTCCCTAGTTAGATGCTCAGGGAAGTCAGAGCAGGAAGGAGGCAGAGGGAAGGACAGGGCCTGAATCCCTTGGAAAGAGGTGGCTGCTTCAGTAAGTCCCTGAAACAAGTACAGGATTCGATACCATCACTCAATCTCCTTCTGTAACAAAGACAAAAAATACACTTAGACTCCTCTGCAAGAACTGATATGTCTCATCTATATAGATGATTTATAATTAACTCCAGTGAAATTCTAGAATGCCCATGCCTTTTCTCCAGGGGTATTATTTGTTTTCTTATTTTGTTTACTGAAATAAGTCAACTCCTGTGAGCGCAAAAGTACAGAGTATGCGTAGTCCTGAGTTGTATATCTCATAACGAAGGTGCGCTTCCTGTTTGATGCTATGTTTAGTGGTGTCTCTTCTCTTGGGTGGGCAGTGGGCCTGGGGGAGTCTCTCTAGAACTTCTGGTGCCCCCAGGAGCAGGCCTGAGTGTGGGAGGGGGGTAGGGCTGGGTCATTGCTTAGGAGTGAGGAGCAGGGAGTTCTGCTTCTGATATTTAGGAGGAAACTCCTGAGCATCAAGTCCTCTTGCAGAGGACAGCTAGAAACTCTGGACGGTAGTCAAAAAACAATGGCTTGAGGCCTCTGTAAGGTAAATGAAACTCGAAGAGACACTTCCTGTTTTTTATTGCCTGTCCCTGAGAGCAACAACAGTTTTGTGTGGCACAACCAAAGCTTTGATAGAAAGCCTACCTTCTTTGTGGTTGGCCAAGCCATGGGGAAGAGCCCAGAGCAACCAGGCTTTCTAAGGAATGAAGGGAAAATCCCAGAAGGCAAAAAGCCACAGAAAAGAACTCAGATAATGTGTATGACCCTTCCCAAGTCTCTGGCTGATGCCTGGAGTGAAGTGAAATCAGTCTGAACATAGAGCAGAGCTTTGCCCACTGCAGACAAGAACTAGAGTGTGGCTTGAACCTAAACACAGAAATCACCTGCCAGAACAAAAGCTCTTCCTGTTCTGATCCAAGCTAGAGTTAGCAATTAGCTGCCAATGTAGTCACTCTAGATGCAGACTGGACACTGGGTGCTGCAGGTCAATGTGACTAACCAGGTGCCTTCCCACCTTCTGCTATCACTTCTGTTCAGATTCCTCTGGGCTGGAATTTTTCATCTGACATGAAACCACCTCTTACTACCTTACATCAACACCGAGATATTGCTCTCCTGAAATCTTCATTCACATTTTCCGCCGAACTCCATTTGTGTGTGACTGAAAGAGTCTACACCAGTTCACACAAGGACAGCACACTCTAGAGTTGTATAGTGTGGCCCCGCCAGCATTAAGCAGGAAACTAGGGTGTGGCCTGTTCAGGGAAGGGGGTTACTTCTCTACTGAGACATGTGGTTACATATTTAACCGCATCCTGCCAGAGCTGCCAGAAAGGTGGGTAGGACCACTTTCCATCTCCTGTTCACCTCATCCTCCAGAGGGTTCATCCACAGTTGCCTGAGTCTGGGTGGGGAGGAGGATGCAGGACCTCAGCCTTGAGATCTCAGGACCTCGAGTCTTGGCCATATAATGATGTAGCCACCACTTCTGGCTCTCTCTCTGGTGTCTGTGTTCACTCCTCTGAGTCTCACAGAATGGGATTGTGCCCATGGCTGGTGCACTCTGCATGCCAGTGGACATGTCTGCTCTTAGATGGTTTTGTAACATCTGTGTCAGTACATGTGGCCCAGAGTGCTGTACAGGAGCTGGCTGGTGCTTTTTGTTTTGTGCTTATTCAGGAAATACAAGAAATAACTCCTGGGTTCCTGCATTGTGCCATTGTCTGAATGATAAATGGTAAATCCCAGCCCCACTTCCTCATGCTCCCCAGTGGGGAAGGACCCAATTTCCAATTCCAAATTCTTACAAGCACAGCTCAAGAATACCATTATTGTCATCACAGCTGAGCCTGGAATCCAGGCTCTGAGATAAATGCGAGCCCCTCACTTCCATAGCTCCACATTCAATGGGCTGAACATCCTCTAGAATTATTCATGAGAGAGGGTGTAATAGGCCATAGATGGTATGTGTTGGGAGTGCAGAGGGGTCTCCAATTCTCTCTGGAAAGGAGGGTGTCACCTACTAGACTGAGTCCACTGGCCATTCTCAACTGGCTAGTAGCTGCATAAGTGGATCTGTCAGGGAACTTACCCTTTATTCCCCTATACATCAAGAAAATGGATCAGTAGCAGATGAGATGGATGAGTTTTCTTTTTTTTATTATTATTATACTTTAAGTTCTAGGGTACATGTGCACAATGTGCAGGTTTGTTACGTATGTATACATGTGCCAGGTTGGTGTGCTGCACCCATTAACTCGTCATTTACATTAGGTATATCTCGTAATGCTATCCCTCCCCACTCCCCCCACCCCATGATAGGCCCCGCCCAGTGTGTGATGTTCCCCACCCTGTGTCCAAATGTTCCCATTGTTCAATTCCCACCTATGAGTGAGAACATGTGGTGTTTGGTTTTCTGTCCTTGCGATAGTTTGCTCAGAATGATGGTTTCCAGCTTCAGCTATGTCCCTACAAAGGACATGAACTCATCCTTTTTTATGGCTGCATAGTATTCCATGGTGTATATGTGCCATATTTTCTTAATCCAGTCTATCATTGTTGGACATTTGGGTTGGTTCCAAGTCTTTGCTATTGTGAATAGTGCCGCAATAAACATACATGTGCATGTGTCTTTATAGCAGCATGATTTATAATCCTGTGGGTGGAAAAAACTAAAGTTCATATGGAACCAAAAAAGAGCCCACATTGCCAAGACAATCCTAAGCCAAAAGAACAAAGCTGGAGGTATCACGCTACCTGACTTCAAACTATATTACAAGGCTACAGTAACCAAAACAGCATGATACTGGTACCAAAACAGAGATATAGACCAATGGAACAGAACAGAGCCCAGAAATAATACCACACATCTACAACCATCTGATCTTTGAGATGGATGAGTTTTCAACTTCAATGTCATTGTTGTGGGAATCAGCACAACTGTGTCAGTATGTTGTCCAGAAAGACATTGGACCAGAAGGCCCTGGAGGCCACCTGCTCCCCAAAACTTGTTCCACTTGACAGTTTTACAGCCCACCTGGCCCTGACAACCTCATCCCAAGGTGAGACACAAGATTCCCAGCAAAGCCTGGTTCCCAGGGCCATTTCATGGCCTGGCCAGACCAGGTGGTCCTGTGCTAGTGGGCTGGGGCCCTATATGATGCCAACCTGTTCCCTGGGCACAGCATTTGTACCCATGAAAAGCACGTGCACCAGTTATGAGAAATGCACAGGGCTGTCCCACCAAGCTCCCACCGCTTGGCCCTGGTGAGAGCTCATTAGACTTTATTTTGGATTTCTCCTAGACCAGATCTGTTATGACTGACAGGCTAAAAAGACCCACCTCATCCTCAAAACAGGGTTTTCTCAGCCCTTGCTAGGCACAGGTGCCCTGGGAGAACCCCCCCTAGTGGTCCAGTCAGCTGTTTCCCACCCACATTTCCAGGAGGAGCACCTGTGGAAAGGCAGACTCCACCCCTTCCCTGCACATCTCCTCCAGACCATGGTTGGCAGATGGGCATTGGCCTTTGCTAGAACTGTACTTCCTGTCTCATAATCTCTAAATCTTCATGAAGCTACACTTTCCACCCCACTCTTCCTTTGTTCAGCAACACTGAGGTCCTTGCCAGGTACCCTGTTCTTCATAGGAGCACCCACTTTCCAGCCCAAAGAAATGAAAGTTGCTGCCCATGAGGTGCTGGTGGACACCATCTGGATGGTCCACGAGGTACTCTCCTTCTCTCACCACACATGCATCACCTGGCAGTCCTAAGATCTAGGATAGTCCAGGGACCATTCCATTCCAGCTCACTGTGCTGAAACTAGTAGACACATGGAGGTTTGCAGAAATATTAGGAGTGAGGACTTGTTAAAAGGCTGCACATTTCGTTGAAGCCTTTGCTGCCTCCAGCCCCAGCCTCCAGGTTCTCTCCACTCCTGGTGGTGCCCAGCCCAGCATTGTTGGGACCCTGAAGCTCACAAGGAGACCTCAGTCCCACCACAGCTCAGAAGACATTCCTCCACCTTTCTGAGGGCAGGTTTGACCCCACAGCCTTAGTTCCACCCTTGTGGGGTACATCCAACATGGAGCTGCCTGGTTCCAAATATCCGATGATAGCTGATATTTGTGCTAATGGGGACCCACTGGTGAACACAGGAAGATGCCATCAGGAATCTCCAGAATGTGAAACGTGGTGAACCTGTAGAGAGTCGTTCTTTTTCAGTCCAGCAGTTGGGGCTCAAAGGGAAGCTAAGACTCAGAGGAGCCCTGTGACAGAGCAGGAGCACCATCATCTTGGACAAACACCACAATTTTAAGTTCACCTTAATTAAAAAGCCCCCTAAATCCAGCCCAAAAACATCAGCCTAATGGCTAATGTCAGCATAACCAGAAACATTCCAACCCTAAGATAAGCCACCCCCCTCCAACCAGAAACATGCCAACCCTGAGACAACCTCCCCTCCCACCAGAGACATTCCAACCCCACAATAAACCTTCTCTCACATGGAAACATTCCCAGCCTGCTATAAGCTCCCCACTTCCTAAACCCTTAGATACCCTTAGTCAGTAAGAGAAAATGCTCCTGACCAAAACTGACCAGAATCCCCTCTCAGGTTTATTCTCCAAAATAAACCTGTCTTTAACTGTTGAGCCACTTTTCATGTTTCTTTCCCCTTTCTTTAACTCTTACACCCTGAGGGTAAAGGAAGGTGAAGCTCTTTCCCCTCATTCAGGGAGACTGGGTTTGGGGTGGGGGACATTGCCACACTTGTCTGGATGAAACGCACTACATGAAACCTCATGTCTTCTAATTCACTCCATACCACCCGCTTTTGCCATTTGCCCACTATTTTTGAATGTTTTCAACTGCTCAGCATCGAGTCACATCAGCGTGCCCTGCAAGGACTGCAGGAGTGTCCTGCAGGGCCTCAAGGTGCGGGGCAAGCTTGAGGGCTTCAGCCTTGGGGGAGGTCCAGAAGGCAGGGCCACCTTGGGGTTCCAGAAGGAAAGAAGTTCTCAGGGAAGAGGACAGGGACCAGGAGAAGTGAAGGGCAGAGTCCCCCGCCCCTCACGGGCTGAACAGAGGGCAGGCGGTGCCCTGGTGATGCTCGTGAGCTGCTGGATGGCAAAATGATCTCAGAATCCAGTCCTTACATGGGTTCGACTTTATTTAGAAGGAACTATGGCACTTCTACCACACATTTCGAAGTGTTTGGTGAGCTATAATCCCCAGTAGAGGACGATTTTCAGCTTTATTTCCACCCAGCCCTTAGGAGGCTGCAGTGCCCTGCGTCGCCAGGAGAGGGGGTGCAGGCCCAGTTGGGGGCGGAGCCTGGAGGAGCACGGGGTGGCCGCTTGGACGGGAACACGGGAGGCTGACATGGGGAATGGCGGTCACTGGCCCCTTGCTCGCTGCGCATGCTCACAGTGTGTCTGTGGCAGGCCTTGCTGGCTGGATGGCCTTGGGAAGGAGGCATGAGGTGGCTTCCATGGGCCACCAGGAGCCTGTGGTGCTCGTCAGCACCATGGGACAGGGATCTGTGCATGTCCAGCTGCAGATACAACAGGGGCTCAGCTGAAGGACCCTGTGTGATGATGCGGACTCAGGGGTGGCCCTGGGCCAGTCTCTTTCCTCCTGGTGCTGCACAAGGACTGAGGGCATCCTCGGGGTTTCTCATGAATGGTCCCCACCTTCAGAAGGTGGCCGGAGGGACTTCCTGTGTTGTTCAATGCTCCCCTTGTCTTTCTGACTCCCTACAATCCTTCACCCATAGCCTCTTCCTCCGCGCCAGGGTACTTCTTCCCATTCGCCCATTTTCCAACGATTCACCCCCTTCCAACAGCAATAATTACATTTCCACCTCCAACAATCCCACTGGCATCTTACAGTGTTGCAGGTTTGGGAGCCCAGTCACTGAGGCTGTGCTGAGCAGGGGACCCTGGTGAGTGGGCCAGGGAGGATCAGACCAGCCTGGTCTCACCCAACTTCCTAAAAGCTGAAATATTGCCACCAAATGCCCGCTGAGCCCAGGGGATAATTGCATCACAATCATGCAGTTGCAAGGAACTATGATCCCAGCCTCTACCCATCTGGGGCACAGATAGAAGAGAACCTGAGAAGAGAGATGTGTACCCATGTGCTTGAAATCTTTAAGATATAGGCAAAATGAAGAAACAGATGGGGATCAAAATACCAGCTTTATTCCTGATAAGAACTGGATTAGGAATGTGGCTTAGACATGTGGCAGTAAAGGGACCCCTAACACTAAACCCCAGAACTGGCTTATCCCCATGGCATCGAACCCTCCCTCATGCCATGCAGGCCCCTGTCCTTGTGCACTTGAGCTTGGAGGGGCCAACAGAGTCTTGGTCTCTGCAGGCAGGATGACTCCAGGGACACCCAGCAAGGAGCAGGCTCACTCCCACTCCTAGAGAAGAGTCCCCTAGAAGAGAAGAGTCCCCTAGAAGATGGGTGGGGACCAAGCCTTGATTGATTGATGTTCCACCTCCTAGAAGGAGACAGTTTGGCAGGACTGGCTGCTCCCACTAAAGATCCCAGGCGCCTACTCTTCACTCGTCACTTCTACGTCCCTTGGAGGCTGGCCAGGTTCTCTATTCTCATGCCCCAGTGGCACTGTTGCTGCAGCTGCCTCCTGCCCTGAAACTCTCTGGTCCATAACGCCAATGACCTCATCTCAGGGATAGACCTCTGGGTTCCCACATGGGGGTCCCAGGTTCAAGAATCACAGCCCCTCCCCACCCCTCGCCACTGAAGTCTGAACTGAAGCTGCTTTTGGTGAAGCTCACGAAGGCCCATCACCTGGATGGGTGCCCTGCCTGTGGTTCTTCCTCAATCACTGCCTCTCCTGCTTCTGAGTTTTCCAGGCTCCAGTAACTGGAACTACTTCTGTGACAGCAAAAACATTCCCTGTTGCCTGTACTCCTTGCAGCCATAGAAAATGCTCCAGGAGTTCCATTATTTCCTTCTAAACAATCCAGCAGGATTTTTAGAACTTCATACTACTTCTTAATTTGGTCCTGTCCCTTTCCCAACCCAGGTGTGTCTGATGTATTCCAGATCAAAGAAACTTTGCTTTTCCCACAGAAGCCTAGAGATTCTCCATTAACTGGCATTGCTTTTGCAGAGTGTGGTGTGTGCTCAGCTTTTTCCAACCCTGTCTGACAAGAACATCTCCTTCCCTGCTGTCAGGAGCTGCCCTAGCAAGGGCATGTCCACCTGTAAAGGTCAACACTTGCAGATTTCCAGCCAGCTCATTGGTCTGGAATTCCAGCCCCTAAGCACACCCAGAGAAAAGCTGGTACATATGTCAGTGCCACTCAGTGGCCTGGGCCTGCTTGCTGCCCAAGAGCAGTGAGAGGGGTGAGTGCAGACGCCAGAGCCGACTGGTGTGGTCCGCGCCAGGCCTTGTCAGTGCTGCTGTGCTCCATGGAGACTGGGATCAGAGGACAACTGTGCCCAACAGATGCTCAGCTTACCAGCCACTGTGCCTCCATAAAACTGGGGAGTCATGGGGGAGCGAGCAAGAGAAAGAGAGAGAGAGACCTACAGGTGTGCAGTACCTGATAGAAACAGTGACCTCGCCCACTGGAAAAGCTGTCCTCACCAGTGTCTTGGCACCTGCTTATTAACTCATTTTGGGGAAAGCAGGGCACCAGTAGAATCAGGGTAGAAACCCCCCACCCTCGTATTTTCAAATGTACCTGAACAAGCATTCACAGCTTCCAACTATTGTGCAATAAACAGCAAAAAAAAAAAAAGTCCTTGAACCAAAATTGTCCTTAGCTGCTCTGCCCTCTAAGATGGGGCATAGTTTACATGGGAGTTGGGGGAGGACTCCATGTTTGCCCCTTCCCCTTGCTGAGATGGCTGGGGGTGGGGGCTGGAAAAAGTTGGATTCAGCAGAATGTAATTTGGAAAACATGGCTCTGGAGCACCATCCCCTCTGGCCCCTGAATCCTCACCAGCTTCCACCCTCTGCTCACCTTGGGCCCTGGATTCCAGCGCCCCCAGGCTCCCAGCTGCCTCCCTGTCTCTGCCCCATGGTCCAGCCTGGAGTTCTGGTCCCTGGTTGTGTCCTGTGGCCCCATTCTCATGCGCCCTTTGCTTCTATTTCTTTACCTATGACTTTATACTGATGTAAAGCGAGTCTTCTCGGTCGCTTCTTGTTCTCTGAGGAATGTTGAATCAGAATCTAAATGGAAAATCTGGGAAGAGATAGAACCTCCCGCGGGAGCCACCCTGCCCTTCCATGTCTAGATCATCTGGGTTCCAACCTCCATCCTCCTCCAATGAGAAGCTTTTGTTCTCTCAAGATTCCAGTGACTTCTCCGAAGCTCTCTTCATCCCTGGCTGTTCCAAGGTGGCCCCATAGTCAAGATTCCTTAAACCCTTGCCCCTTAAAATGTTTGCCTTTCTTACCATGCTGGCTCCAGCCTCTGGTCCCAGGGGTGTGGAGAGTTCTCTCTTACTTCTGGCTGATTTCCAGGAAGGCTAAGAACACTCTCCCCAGGTTATAATGCTGAGCATTTTGGTTCTCTCCAGCCCTGGGTCCCCATGTCAGGACCTACCTTAGTCCAGTCCATGCTCTCCCATGGGCCTGAGAGAAGATTTGAAGTTTCTGGCTTTCCCTCCAACCCTCCAACTCTCACCCCCAGCCATTTCAGCAAGGGGAAGGGGCAAACATGGAGTTTTCCCCCCAACTCCCATGTAAACTATGCCCCCTCTTAAGAGGGCAGAGCAGCTAAGGACTATTTTGGTTCAAGGACATTTTTTTTTTTTTTGCTGTCCATTGCACAAGCAAGTGGACTCCCGGAAGCCAGCCCTGCTCGTCCTCTGGGCCCTCCTTTCCCTGGTCCTGCAGGTCTTGCTGCTTGTCAGGCCTCTCCTCCAACCGTCTGCCACATTTCAGAAAAGCTGAGAACCCCTTGGAGTGAAAAAGGAGGAGAAACACGGTGTCTGTATCCCAGCAGGAAGTTAAATAAATACTTTCACTTTTCTTTTCCCCATTTGGGCAGAAATCTGTGAGGGTGAGTCAGTCTGTCGGCCGACTTCCTGCTCCGGGTCAGGGCAGCCACACTGCACGCAGGCTGGGCCGACTGGGGAGCTCATAGGCCAGGCTCTGACACCCAGGCAGGGCCTAGGGTGGGACGATGGCAGGTGGGGGCAGCGACCTGAGCACCAGGTGAGTCTTTATCTCTCTTCCTTTCACCTTTATCTCTGGCAGTATTGGAGCTTTCATGCCTGTAGTTCAGTTTCTGTCTAAAGCTTCAGTTTAGTCCTGCTTTGCAAGAACATAGGTAGGTAGTGTAATATAATGGAATAAAAGAGAATGTAATAAGGAAATCAGATTTTTACAACTGCAGCAGGACAGCTGTTTGTGTGAGTCCAGCTTGCCATAACACAGATGACTTTTCTTGTTTTGAAACTACTGCTCAGCTGGCGGGGACACTCTGAACAGTCGTTTCAGTCATTTGTGACTGAGAGTTATTATTTCCTCATGAGAATGAGGAACACAAATTATATGTTTGTGTTTCAACAAACATTTCCTCATGATCTCCCAACCCTTTCACATCCCTCTGCCCTCTCTACCTTCACATATGTCATGTCAAAGAAGGTAGTTTGGAAATAGACACTCCAGGGTAAACAGCTGGCTTACTTTTAAACATTGGAAACTGTGGTTTCACCTGTCTTGGCAAGGGGCCTCAGTCAGCTTTGGGGCTATTTCCTTGACTGACTCAGGGTGTGAGTTCTGATACAATTGACCTTGATCCAAAGAAGGAAAAAGAAGAAAAAGGCCCAGGATGGCAGAAAGCTAAATATTTTTATTTTTACTTCAATTTCCTGTCCCAAGATGGGGGATGCCTCTGACCAGAAAAGAGATGGAAATCCTATCTTTTCTCTAGTAACGAGTTTATAAATAACATTACGTAATCTTTTTATTTTATTTCATTTTTTTGAGACAGGGTCTCACTCTGTCAACCAGGCTGGAGTGCAGTGGCACAATCCCGGCTCACTGCAACCTCTGTCTCCTGGGTTCAAGCGATTTTAATCTTTTAAATTTTTTAATACAAAAGAAATACATTACATTCTTACTCATAAAATTTCAAACAGTGGAGAAGTGTATAAACGAAAAAGTCTTCTTCACCACTCACTTCGCCTTGTAGCTTCCTTTCACAGTCTTGTGAAGAGTCTTCGGCATAACTTTTCTCATATTTTTCGATGCATTTACGTGTATGAAGTATGTTTTTGTAAACATATAATTTGTGTTCTCGTTTTGTAATAAATGGAATTACATTGTGCGTGCTATTCTGCATTTTGCATTTCTACTCATTTTAATGGTGGAAATCTTAGAGATCTTTTCACCTTAATGCATATAGATCTACCTCACTCTTTTTACATATACTATTCCATAGAATTTACATAGCATAATTTTTTAACCATTCTCCAATTGAAGGACATTTAGATTGTTTTAAATTGTTCACGTTTATCAATAAGCTATAATAATGATTATATATTTCTCTTTTTTTTGCACATATGCAAGTATTTCTCTTGTGCCTAAACCTTAAAAAGTGGAATTGTTGAAGCAAAGGGTGCTGTTATTTACTTGTTTATAGATCCTGCCAAATTGTCTTTTTAGGGGGCTGAACGGAGGTGTTTCACAAGTAGCAAATGAGATGAACCATCTTCCTGCACACAGCCAAAGTCTGCAAAGGTGATGAAGAATTACAATTTGTTTTAATTTGTATTTTCCTGATAATGTGGAAAGCTGAACAGCTTTTCATGTTTCTTGGCCACTGAAATTTCCTCTTCCATAATTTTTTTGTTTATTTTTTGCCAATGTGATTCAGTTGAGGTGTTTGTCTTTTTTTCATGATATGGGAGAGTTCACTAAATATTCTGCAAAGTATAAATATACTTTTCTTGTCCCTTACATTTGTATATGGTGACTTTTATCTTATTAACAGCTTAAAATTTCATGTATAAACATCTTACGACATAGATTTTATAAGACAGATGCACCCTCATTATAAATAGTGATGCAGAGAGTTGCTGAGGCACTCTGTGAGCACGGCCAGTTTTTAAAGTCGTTCTTCTGTTAAGGTGGCAGATTTGATTCTGCCTTTGTTCCAGGAAAAGTTCCTTCTCTAAAATCTCTGACATTTTCTTTTTCAATTTTTAGGCAAAATTATTCTTACATTGGAGCAACTTCAGCCTTCACAGCTTTTATCTTCCCCGTGGTCCTTTCATCTTTTCAGTTTTTTACTTTGAGTTCACAATAGTTGTCTCAAACTTTTCCTCCATGACAATTATCTAGTGATATGGTTTGGCTCTGTGTCTCCACCCAAATCTCATCTTGAATTGTAATCAGAATTGTAATTTCCAGGTGTTGAGAGAGGGACCTGGTGGGAGGTGATTGGATCATGGGGGCAGCTTCTCCCATGCTATTCTCATGACAGTGAGTGAATTCTCCCAAGATCTGATGGTTTTGTAAATGATAGCTTCCCTTGTGCTCTCTCTCTTGCCATCTTGTGAAGAAGACACTTGCTTCTCCTTCACCTTCTGCCATGATTTTAAGTTTCCTGAGGCCTCCCCAGCCATGCAGAACTGTGTGCCAATTAAACCTCTTTCGTTTATAAATTACCCAGTCTGGGGTATTCCTTTATAGCAGTGTCAAAACAGATTAATACATCTAGCTTTCAGTAGATTTCTTGTTTCTTGTAATTTCCAATTTAAAAAAATTGATCGTGTTTATTTTTGAGGAGGGATCTTAATTTGTTTCTATAGCTCTGCAAGCTCCCCTGTATTCCACATTTTGTTCATTTCTCGTTCAATCTTCATGGTTTTTCTTTTTTAGGTTTTTGTGCAATGTTAAGAACTTTGGGATATTATTATCGTCTCTGAGATATTCTTCCAGACTGATTCTATCTGATCTTGTGTTCCATGTGCCTGCTGTGGCTTTACAACCCATCTGGGCAGGCTCGACCAGGGCAGCTCACCCTAAATATCCCATTTGCTCTGTTGTAATCTGGGAGAGTCATGGTTTTTTTCAAGGTTCCTATTTTATCTGAGAGAGACCAAATTGTTTTTCATCTGAGCTACAGTTTGAAGACTCTGTTTTTATTCTTATCAATTTTTCTGAGGACACCATTAATTATCTTACCCTTTTCCCCACTTATTGTGAACCAGGTGGCCATAGAGGCAGGGTGTGTTTCTGTGTTCTCTCTTCTCTGCCCCTGGCCTGTAAGAGCCTCTTCTTATGCCAGTACCACACTGCCGTAGCGATGGAGGCTTTCCAGGAACTCTTGACATCTGACGAGGCAAAATCTCTTCCTCTTCCTCCAAAATGTCTTAAACTTTGGGTTCCCAAATTAGCCTGTCAAAATCTTGGCATTTTGTGTGAAATTGCACTGACTCTATAGATCAATTTGAAGAGAGCCGACATATTTACAATATTATGCCTTCCATTCTCATGAATATGGCTCACGTATATGATTAGTTTAGAAATGTTTTCTATTAAAATGTATTTTTCTCTCTGAAGGTCTTGTACTTCTGCTAGATTTCTTCATAGATATTTGATATCTTTATGCTATTATTAACTATAGTAGTCCTTCTTTATCCACGGTTTCACTTTCTGAGGTTTCATTTAGTCATAGTCAACCATGGTCCAAAAACATTAAATGGAAAATTCCAGAAATAAACAATTCATGAGTTTTAAGTTACTTGCTGTTCTGAGTAGTGTGATGAAATCTCACGCTGTCCCTCTCCATCCCGCCCAGGATGCGAACTGTCCCTTTATCCAGCGTATCCACAATGTGGACACCACCAGTCCATGAGTCACTGAGTAGCCATCCTGGTAATCAGATCGGCTGTCATGGTATCTCAGTGCTTGTGTTCAGAGAACCCTGATTTTAGTCAATAAAGGCCCCAAAGCACATGAGGATTGATGCTGGCCATTCAGATATGCCAAAGAGAAGCCGTCAAGTGCTTCCTTTAAGTGAAAATGTGAAATTTCCTGAAAGAAAAAAAAAATCACATGCTAAGGTTGCTAATATCTACAGTTCAATCTTTTGAGAGAGAGAAAGAGACCACATTTACATAACTTTTATTACAGTATATTGTTATAGTTGTTCTACTTTATTATTAAATATTATTTTTAATCTCTTATTATGCCTAATTTATGTATAGATGGGGGAAAACATAGTATATACAGAGTTTGGTACTATCTGCAGTTTCAGGCATCCGCTGGGGATCTTGGAAGCATCTGCTGTGGATAAAAGGGAATGAGTGTACTAAATTCTCTCTTACATATAAATTTGTATAGGTGACCCATGTTCTAATCCATGGTTATATTTTTTATTCTTGTTTCAATACTGAACTGTTTTAGTTGCTATGATCTTCTAGGTAGTGTTCTGTAACCTGTCTTGCTGGGATTCAACTGAGAGACACTAAATGAATAGATAAATCTAACAAGAATTTACATTTTTAAAAATTCTTAATGATCCCAGCTAGAAACATGGTATATCTCTCCACTTATTTATAATTTTTTGAACTTGAGTCCTTATTGGGTCACTTTAGTGCTAGGCATTTTAAAATTGTATTTGTAAACAGGAACTCGTTTTCCTTTTACATTTTCTAGTTATTTCTTTCTGGCATAGGGGAAATCTATTTGTTTTAGTTTGATGACTTTGTGCATAGGAGACTTTCTAAGTAGTCTTCTCCCTTCTATTATTGTCTTGTTTTTTTCTGGAGAAATAATTACATCTTCAAAATAGCAGCTTTGTCTGCTCTTTTTCAGAATTTATACCGTGTATTTTTCTTTTTCTTACTTTTTTTCCTTCTTTTTCCCTTTGTGCATTAGGCAGGATTGTCAGTGTAATACTGAATAGCAACAACAAAAATGAGCATTTTTGTTTTGTTCCAGCGCTCAGGGGAACGCTTGTAATGTTTAACTTGAGACTTTCTGACAGATGCCTTTTATCAAGATAAGGACATTTTCTGCTCCGGTTTACTAAGTTATTTCTTTTAATCAAGACCATGTATAGGATATTTATCAAAATGTTTGCTAAAGAATCTTTGAGGTCATCATATCATTTTACTTTTATTAATTTTGATAATTTTTCCAAAGTAAAACATACATAGAGAGATTAAAATATCAAACAGTCAACAAGACCTTAAAATACAAAAGTAGCTCTTTCGGCCATCTTCCCCAGTCGTCGTCCAGTTTCCCAGATGGATTATCTTTAACCTTTTAGCTCTTCCTTCTGTACTTACTTCTGTAATTTGAAAAGATATGCAGATACAGCTCTTTGTAATTTTTCAAGTTCCAGACATTAATCTGTTCACATAATAGGGCAGAAGATGAAGACTTCTCCCCTAACACTCCTTTTCATTCCCCATCCATTCTCGTAATACATCACAGTTTGAGGTTCATCAGTAATCAGTGTTATCGTTATGAGGGTTATTTAAATGATGTTCATAACCAAGTCATATACTATGTGATGATCACATTTCCTTTCCTGTGCAACATCTTTCCCAAAAATAACTATTGCCCTCTTACACATTTGCTTGGATTTTGTGTGCCCTTGTTATGAATTCTTCCCAGGCACCCTGCAGAATTCTAAAATTCTTCTCAGGACAGTGAGGCACATTGTGTAACTTATCAATTCCGTTTTATTTTCTTGGGGGAGCCCTTCTGGAGCTACCCATTCTGCTGATCCAATTAGTTCTGGTTAGTTTCAGCTTCCAAGACTGACCTTCTGAAGCTAGACATCTCTCCTGTGTTGGGTCTTGTTTTATGGATTACATGTATCTTCTTTCTTGCTTTACTATCTCATTTTGGCTTACCGCATTATCCAGTAGCCTCCTGACTAAGAGTTCATAGAAGGTATATATCTTAAGATCATTCATATCTGGAAAAAAAATTATTCTTAAACCTCACAACTGTATGAAAATTTGGTAAATCTAAATGTATAGTTTGGAAATTAATTTGGTTAACTGCCTTGCAGTTTTCAGCATTGCTAATAAGAAGTCGAATGCCATTCTGATTTTTTTTTTTTTTTGATGGAGTCTCGCTCTTTCTCCAGGCTGGAGTGCAGTGGCACAATCTCAGCTCACTGCAACCTCCACCTCCCAGGTTCAAGTGATTCTCCTGCCTCAGCCTCCCGAGTAGCTGGGACTACAGGTGCCCACCACCACGTCTGGCTAATTTTTTGTATTTTTAGTAGAGACAGGGTTTCACCATGTTTGCCAGGAAGGTCTCAATCTCTTGACCTCATGATCCACTCGCTTCGGCCTCCCAAAGTGCTGGGATTACAGGCATAAGCCACCGCGCCCGACCCCCATTCTGATTCTTGATCCTGTCTTTCTATGTCACCTGTTTTGCCTCTCTGAAACTTTCTGGCTCATCTCTTTAATCCCTTGATTCTAAATTCTCATGATGGTTTGCCTTGGCGTGAGTGTTGTGCTTAGTTCTCCGGGGTCCTTTCAAATGGAGACCAATTTATTTCAATTCTCATCATTTTGCTTGTGATATTATTTAATTATTTTCTCCCTTCTGCCTTATCTCTCTGTTTTATGTTTTGGAATTCCTGTTAGTTGGATATTGGGTTTCCTAGGTTGATCCTCTAGAGATTTTTTGTTTTTTTTTCTTGACAATCTTGTATGTCTTCTTCTTTTGAATCTACCTTCTATGACATTTTCTCAGGACCTTCATTTCTTCTAGTGATTTAAAAATTTCTGCCATGATATTTTTAATTTCCAAAAGCCCTTTTAAAAAGTTGTTTCTCGTTTATAGCATCTTGTTGTTGTTGTTTCAAGAAATCCAATATTTTCTCTCTCCTAATGAGGATGATGATTTTTAGAATTGCATCTGTTCCTTCCAGGTTTCTTTCGCAGCTCCTGCTCCAATATTTGCTTGTTCTGAAAGAATTCATCAAGTGTCCATTGGGTGTCCATTCACATTTCAGAACGAGACACTAGAAATCTGACTAGAAGCTCTGTGTAAGGAATGCCTCTCGTTGACTGTACCCCATTTTGATTTTCATCTTCCAATTTATCCTCTGAAGGAACAGTGCCTCTAATTACTAACCACTTCCAGAGTTTGAAAGCATACATGGGCTTACTCCTTGTCAGCATTTCCTCTGCAAGTAATCAGGTATTTTATTCTTTCATTCTGTGAAACTAGCTGCCATGTATGCACCTACCTTCTGAAATGTTTGGTTGTCTCTTATTTGATGTCCTTTCCTCTCCTGTTCCCTGGTTCCTGCTGCTTTTCTGCCTGTAACTCTCTATTACAGGTGGTTTCATGGGATTTCACAGGGAACAAAGATGAATGCAGATGTGTTCAACCCGCCAGGCTTAATGAAATACATAGATCGATTATCTAATGTGATTTGTCCTGGAATTCCTGAGATAACACCTACGTGGTCATGTCACATGATTTTTTCATCCATTCCAGTGTTGGATTTACATGTATTTTATTGTGGGATTTTGCCTTATGTGTTTTTAAGCAACAGTTTTTATTTTGTATTTGCTTGATGTTGATAGCGAAACTATAACAGCCTTATGAAATAATTGAGGGTGATTAAAATTATATGTATATATATATATATAAATGGTTTCTTTAATACAGACATTACCTGTTCCTTGAAGGATTGCTAAAAATTGTCCATTAAATGATTTGAAACCAATGTCTGTGTGTAGGTGTGGGGTGAAATGTAGTTTAGGGTAAGTCTGCAAGCATATTATGCATTTCTTCTATTATTTTTAGTTCTCATGCTGACCTTTGAGGCAGTTTTTATCATTTATATTGTCCTAAAGTATATTTTCCCTAGATTCTCTTATTTATTGGTAGAAAGTTGTATCGAAATTTCTCTTATAAAGTTTTAATTCTTTCCTTCTCTGAAGACATATCATTTTTTAAACTCCTAACGTTGTTTATTGTTGTCTTTTCCTTTGTTCTTTTGATCAATCTTTCCATTTTGTTGGTCTTTTCAATGAACCACTTTTTGCTTTTATTGATCCATTACTCTTATTTTTTGTTTGAGATATAATTAAATCTTGCTTAACATTTTTATATTTTTCTATTTATTTTCTTTCCTAATTCTTTACTTCAACTTTGTTGAGGGGATTACCTTGTGTTCTGTTTCTGATACCTTGCTTTAAAACTTAATCTACTTGTCAGTGTTTCTTATTTTCTAATAAATGCATGTTAGGCCATGAATATTCACCTCTGTGCCACTTTGGAAACGTTTGGCCTTTATAATGTACAGTGTTTTCACTGGAGTTTCTTAGCCGTTTGTTATTTTGATTTTGATTTCCTGATTAACCTAAGAAGCGTCTGGAAGCAGCTTTTAAAATTTCTCAGTGGAACGAGTTGGGGAAGTCGTCCTCTGTCCTTGGGTTGTTTACTCTGATCCTATCACATTGTGGTTAGAAAATGTGTTTTTTAGGATTTTGGTTTGTGAGAGTCTACTGTTGTTTTTTTTGTGGCCTAGTGCATAGTCATTTTTGAGGCTTTGCCACATTTGAAAGGCAATATAATGTAATGATTAAGAGTGTGGTAACTAATGTCAGATGGGAGAGAAAGTGGGAGGGGAAGAGAGGATCAACACTAGGATGATTGGAGAGGGACGGTGTGAAGTCCAGCTCTGCCACTGCATAGATGTGGAGGTGGGGCAAGCCTTGTTTCTTCCCTATAAAATGATGGTATCAACAATGGTGTTACCAGTGGGCTGGTACAGGTTCTTGTCTTCACCCCAGAAAAGAATTTGAAGGCCAGACCAAACTGAAAGTACAGAAGATTTATTGCAGCGTGAAAGCAAGTACATACTCAAGAGAGGATTGTGAGTGTGCTCAAAAGAATAAGCTGAACCCAATATGGCCAGGACTCACATACTATACAGATAAGCATAATGAAGGTGTGGAATATTCCATCATAAGAGGAGGGATTTTCTGGGAAATGGGCAGGCAGTTCCCAGAATTGGATTGCCACTTTTTTCTTTACTAAATATGGTTAATCCAGAATTGACATGGCATCAGATGCATGATGGGATTGGGAGGTTTCCCCGTGGAAGTCTTATAGTAATAGGGGCATAATGCAGTCAAGGGTCCACAGCCAGTCAAGTTTCTGGCCATCTTGGATTAAACCAGTTGTGGTTGATTTCTTCTTTGTTACATTCTTATCTGTGCCTAATCTAGAACGTCTAAATTGTCTTTATTTTTGCAGCCTGTTGCAACAGTTCCTTTCCACTAAGGGGTGGGTCCTTGAGCTAAACTATTTGGCCCCATTTGTTTTGCTTTTAGCTACCTGCAAGTAATTATGTCTTGTTCCCTCACTAACTGCCTACCACCTGTTTCATGAGAATCTATGAGGAGGAAACAAGTTAAGCTACGCACCAAGCACTTAGAAGAGTGAGTACCTCATACAGAGTGAGTACTCAGAAATGTCAGATATTTTTTAATGTACTGAAACAAGTTATAACCTCTTCATTACACATCTACTTAACCCAGAATGCTCATTATTTTATTCAAATCTTTAACTTGATTTAATTTTGACTTACTGGACTTGTCAACTTCTAACAGAGATGCCTTAACATTTTTTTACTACAATTGTGAGTTTTTCAGTTTTCCTATATCACTGTCAGACTTTCCTTTCAATATTTTAAAGCAATTTTCTTACAGATCATGACTTCTACTACATAGACTGGTAGAATATATCTTTTATCAGTATGCAAAAAACTTCTGTGCTGTTTGTATTACTCTTCAGTCTAAATTCTGTTTGTTTCTGATGTCAGTTTTGCCACAGAGCTCTCTTTTATTTTGCATTTGCCTGGTGTGTTGTATTAGTCTGTTCTTGCACTGCTCTAGATAAATACCTGAGACTAGGTAATTTATAAAGAAAAGAGGTTTAATGGCGTTTCTAGTTCTAGATCCTTGAGGAATCGCCACACTGACTTCCACAATGGTTGAACTAGTTTACAGTCCCACCAACAGTGTAAAAGTGTTCCTTTTTCTCCACATCCTCTCCAGCACCTGTTGTTTCCTGACTTTTTAATGATTGCCATTCTAACTGGTGTGAGATGGTATCTCATTGTGGTTTTGATTTGCATTTCTCTGATGGCCAGTGATGATGAGCATTTTTTCATGTGTCTTTTGGCTGCATAAATGTCTTCTTTTGAGAAGTGTCTGTTCATATCCTTCGCCCACTTTTTGATCGGGTTGTTTGTTTCTTTCTTGTAAATTTGTTTAAGTTCATTGTAGATTCTGGATATTAACCCTTTGTCAGATGAGTAGGTTGCAAAAATTTTCTCCCATTTTGTAGGTTGCCTGTTCACTCTGATGGTAGTTTCTTTTGCTGTGCAGAAGCTCTTTAGTTTAATTAGATCCCATTTGTCAATTTTGTCTTTTGTTGCCATTGCTTTTGGTGTTTTAGACATGAAGTCCTTGCCCATGCCTATGTCCTGAATGGTAATGCCTATGTTTTCTTCTAGGGTTTTTATGGTTTTAGGTCTAACATGTAAGTCTTTAATCCACCTTGAATTAATTTTTGTATAAGGTGTAAAGAAGGGATCCAGTTTCAGCTTTCTACATATGGCTAGCCAGTTTTCCCAGCACCATTTATTAAATAGGGAATCCTTTCCCCATTGCTTGTTTTTCTCAGGTTTGTCAAAGATCAGATAGTTGTAGATACGCAGCGTTATTTCTGAGGGCTCTGTTCTGTTCCGTTGATCTATATCTCCGTTTTGGTACCAGTACCATGCTGTTTTGGTTACTGTAGCCCTGTAGTATAGTTTGAAGTCAGGTAGCATGATGCCTCCAGCTTTGTTCTTTTGGCTTAGGATTGACTTGGCAATGCGGGCTCTTTTTTGGTTCCATATGAACTTTAAAGTAGTTTTTTCCAGTTCTGTGAAGAAAGTCATTGGTAGCTTGATGGGGATGGCATTGAATCTGTAAATTACCTTGGGCAGTATGGCCATTTTCACGATATTGATTCTTCCTACCCATGAGCATGGAATGTTCTTCCATTTGTTTGTATCCTCTTTTATTTCCTTGAGCAGTGGTTTGTAGTTCTCCTTGAAGAGGTCCTTCACATCCCTTGTAAGTTGGATTCCTAGATATTTTATTCTCTTTGAAGCAATTGTGAATGGGAGTTCACTCATGATTTGGCTCTCTGTTTGTCTGTTGTTGGTGTATAAGAATGCTTGTGATTTTTGTACATTGATTTTGTATCCTGAGACTTTGCTGAAGTTGCTTATCAGCTTAAGGAGATTTTGGGCTGAGACAATGGGGTTTTCTAGATATAGAATCATGTCATCTGCAAACAGGGACAATTTGACTTCCTCTTTTCCTAATTGAATACCCTTTATTTCCTTCTCCTGCCTAATTGCCCTGGCCAGAACTTCCAACACTATGTTGAATAGGAGTGGTGAGAGAGGGCATCCCTGTCTTGTGCCAGTTTTCAAAGGGAATGCTTCCAGTTTTTGCCCATTCAGTATGATATTGGCTGTGGGTTTGTCATAGATAGCTCTTATTATTTTGAAATACGTCCCATCAATACCTAATTTATTGAGAGTTTTTAGCATGAAGAGTTGTTGAATTTTGTCAAAGGCTTTTTCTGCATCTATTGAGATAATCATGTGGTTTTTGTCTTTGGCTCTGTTTATATGCTGGATTACATTTATTGATTTGCGTATATTAAACCAGCCTTGCATCCCAAGGATGAAGCCCACTTGATCATGGTGGATAAGCTTTTTGATGTGCTGCTGGATTCGTTTTGCCAGTATTTTATTGAGGATTTTTGCATCAATGTTCATCAAGGATATTGGTCTAAAATTCTCTTTTTTTGTTGTGTCTCTGCCTGGCTTTGGTATCAGAATGATGCTGGCCTCATAAAATGAGTTAGGGAGGATTCCCTCTTTTTCTATTGATTGGAATAGTTTCAGAAGGAATGGTACCAGTTCCTCCTTGTACCTCTGGTAGAATTCGGCTGTGAATCCATCTGGTCCTGGACTCTTTTTGGTTGGTAAGCTATTGATTATTGCCACAATTTCAGCTCCTGTTATTGGCCTATTCAGAGATTCAACTTCTTCCTGGTTTAGTCTCGGGAGAGTGTATGTGTCCAGGAATTTATCCATTTCTTCTAGATTTTCTAGTTTATTTGCGTAGAGGTGTTTGTTGTATTCTCTGATGGTAGTTTGTATTTCTGTGGGATCGGTGGTGACATCCCCTTTATCATTTTTTATTGCGTCTATTTGATTCTTCTCTCTTTTTTTCTTTATTAGTCTTGCTAGCGGTCTATCAATTTTGTTGATCCTTTCAAAAAACCAGCTCCTGGATTCATTAATTTTTGAAGGGTTTTTTGTGTCTCTATTTCCTTCAGTTCTGCTCTGATTTTAGTTATTTCTTGCCTTCTGCTAGCTTTTGAATGTGTTTGCTCTTGCTTTTCTAGTTCTTTCAATTGTGATGTTAGGGTGTCAATTTTGGATCTTTCCTGCTTTCTCTTGTGGGCATTTAGTGCTATAAATTTCCCTCTACACACTGCTTTGAATGCATCCCAGAGATTCTGGTATGTTGTGTCTTTGTTCTCGTTGGTTTCAAAGAACATCTTTATTTCTGCCTTCATTTTGTTATGTACCCAGTAGTCATTCAGGAGCAGGTTGTTCAGTTTCCATGTAGTTGAGCGGTTTTGAGTGAGATTCTTAATCCTGAGTTCTAGTTTGATTGCACTGTGGTCTGAGAGATAGTTTGTTATAATTTCTGTTCTTTTACATTTGCTGAGGAGAGCTTTACTTCCCAGTATGTGGTCAATTTTGGAATAGGTGTGGTGCTGAAAAAAATGTATATTCTGTTGATTTGGGGTGGAGAGTTCTGTAGATGTCTATTAGGTCCGCTTGGTGCAGAGCTGAGTTCAATTCCTGGGTATCCTTGTTGACTTTCTGTCTCGTTGATCTGTCTAATATTGACAGTGGGGTGTTAAAGTCTCCCATTATTAATGTGTGGGAGTCTAAGTCTCTTTGTAGGTCACTCAGGACTTGCTTTATGAATCTTGGTACTCCTGTATTGAGTGCATATATATTTAGGATAGTTAGCTCTTCTTGTTGAATTGATCCCTTTACCATTATGTAATGGCCTTCTTTGTCTCTTTTGATCTTTGTTGGTTTAAAGTCTGTTTTATCAGAGACTAGGGTTGCAACCCCTGCCTTTTTTTGTTTTCCATTGGCTTGGTAGATCTTCCTCCATCCTTTTATTTTGAGCCAATGTGTGTCTCTGCACGTGAGATGCGTTTCCTGAATACAGCACACTGATGGGTCTTGACTCTTTATCCAATTTGCCAGTCTGTGTCTTTTACTTGGAGCATTTAGTCCATTTACATTTAAAGTTAATATTGTTATGTGTGAATTTGATCCTGTCATTATGATGTTAGCTGGTTATTTTGCTCGTTAGTTGATGCAGTTTCTTCCTAGTCTCGATGGTCTTTACATTTTGGCATGATTTTGCAGCGGCTGGTACCGGTTGTTCCTTTCCATGTTTAGTGCTTCCTTCAGGAGCTCTTGTAAGGCAGGCCTGGTGGTGACAAAATCTCTCAGCATTTGCTTGTCTGTAAAGTATTTTATTTCTCCTTCACTTATGAAGCTTAGTTTGGCTGGATATGAAATTCTGGGTTGAAAATTCTTTTCTTTAAGAATGTTGAATATTGGCCCCCACTCTCTTCTGGCTTGTAGGGTTTCTGCTGAGAGATCCGCTGTTAGTCTGATGGGCTTCCCTTTGAGGGTAACCCGAGCTTTCTCTCTGGCTGCCCTTAACATTTTTTCCTTCATTTCAACTTTGGTGAATCTGACAATTATGTGTCTTGGAGTTGCTCTTCTCGAGGAGTATCTTTGTGGCGTTCTCTGTATTTCCTGAATCTGAACATTGGCCTGCCTTGCTAGATTGGGGAAGTTCTCCTGGATAATATCCTGCAGAGTGTTTTCCAACTTGGTTCCATTCTCCCCATCACTTTCAGGTACACCAATCAGACGTAGATTTGGTCTTTTCACATAGTCCCATATTTCTTGGAGGCTTTGCTCATTTCTTTTTATTCTTTTTTCTCTAAACTTCCCTTCTTGCTTCATTTCATTCATTTCATCTTCCATCGCTGATACCCTTTGTTCCAGTTGATCGCATCGGCTCCTGAGGCTTCTGCATTCTTCACGTAGTTCTCGAGCCTTGGTTTTCAGCTCCATCAGCTCCTTTAAGCACTTCTCTGTATTGGTTATTCTAGTTATACATTCTTCTAAATTTTTTTCAAAGTTTTCAACTTCTTTGCCTTTGGTTTGAATGTCCGCCCGTAGCTCAGAGTAATTTGATCGTCTGAAGCCTTCTTCTCTCAGCTCGTCAAAGTCATTCTCCATCCAGCTTTGTTCTGTTGCTGGTGAGGAACTGTGTTCCTTTGGAGGAGGAGAGGTGCTCTGCTTTTTAGAGTTTCCAGTTTTTCTGTTCTGTTTTTTCCCCATCTTTGTGGTTTTATCTACTTTTGGTCTTTGATGATGGTGATGTACAGATGGGTTTTTGGTGTGGATGTCCTTTCTGTTTGTTAGTTTTCCTTCTAACAGAGAGGACCCTCAGCTGCAGGTCTGTTGGAGTAACCGGCCATGTGAGGTGTCAGTGTGCCCCTGCTGGGGGGTGCCTCCCAGTTAGGCTGTTCGGGGGTCAGGGGTCAGGGACCCACTTGAGGAGGCAGTCTGCCCGTTCTCAGATCTCCAGCTGCGTGCTGGGAGAACCACTGCTCTCTTCAAAGCTGTCAGACAGGGACATTTAAGTCTGCAGAGGTTACTGCTGTCTTTTTGTTTGTCTGTGCCCTGCCCCCAGAGGTGGAGCCTAGAGAGACAGGCAGGCCTCCTTGAGCTGTGGTGGGCTCCACCCAGTTCGCGCTTCCCGGCTGCTTTGTTTACCTAAGCAAGCCTGGGCAATGGCGGGCGCCCCTCCCCCAGCGTCACTGCCGCCTTGCAGTTTGATCTCAGACTGCTGTGCTAGCAATCAGTGAGAGTCCGTGGGCGTAGGACCTTCCGAGCCAGGTGTGGGATATAATCTCGTGGTGCGCCGTTTTTTAAGCCCGTCGGAAAAGCGCAGTATTCAGGTGGGAGTGACCCGATTTTCCAGGTGCCTTCCGTCACCCCTTTCTTTGACTCAGAAAGGGAACTCCCTGACCCCTTGCGCTTCCCAAGTGAGGCAATGCCTCGCCCTGCTTCCGCTCGCGCACGGTGCGTGCACCCACTGACCTGCGCCCACTGTCTGGCACTCTCTAGTGAGATGAACCCAGTACCTCAGATGGAAATGCAGAAATCACCCATCTTCTGCGTCGCTCACGCTGGGAGCTGTAGACCGGAGCTGTTCCTATTCGGCCATCTTGGCTCCCGGAGCCTGCGTTTTTCTTTAATGGAAAGGTTTTTTTTTCCTACTTATTCAATCAGTTTACTTATTATTGGTCTCTTCAGATTATCTGTTTTTTCATGATTCAGTCTTGGTAGGTTGTATGTTTCTAGGAATTTATCTATTTCTTCTAGGTTATCCAATTTGTTGATGCATAATTGTTCATAGTAGCCTAATGATTCTTTGAATTACTGTGTTATTAGTTGTAATCTTTCCTGTCTCATTTATAAGTTTTAAGTTCTGTCTCTTATTTCCCTTGGTTAGTCTAGCTAAAGATTTATCCTTTTTTTTAAAATCTTTTCAAAGAACCAAGTCTGAGTTTTGTTGATCTTTTCTACTGTTTTCCTATTCCGTATTTATTTCTGCTCTAATCTACATTATTTTCTCCCTTCTCCTTACTTTGTGCTTAGTTTGCCTTTCTTCATCAGGTGTAAAGCTACGTTGTTGGAGATTTTTCTTTTTTCCAAGTGTTTATAGCTATAAACCTGATAGAATTGCTCCTGCTGCATCCCATAAGTTTTGGTGTGTTTTGTTTTCTTTTATTTGTCTTTCCTTTTTCTTCCCTTCAACTTTTAAGTTCAGGGGTACATGTGCAGGATGTGCAGGTTTGTTACATAGGTAAACATGTGCCATGGTGTTTGTTGCACAGATCATCCTAGGTATTAAGCCCAACATCCATTAGCTATTCTTCCTGATGCTGTCCCTCTCCCTACACCCCCGACAGGTGCCCAGAGTGTGTTGTTCCTCCCATGTGTTCATGTGTTCTCAACATTCCGCTCCCACTTATAAGTTAGAACATGTGGTGTTTGGTTTTCTGTTCCTGAATTAGTTTGCTGAGGATAATGACTTCCAATTCCATCCATGTCCCTGCAAAGGACATGATCTTGTTCCTATTTATGGGTGCATAGTATTCCATGGTGTATGTGTACCACATTTTCTTTATCCAGTCTATCATTGATGGGCATTTAGGTGGATTACATGTTTTTGCTATTGTGAATAGTGCTGCAATGAGCATACATGTGGTTGTATCTTTATAATAGAATGATTTATATTCCTTTGGGTATATATCCAGTAATGGGATTGCTGGGTCAAATGGTATTTCTGCCTCTAGGTCTCTGAGGAATTGCCACACTGTCTTCCACAATGGTTGAACTTACACTCCCAAAAACAGTGTAAAAGCATTTCTTTTTCTTTGCAACCTCACCAGCATCTATTGTTTTTTGACTTTTTAATATAGCCATTCTGACCAGTGTGAGATAATATCTCATGTGGTTTTGATTTGCAAAGGACATGAACTCATCCTTTTTTATGGCTGCTTTCTTAATCTTGGTCTGATTTGATTGTGCTGTGATCTGAGAAACTGTTATGATTACTGTTTTTTTTGCATTTGCTGAGGAGTATTTTACTTCTGATTATGTGATCAACTTTTGACTAAGTGCTGTGTGGTGATGGGAAGAATGTGTATTCTGTTGTTTTTGAGTGGAGAGTTCTGTAGATATCTATCAGGTCTACTTAATCCAGAGCTGAATCAGGCCCTGAATATCTTTGTTTATTTTCTGACTCGATGATGTGTCTAATATTGTCAGTGGGGTGGTAAAGTCTCACACTATTACTGTGTGAGAGTCTAAGTCTCTTTGTAGGTTTCTAATAACCTGCTTTATGAATCTGGGTGCTCCTGTATTGGGTGCATGTATATTTCAGATAGCTCTTCTTGTTGAATTGAACCCTTTACCATTATGTAATGTTCTCTTTGTCTTTTTAAAATCTTTGTTAGTTTAAAGTCTGTTCTGTCAGAAACTAGGATCAAAACTCCTGCATTTTACTGTTTTCTATTTGCTTGGTAAATTTTCCTCCATCCCTTGGTTTTGAGCCTATGTGTATCTTTGCACATGAGATAGGTCTCTTGAAGATGGCATACCGATGGGTCATGGCTCTTTATCCAGTTTGCCATTCTGTGGTTTCTTTAACTGGGGCATTTAGCCCATTTACATTTGAGGTTAGTATTGTTATGTGTGAATTTGATCCTGCCACCATGATGCTAGCTGGTTATTTTGCAGACTAGTTTATGTGGTTGCTTCATAGTGTCACTGCGCTGTGTACTTCAGTGTGTTTTTGTAGTGGCTGGTAATGGTTTTTCCTTTCCATATTTAGTGCTTCCTTTCCATAGTGTTTTGTTTTCATTTTTGTTTGCCTCATAATATTTTTAAATTACCCTTTTGGCTTCTTCTTTGACCTATTGGATATTCAAGAATGTATTGTTTAACTTCCCTACATTATTTATGTATACCTTACAGAATTTATGAATTCTCTGAATTTCCTCCTGTTATGGATTTCGAGTTTCATACCACTGTGGTCAGAAAAGCACTTGGTATGATTTCAGTCTTCTTGAATTTATTAAGACTTCTTTTGTGGCCTAACATGTACACTTGAGTAGAATATGTGTTTTGCTGCTGTTCAGTGAAATGTTCTGTATATGTCTTTTAGGTCCATTTGATCTAAAGTCTGGTTCAAGATCAAAATCCTTATGATTTTCTGTCTGATTCATCTGTCATTGTTAAGGGTGAGGTATTAAAGTCCCTTACTATTATTGTATTGCTGTTTCTTCCTCCTTTCAGATTGGTTAGTATTTGCTTTAGCTATTTAGGTATTCCAATGCTATTGTCAAAATATTTACAACTGTTATATCCTCTTGATGAATTGGCCCCTTTATCCTTATATATTGACCCTCTTTGTCTTATGTGGCCATTTTTTACTTAATGTGTATTTTGTCCAACATAAAGATAGTTACCACTGCTTTCGTTTGGTCACTTTTTGCATTGGATATCTTTTTCCATACCTTCACCTTCAGCCTACATGTGTTCTTAAACCTACCATGAGTCTCTTACATGCAGCAACTTGTTGGATCTTGTGGGGTTTTCATAATCCATTCAGGTACTCTATTTCTTTTGATTGGAGAATTTAATCCATTTATTGATAGGTGAGAACTTACTATTGCTGTTTTGTTATTTGTATTCTGGCTGTTTTGTAATTTGTATTCTGGCTGTTTTGTAGTTCTTTTTTTTTTTTCCTTTCTTTTTTTCTTGTGGCATTCCTTTGTGAGTTGATGAATTTTAAAGTGATATGCTTTGACTCCTTTCTCCTTTGTGGTTACTGTGAGGCTTACATAAAATATCTTATAGCTATATCATCTGATTTTAAGCTAACAACTTCAACCACATATAAAACTCTACACTTTTGTTTCTCTCCTCCCTCATATTTTAATTGACTAATGTTACAATTTACATATTTTTATATTGGATATCTAAAACCAAATTACTATAGTTATACTTATTTAAATGTTTGATTTTTAATTTTTATGCTAGAATTGAAAGTGATTTATGCACAATCATTACAATATAAGAGATTTCTGACTTTGACTAAATTTTACCTTTACTGGTGAGTTTTGTATATTTATATATTGTTATGTTGTTAACTAATACCATCTCATTGCAGCTTGAAGAACTAGAACTCACTTTAGCAGTTCTTGTAAGACAAGTCTACTGATGATGAACTCCTTCAACTTTTGTTTTTTTGGAAAAACCTTTATCACGCCTTCATTTAAGATAGATAGATTTACCAAGTGTAACACTCTTGGTTGGCAGTTTTTTTTCTTTCAATATTTTGAATGTGTCACCCTAATCTCTCCTGGGCTGAGAAGAGGAGGTTTCCACTGAAAACTTTACTGTTAGTCTTATGAGGGCTCCATTTTTTGTGATAAGTTATGCTTTCCTTGCTGCTTTCAAAATTATCTTTTTGTCTTTTGATAATTTAATTATAATACTTATTGGTGTAGAATTGTATTGTTGAACCTGTTTGGGGAACTTTGGGCCTCAAGAACATAAATGTCCATTTCTCTCCCCAAATTTGGGAAGTTTTTAGTCATTACTTCTTTAAATTGACTTTCTGCTCATTTTTCTTTCTCTCTTCTTCTGTAATTTCCATAATTTGTATGTTGTTTCACTTGATGGTGTCCCATAAACACAATAGGCTTTTTTTCACTCATTTTCATTCTTTGTTCTTTTTGCTCCTCTAAGTAGATAATTTCAAATGACTTCTCTTTCAGTTCACTGATTCTTTCTTCTGCTTAAGTAAGCTGTTGGAATTTTCTGTTAAATTGTTCAGTTCAGTCATTGTATTTTTTAGATCTAGGATTTCTGGGGGTTTGTTTAATGGTTCCTATTTTTTATTGGCATTATATTTTGTTTATATATTGTTTTCTGATTTTGTTGAGTTGTCCATCTGTGTTCTCTTGTAGTTCACCGAACTTTTTAAAGAGAATTATTCTGAATGTCAGTTAGCTCATAGACCTTCATTTCTTTAGAGTCAGTTGTTAGAGCTTATTAATTTCTTTTAGGGGTTTTATTTTTTGCTGATTTTTTATGATCCTTGTATCCTCACATTAGTGTCTGTACATTTGAGGAAGAAGTAACCTCTTCCAACCTTTATAGGTTTGCTTTGGCATGGAAAGCCCTTTAGTAGTCAGTGTTTCCTGGAGATCTGGACAGGTCAGCTGGTAGCATCCATGAATAGTCACAGTTTGCTTTTGAGATCTCTAGTTGTGCAGGATTATTGCCTGTGCTCTGGTGTTTGCTGGGGCCACTGGCTCGCCTGTATGGTTTGTTGAGTGTTTTGGTTGGACTCTTTGGTTGGGCAGGGCTACTGGCTGGCTTCTGAGATGGAACAAGACCTCAAGCTACTGTTCAGTGGGACCACAGGTTAGGCTCTGTGATTAATCAGGGTTGCAGGCTGTGTTTTGCAGTTGGGTTGAGTCACTGTCTGGGTTCTCTTCCAGAGTAGAACCACTGGCTGTGCTTCAGTGTCAATCAGTATTGTTATCAGGTACCTGGGTTTGGTGGGGCCACAGGCTATGCCCCAGCTTGCTGCAAGCTGGGCTCCTCTGTCAGATGGGATCATTCTCTGGAATCCCTGGTTAGGCAGAACTGCAGGCTGTGCCCCTCAGTTGGGAGGTGTCCTTGGCTTTGTTTACTGTCCATGCAGGTCGCTGGCTGGCCACTGAGGCTGGGCAGGGTTACTATTTGGGCTTCCTGGTTAGCAAGGCTAGAGGCCATACTCTGTAGTTAGGCAGAGTGGCTGGCTCGATTACCTGCGTGGTCAAGGACGTATGTTAGGCTTTGAGGCTGGGCAGAATCTCTTTGGGGGTTCCCTGGTCCAACAAGACAGAAAGCTAAACCCTGTAGCTGGCCTGGATTGCTGACTAGGCACCCAAGCCAGTTAGAATTGCTGACTATGCTCCCTGGCCAAATAGGGTCACCAGCTTGCCTCTGCAGTTGGGCAGAGCTGCTGGCTGAGCTCTCTGCTAGGGTGCTGATGGCAGGAACACAGTACCAGCATGGTGATCCATGCACTGGCCACTGTGAACCCTGCCCTCACTTCTTCATTTCTGGTCAAACACAGGTGGTCTAGCCCCACTGATTTCCTCTTTGTTTCCCATGAGACAAGACAGAAGTGGGCCTCCTAAGATGTAGCACAGAATGCTACAGAAGCTGGATGTCCTCCTCAGGCTCTCTTTTCCCCACTGGAGAAACTTTGGGCTCAGGAAAACCCTCTTGATATGGCACTTTGCCAGCCTTGGGGAGGAGCAACACAGTCAAAGTGAAACTGTATGACTCAAGAATTTAACTGCTAAACATCTACCTAGAAATGAAAACGTATATCCACACAAAGACTTGCATGCGAATATAGTAACATTATAGTAACAGTAACGTGATAGTTAACTTTCACAAAATCTATCGTACACTGTTTCCAGAAGACCATTTCATAGCAATGTGTAAGGGTTCCAGTTTTTCCACATCTTTGCTAAAACTTGTTATTGTATGTGTTTATAGCCATTCCAATGAATGCATATTAGTATTTTGTTGTGGTTTGAATTTGCTTTTCTCTAATGACTAATGATACTGAGCATCTCTTCTTGTCTTTATTATCTTCCATGTGTCTTTCGGAGAAATATCTGTTCAAATCATTTGCCCATTTTTAAATTGGGTTATCTTCTTATAGAGCTGTCAGAATTCTTTACATACCTGAATATAAGTAGTTTATTGAAAATATAATTGGCTAATATTTTCTCCCAGACTGTGCCTAGTCTTTTCTTTTTCTTAACAGTATACTTGAAACACAAAAGATTTCAGTTTTGTTAAATTTCAGCTTATCACTTTATTATTTTAAGGATCATGCTTTTGATGTTGTAGCTAACTCTTCATTTAACCTAAAGTCACAAAGATTTTTGTCTTTATTTTCTTACAAAAGTCCTGCCATTTTTGCTCTTTTAGAAGATTACTACATAATTTGGGGAACCCAGTGAAAAATAAAAATGGGGGATCCTTGCTCACAAGTTATTAAGGATTTCAGAACAGTGAAAGCAGAACACTAAACTAAGCACAGAGTCATTTGTGACTGCACAGGATGCATGCTCATGAAGCCAGCCCTGCTCTTACATTTAGATCCATGATCCATTTTTAGTTGATTCATGTATATGATGTGAGGTAAGAGTCTACATTTGTATTTTTGTGTGTATCTATGCAATTCTACTTGTAGTATTTGTTGAAAAGACTATCTTTTCCTCATTTAATTGCCTTGGCACTTTTGTTGAAAATCAATTGCTGAAACCACAAGGATTTTTTCTGCACTCTCATCTCTGTTTCACTGAATTATACCAGTACAATAACTGTCTTGATATGGGTAGCTTTATAATAAGTGTTGAAATAAGAAAGTATAAATCTTCCAACTTTTTTCTTCTTTTTATAGATTGTTTTGGCTATTCTGGGTTCTTGCAATTCCATATAAATTTTAGGATTAGCTTCTCAATTTCTTCAGAAAAGCCATTTGGAATTTTGATAGGAATCACATTGAGTTTATAGGTCAATTTGGAGAGAATTGCCAGGTTAAATATATTGAGTCTTCCAATCCATGAACATGGGTATCTCTATTTATTTAGATTGTTAATTTCTCTAGTAATGTTTTGTCATTTTCAGCATACAAGTCTTGCATTCTGTTTGTTCATTCCTAAATGTTTTATTATTTTGCCTACCTTTAATTTTGAATTTGAAAACTCAATTTTTACATTTCTAAGTTTACTAGTTGGTTGTTTTATAGAAACAATATCATTGAATAAGTTATGGGGGTACTAAATATACTTACTCTAGGCTGGGCACAGTGGCTCATGTCTGTAAACCCAGCACTTTGGGAGGCAGAGGTGGGCAGATCACTCGAGGTCAGGAGTTTGAGATCAACCTGGCCAACATGGCAAAACCCCGTCTCTACTAAAAGTACAAAAATTAGCCAGGAGTGGTAGCACATGCCTGTAATTCCAGCTACTAGGATGGCTGAGGCAGGAGAATTGCTTGAATCCAGGGGGCAGAGGTTGCAGTGAGCCGAGATCAAGCCACTGCACTCCAGCCTGGGGGACAGAGAGAGACTCCATCTCAAAAATAAAATAAAATAAATATACTTACTCTAAAGTCTTATTCTATTTGTTTATTATTTCTCTTTCCTCTGATGTTACCCAAAAAAATGGTAAAAAGAAAGATCTGAAGGGATCTGGTTAGAACCCTGAAACTGTCCACTAAGCCAGTGTTAACACCTGGGGTGTAGTCGTTTCATGCCTTCCCTATTATTTATTCTGAATTTTATATACAAATGAAAGACTTTTTTGTTTAATTTATATAAAAATGGGATCATAATGTATTAATCTGAACATGATGTTTTCATGGAACAGCAAAACTATTACCTTCAACCCAAATTGCTACAATTAAATAGCTATGTAATATTTCAACAGTGTACATTTATGATAATGCACTCAACCATTCTGCCAAATGGGCAATCAGGTTATTTTCAGGTTTAGAGGTATGTGTTATTGTGGAGTTGTTGTTGTTGTTGTTGTCGTTTTGCTACTAAAAACAATGCTTCAATAAATACTTCTGTATTTATGAGAATGTAGTCAACAAATACTTATTGAACACCTTGTGTATATCAGGTACTCAAGAAAAATCAATGGACAAAACAGATGCCACTGCCCTTATGGCATACATATTTTTGGGAGAAGAGAGACAATGAAGAAGATGATAAACAATAAACAAACAAATGTGTAATTTATTTAAGACGTTAGGGATTGACAAGAGCATGGAAAAAAGAGAGGCAGATGAGGGGATTGGGAGTATGGGGGCAGGATGGGGGATTGTGGTTGTGATTTTAGATAGGTTGGTCAAAGAAAATCTCATTGAGAAGGTAATAGTGAATCAAGGATCAAAAAGAGACAAGGAAATTAGTTCACTGCATAGATACATATATCTATGCTAGGCAGAAGAAACAGTCAATATCAATTCCCTAAGGCTAGAGTATGTCTGGTTAGTCAAGAAACAACAAATAGGTGAGTGTGACCAGGCAGAAGTGATCAAGGGGAGAGGAGAGAAGGTTGGATCATTACATTACCTTTGAACAGTGTAAGGATCTGGGTTTCACTCTTGAAGAAATGGAGAGCATTGAAAGTTCTGCAGTTCTTGTTTCTATAGGATACATGTTGATCTTTTTATTTATATAGGGTAGATTCCAAAAGCTGGATCTGCTGGGTCAGTCAGTCTGTAGTATATTTTAAAATTTAGCGGATGTTGCCAAATCTTTTCTGAAAAGGCTGCAGTAATTCATGCTCACACCAGCCATGAGTGTCTGTTTCTCTGAATCTTCTCCCACATGGCATAGTGTCACTAATGAAATTGTGTTTGCCAATCTAATGAGTGAGAAATGGTTTCTCATTGATGTTTTAGTTTTAACGTATTCATATGTGTATTGGACATTTTAATTTTCTTTTATTTAAGCTGCCTGTTCAGGTCCATGTTGGAGGGATTGTTTGTTATTTTTTATTAGCAGACTTTAGTCTTTGCCTATTAATATCAGGTATATTAACCCTTTGTCATACATATTGAGAATGTTTTTCTACACTGTCTTTTATATCTGTATTGCTTTTTAAGAACATTTAAATCGATTAAGAGAAATCTTCCTTTAACTATTCTCATCTCAAATTGTTCTTTATTGACTCATATATTCTGTCATTTCAATATTTACATTATTTTATCCAGGTTTTTTTTCGAGACGGAGTCTCACTGTCACCCAGCCCAGAGTGCAGTGGTGTGACCTCGGCTTACTATAACCCTGACCTCACCAGCTGAAGTGATCCTCCTGCCTCAGCCACTCAAGTAGTTAGATCTATAGGTGCACATCACCACATCTGGCTAATTTTTGTATTTTTTGTAGAGAGAGCCTTTTGTCATGTTACCCAGACTTGTCTTGAACTCCTGAACTCAAGTGATCCACCCGCGCCAGCGTCCCAGAGTGCTGGGACTACAGGCATTATCCACCACACTTGGGCTTTATTCAGTTTTAATGGGGTTTCTGGTTGCAAGCACACCATACTTACATAATAATTTCAGAAAAATTGATGTTTTAAAATTACTACTTTTTTTCTAATTGGGAGCATTTTATATATCTCCATTTATTTAGATCTTATTTAATTTCCTTCAATAAAATTTTTATAGTTCTTATACCTTTAAGATGTTTATAAATATATACATGTGTATTTGCTATTTAGTCTGAGTATTTTTTTTAACTTATGTCTTTCCAAATAAGAACTAGTAAGTTTTATATGTCTATTTTTTATTCATACTCCTTGGTGTATTAGTTCATTCTCATACTGCTACAAAGAACTACATGAGACAGGGTAATTTAAAAAGAAAAGAAGTTTAATTGACTCACAGTTCCACAACCTTAACAGGAATCATGACTAGGAGGTCTCAGGAAACTTAACAATTATGGTAGAGGGTGAAGGGAAGCAGGCACCTCTTCACAAATCAGAGCAAGAGAGAGGGAGTGAGAGACAGCAAAGAAAGAAATGTTACACTTTTAAATAATCAGATCTCATGAGAACTCACTATCATGAGAACAGTATGGGGGAATCCACCCGCATGATCCAATCACCTCCCACCAGGTCCCTTTCCAACACATGGGGATTACAATTTGCCATGAGATTTGGGTAGGGACACAGAGCCAAACCATATCATTTGGCAAATTAGTTTTCTACTTCTCATGAATTTTATTAGGTCTCTCTCTAGTTTTTCTATGTATATAATTATACAACATGTATTACTGTACCTTATTTTAGTATTTATACTAATTGCTTCATTTTCATAGCCTATCGCATTAGCTAAAGCTTCCAAAATATGCATATGTGTATGTGTGTATATATATATATATATTTGTATACACACATGCACACACACACATATATGTGTGTATATATGTATAATGGTGGTAATAGTAGACATTCCTATATTGTTTTCTATTTAAATGACTTCACCATTCATGTTTATCATAACATTTGCTGATTTTAGAGAGTTCATGTTATGTTAGTTTTATTTCATATAGAGTTTTTATTTTAAAAATAGCTGTTAGGACTTATCAAATTCCCTTTTAAAATCATTTGTGAATATATTTAAATACTTCTCCTTTTATTTATCAATGTAAAATTACAGAGAGATTTTATAATGTTGAACTATTTTTTCTCTTATTCAATCTCATTGCCATTACCTTTCTCTTTCTTTCTATTTCTAAATAGCCTGTAACTACAAGTTTTATTTTATCTTTAACCCAACACAGTGTGTTTTGTTTTGCTTTCTAAAATCTTAAGAAATTTATTTTCCTTATGCAATATGTTTCATTTCTATTGATTGTAACTTTTTGAGACTTCTTTCGTGGCCAAGATTATGCTAAATATTGATAATGTGTTCTCTGTTTTTAAGTCACAAGATTAAATAATAAATCATTCTTATTAATTTATCTAGAACCTGTATATTTTGTCCATTTTTGGTATATGGAAAGAGTAAAAAAACTAAGGGTGAATTGTTTTGCAATGCCCATAAAACATTTGTCCTATTATTTGTTTCTTGAATTTTGAATTGACATTAATGGGAAATGTTCTGCTTTTTGTTTTATTTAAAGTTGCATACCATAAATTGCCTATTTTTGATTTCAATATATTTTGTGTCACTGCATCTTTAGTTGGATTCTATCTTTGATTCCAATTAGTATCAATATCATCAATATTGACGATACCTTCGATATCACTAATATTACCTTTCAGGATCATTTCTTCATGTATATTCAGTGTTATAATTTTTCAACCTTTTTTCTGTTTTACCTTTTATAATTCATTGTTTTTCTTGTTTTATTTCTCTAAAAATGCAAACTATGTTTGCTCTTTATTTTTATTTTCAGAGTTTCATAGGTTTTATAAGATCTGATTTCACTCAATCAGTAGTTACCTTCAACTTTTCAAATTCATTGTTTAATCTGTATTTCTGTAATTGTTACAGTTGAATCTGAAACCATATTGTTCCACCATATCATTTTCATACTTGAAACAAATTCCTTAACTCAGTTTTTCTTCACCAACCCTGCTCAAAATTTTAAGTTTGTTGATATAATTTGAAGCTTTAATTCAAATAGTTACCATTTGGAATTTCCCCCCATTTCCCATAATATTTCTGTTTCTCCTGGGGTAACTTTTTCCTCTTTTTCCTTACACTAGTCTTTCTTTCTAATATTGAAGTATTTCCTCAAATGTCTATTGATCTGTGGTTATTTGTTTCTACATAAGAGAAGACTTTGGAAATCAATCAATGTGATTCACCAATTAAAAAATAAAGAAGGAAAATCATATGAATATCTCATTAATGCATTTGATAAAATTTAACATCTGTTCATGATAAAATTCCCAGCATATTAGGAATAGATAGGAACTCAGCAAATTAGAAATAGATAGGTAGGAAAGTCATATGACTACCTTGGTAGATGCGTTTGATAAAATTAGTAGTTCATGATAAAATTCTCAGCAAGTTAGAAATAGGTAGGAATGCAAAGCACAGTGGCTAACAGCTGTGATCCCAATTCTTTGGGAGGCCAAGGTGGGAGGATCACTTGAAGCCAGGAGTTCAAGACCAGCATAGGCCACAAAGCAAGACTCTATCTCTACAAAATATAAAAATAAAATAAAAAATTAGCTGGGCATGGTGACATCTGTAGTCCTAGCTATTCAGGAAGCTGAGTTGGGGGGTATTACTTGAGCCCAGGAGCTTGAGGCTGCCATGAACTATGATTGTGCTACTGCACTCCAGCCTGGAAAACAGAGTAAAACCTTCAAAGAAAGAAGGGGTGGGGGCGGGGGAAGAGAGAGAGAGAGAAAGAAAAAGAAAGAAAGAGACAAGAAAGAAAGAAAGGAAAGAAAGAAAGAAAGAAAGAAAGAAAGAAAGAAAGAAAGAAAGAAAGGAAAGAGAAAGAAGAAAGAAAAAGAAAGAAAAAAGAAAAAGAAAAAGAAAGAAAGAGAAAGAAAGGGAAAGAGGTAAGAATATGTATAAAGGTCTAACAGACATCACACTTAGTGATATTGCTAGTTGCTTTTTCCCTAAAATTGGAAATAAGACAAGGAAGTTGTCTCTCACTTCTTCTCTTCAACATCGTATTTAAACTCCTGACCAGCGAAATAAGATCCAAAAAAAGGAAATAATTGTTATTTTGGGGAAAGAAACAGTGAATCCGTCTTTATTTGCTGATGACATATTTATTTTCTTTAAAATATAAAGGAAATCTATAAATACTTTACTAGAACTAATACATGAATTTAGCAATGCCATAAATACATGGTTAATAGTTTTCAAACCAATCATATCTCCTACAATGGCAATAAGGAATTTGAAAAGCAGTATCCTTTAAAGTAGCACCAGAGAGAATAAAATAACTAGAAATAAATTTAATGAAAGATGTGCTTGATTTTTAAAATTAATCTAAATAAGTGGAGAAGCAAACGATGCTAACAGATTGCAAGCTCAATATTGTTGTCAGCTCCCCCAAATTTATCTATAGTTTCAAATCAAACCCAAGAAAAATCCAAAAGGCTTTTCTCATAGAAATTGACAAATTGATTTGAAAAGATATGTGGAAAATCAAAGAATCTAGAAAGTCCAAGACAATCTTTTCTAATTGACTTCAAGACTTTCTTTAAGCCATGGTATTCAACACAAAATCATATCAGCATAAGGATAGACAAACAGATCAATGGTATGGCATAGAAAGTACAGATATAAACCCATGTTCATATTGTAAATTGCTTTTTGAATATTTTCGTGACCTTGGAGTGGCAAATTCTTCTTAGTACACTAAAGTCATTAATTATAAAAGAAAAAATAATAAATTGGACTTCATCAAAATTAAAGATTTTTTCCTATCAAAAGACATAATTAAGAAAATAAAAGGGAAGCTACAGACTGGGTGAAAATATTTACAATACATAAATCAGACAAAACACTTCTATCCATAATCTGTAAAAGGACTCCTACCTGTCAATAAATAAAATAAAATTCTATAATATAAATGGGTCAAACATTTGAACAGACACTTCACCAAAAAATAAATAAATTGCCAGTAAACACATGAAAACATGCTTGACATAATTTCCTGATTAAAGAAATACAAATTAAAACTAAAATTAGCTATCACATCGTACACACTGGAATGGCTAAAACTAGAAAGGCCATCACTGGTAGTCTTTGCAAAAACAGTTTGGCAGGTTTTAAAATGGTTAAATGTACTCTTACACAATGACCCAGTAATTCCATTCCCACATATTTACCCAAGAGAAATGAAAGCATTTTGCCACAAAAAGACTTGCACAAGAACAGCAGTTTTATTCATACTAGTCTCAAACTGAATCCACTCCAATGTCCATCAAGAGAAAAATGAGTACGCAGACTGTGGTAGATTCACACAATGGAATACCACTCAACAACAAAAATGAACAAACTAACTGTTCAACACAGCAACATAGATGATAAGCAAAAGAAGCCAGACACAAAAGCATGTATATGTTTTGCTCATTTATATGAAATCCAAGAGCAGGCAGTATTAACATCTGACAGAATAAATGACAGCAATGGTTGCCCCCTGAGAGGCTGCCTGGCTGCATGTGTTCAGTATGCAGGTTCACAGGCAGTATATGCATTGCTCTGTTCATTTTTCAAATAACAAATCAGTTTTTAGCTGTGTGTCTCCCTTCAAATCTCCACTGTTTCTTCCGAATTCTGTAGGGCACCACGATTGCTTTCCTAACCTCTAGGAGCATCCCCTACCTACTATTGCAACTAGCACTTTTCTGACCACTTTTTGTCTTCAAGGTTTTATTTGAAATCTCTTATGTGCTCATTGTCCTCCACCATTCTCTTTGTCACTGTAAATCTAATTCCTTTATTATCATTTTAATGAACTTTAACCAGAAACTTTTTTTTACAGGAATTCAAAACAATAATGCGACATTGTTTCCTGCTTTATGTTGTGTACTGGGAAGTGCCAATAATTCTCTTCTGGTTGGATAAAAAGAGCTCCCAAGTTTTCATAACATTTAGGAATACTGAGATGTTGATTAAAACATTATCAGAGCAATAACATGATCAACTAAGAACTAGAATTAGAGACTCAGCTTTAAAATTGCTTTAAAAGGAAACGGCAGCGATTTCTGAAATTCAGATGCCTAAAATGATTAACTGTATATAGCAATAGTATGGACAGATTTATATTAACACAAAGCAGAACCAGATGTTCCAGGAGATATCACTGATATTCTCATGAAATTCTCAATAATGTGGTATTATTATCATTATTAAACCACATTGTATTATTTATGAATTAATTTTATGATATATGATGGTATTTCCTTCCTAGCAGCTACAGATTAGAGAAGGACATCTTATTTTTATTTTGTCAAATTCTCTCAGTTGTTGATTAAGCTGCATTTTCAAGGTTAGATTTTTATTTATATTCCATTGACTTTCATTTCTCTGTGGATGACCTGCTTACTCCATCTAGATTCTGTAGGAATTCAATATTTTTATTTTGAAAAATATTCCAGATATGGTTAGGTGAAGATATCTTTACAATGACTTTGTTCAGTTTAGACTGGGCTTTTTCAGTGCCCTCTATATTAGTCTTGCATAGGCTCCATGATATCTTCTATTACATTTTTGTTTGTTGCTTCAATTCCATTTATTCTGGGCTCTACTGAGGACCACCTATTTTATATATGTTGGTTCTTCATAGCTTATCCGTTATACATAAAATCTTACCATCTCCACAAACATCTCAGAATCTTGATGACCATTTTCATTTGGTGTCCTTTTTCCTTAGGCTGTTCACGGAAGACCAGGATGTAGATGAGGGACTTGTCTATGACACTGTATTCAAGCACTTCAAAAGACATAAGCTGGAGATATCAAATGCAATAAAAAAGACATTTCCATTCCTTGAGGGCCTCCGCGATCGGGAACTCATCACAAATAAAATGTTTGAAGTAAGTAAAGTTTATTTCACAACCTGGCAGATATGCTTTCATATTTTACAAGTATTTCTGTAAGTGCTCCTGTAAAGTAGAAAAGGAGAGGAGAAGCAGAGGTCACCAGAGATGGTCCTACTTCCAGCTGAGGAAATGGTGTTCCATGGCACCCTCTGGAGTTGGGGTGAATGGTACTGGAGAAACTGGAACGGAAACAGCTGTTCTCCATAAATGTACAATGTTTTGTAGAATTCATACACTATAACATAAACTAAAATTTAAAAATAATTTTAATGAATTGATTTACTGAAATCATAATTGACAGAGCATTTTATTTCAATTAACATCAATTTAAAATACCTAGATCTGAGAACATTAAAACCCACAGGGAATTGGTGTCTAGAGAGGACAAATTTGGAAGTAGATGCTTGTTATTCTTTCTCCAACACATTTGTTTTCTTGTCTTTCCTTTTTTTGTGCATTTCTGGAGTCTTGGAATATGAGTAAATTCCACCCATAGGCCCTGTTGGAGATACAGAACAGCGAGTCATCTCTGGCTATGAATATGCTTCCTCTGTGGCCAAGTTCACAGCAAGGGGAGAATGGTCACCTAGTTTCTTTGAGCCCTTCAGGCCAAATCAGTCTTGGGGGAAGAGCAGGGGTTGCCCAGCCAACAAAACAGCCACTCATTGATTGCCTGCTACATCTATCCCAAAAATGTATCAATCAGGCTCTTAAAGAACTTTGAGCCCACTTTTATCCTTCAAAGTTGCTCCTTTTTACATCTAATGTAAATGAGGGTGAAGCAATCAGGCTCATCAGTGGGTATTTTTAAGGAGATGGGATTTACTTCTTTCATTACTGGCTATACAAATATGTAAAAATTATAAAACTTTACATGAGAAGATACCTCTGAAGAGAAATTGAAATTCAGTAACCATAAAATTTGTTTTTATGGCTCTTCTGTAACTTGAAAGTCTGTATTTGTATTTTCTCCATTCAATATTTTTAAAGGATTCTGAAGATTCTTGTAGAAACCTGGTCCCTGTACAAAGAGTGGTGTACAATGTTCTCAGTGAACTGGAGAAGACATTTAACCTGTCAGTTTTGGAAGCACTGTTCAGCGAGGTCAACATGCAGGAATACCCCGATTTAATTCACATTTATAAAAGCTTCAAAAATGGTAATTAGGTTTATTATCTACCTTTTGATTTCCGGGGCCAATTTTTTTCAATAAGCATATGTTTGAGCTCCTACCATGTGCGATACATTGTGTTGGGCAGTGGGCATAGAGTAGTTAACAAAATAGACGTGTCATGAGTCTTCTTGAAGCCCATGGTATATGGCTATGGCAAAACAAACATCTGGAGGTCTGCTTCACTGGCCACTTAGACTCACAGGACAACCAGAGCCACACTGGCATCAGATTTACTTAGAAGATAAGAAACACAGAACACCAACGGGGCAGCATCAGTTGTTTCTTCTCTTTAGTGGGAGTTTTTGCAGTGACCTACACAGCAGTCCACTAAATTGACTACTACCTGCCTTGAGTGACAGTTTAGCTGTGGGTGCAGGATCCACTTTGGCATAACACCACATATCTGTGGGAGTCAATATCTCTTGTAACAACCCCATAGTCATAGCTTTCAGGGTGCCACAGGGACAATCTGAGTTATAAGAGTTATCAGTTGAAGGAAGACCACAATTATTCTTTCCCTACAGGTATTTATAGTTCATGTATAGTTTCAGGCAAACAGTCATGGGTCATTTCTAAGCCCAGAGTTTGCCCAGTAAAACCAGGAAAATGCTACCTTTATTAGGTTTCTAGAATAATGAACAAGAAAATTAACCCTGGGTCAAGTTTGCCTTTAGTGAAGGATAAATAGTTTTGTTAACCCTTTACCCACAAGGGATAAAAGAAACATTAATCAAATAATCACAAAACTGATTGCTCGGACAGGGACTATACCAAATTAAAGTTTGGTATTGGTGCTATACCAAACTAAAGTTTGGTATTGGTGCTATACCAAACTAAAGTTTTGATTCTTGACTTTTTTCCTGAGAAGGCATAATTTATACTATTATAATGGTACACAGTAAAGAAGGTGCCCTCTATTTTGTTTTACTTGCCTGGAAAACTTTTATTCTCCTCACAGTTTGATCTCAACCCAGTTCTCCAAATAAGAGATAGAGACATCACAAGAAAAACAGGGACATGCCCTGAAGAGGGTGGATGCTATGGGGACTGGAAAGAGTAAAAGCATGTCTGCAAAACAGGACAAACTGGATTTGGCTAAATCACAGAGTGAGAAGCAGTATAGGAGCTGACTTAAGAGAGATCAATTGGAGGAAGATGGTGAACGGTCTGGAATTGAAAGCTAAGGAATTTGAAGTTTATTTACTAGGCAATAAAGAAATACTACAGGTTTATAAACAAGGAAAAAAGTTTAGGCAGCTATATATGTTTTGGCTTATTGATTTGTGTTAATACTAACAATATCTAGATTAAAAATAAAATAATTTTTGTAACAAGTCATTCAAGTCAGAAAGTGAATAAAAGGAAATCACATATCTGGGCACAAATTTCGAGTCAATGTTATGTTTGTAAGCAGGATGGTCCAGGCTGCGGGGATGAAGGGAATAGTGTTACATTTACTGCCCACATTCTCAGGGGCTCTGTTCCTCTGCATGGACTGCAGGGATTCCCTTCCTAGCCCCAGTGCCCACAACTCACATGTTAGTTTCTGGCACTCCTTATGCTTGGGTGACCTGCACTGAGGCTCACTGTCACCTGCCTGGGGCAGCACTGCCCACCGCCCCACCCAGCACAGCAGCCTACCCACCTTCAGGGAGATGCTGAAGTCCACACAGGCTGCCCCTGTGTCCTCTGTTATGTTTATCTGGGAACTGTTCATCCTCCCTGACCCAATTAAGCCAACGTTCTCCTGTTTTCTAGCCTCATCTTTAAAGCTGTTTGGGTTTTCTCTTTTAGTTTTTATTTAGGCATGTTTTTGGAGATAGGGTCTCACTCTGTTGCCCAGGTTAGATGGCAGGCTAGTGAGCTATCTCTGCTCACTACAACCTTGACTTCCTGGACTCAAGCAGTTCTCCCGCTTCAGCCTTCTGAGTAGCTGGGACCACAGGTGCACACAACCACATCAGGCTGATTTTGCTAAATTTTTTTCAGACACAAGGTCTTGCTATGTGGTCTAGGCTGGTCTCGAAATCCTAGGTTCAGGAGATGCTCCTGCGTCACCATCCCACAGTTCTACGATTACAAGCATGAGCCACTGCACCTGGCCAGTTTTCTCTTTTATAATGGAATCTCTCTAGGACTTGAGACCATCCTTCCAGGGAATCCCTCTGTTTCTTCCTTAACACTTGATGTATGCCTACCCTGCCATCTGACAATTTTGCGGGTAACACAGCTCACTATGTTTCCATTACTCCTTTATCCTTAAATCTTGAGTATCCCCTTTCTGTGTAGGACACATAAAAGCTCATTGTTGAGGTCATCTCTTCTCTGTCCCAGAAGATGATAGGAGAAGTTTAAGTCTGACTTCTGAGTCAGCCTAATGCTGGAAATTCCTAAAAGCCAATTTCCAGGTGTTGTCCCTGGTTCTCACAGATCTTTAATTGCTTTCTTCTCTCTCCCACTCTTCAGCAATCCAAGACAAATTGTCTTTCCAAGAAAGTGATCGAAAAGAAAGGGAAGAGAGGCCTGACATCAAACTAAGTCTTAAACAAGGTAAAAATGACAGAATAAAAACGGTTTCTCATCCGCTAAGAGGAAAAGGAGACAAGGGAGGTGAGGGCCCAAGGTCCTGAGGGGAAATTGTGAAACAGGGAAGACACAGGGAAGGACCATGGAGAAGTCAAGGAGGGGGTTGTATGAGCTCCTAATCAGATGCAGGGTCCTGGAGAAGTGGCCATAACAAGACATTGTTGGCTCAATAACCATGAAGGAACCAGAGCCAAGTGTGTCAGTAGGCCAGATTTACAGATGCTAACTACCTAGATGTAATTGTGATTTAGAAAGGTCCCTGTGGGAGGTCAGTATGAAGCTGTGAAGTGTTAAGAACCACAGCCCATGGCCCATGGTCAACATCAAAGAGGAGACCCTTAGGGGAAGAAAAGCTCCTGTTTTATCTGTACTCTCACATTCTCAACACTTTTGACACCAAACATGTGGAGAACCTCCCCACACCAACCAGTTCTTCAGTTCCCTGCAGAATTGTGTACCCCATCCTTAAGGGCTTTCCAAAAGTCACCTTATTAACATAAACTCAGGTTTGGTTGAAATGGGGTTGTTATGCATAACAGGAAGTGCTCTTTTGACTTTCATCACTTAGGATGTTTCAAGGGTTTTAGGAGCTCTGGCCAGGAGCAGGGGATGAAGACTGAAATATATATTTCTTATTATATCACAGGAGATAATTGGTGATGGCAGAAGAGGGGACCCATTTAAATGTGGGGATGTTGTTCAAGAGCAGGAATATTCAAAGAGAAATGCACTCATGTAGAGAGACTCAGAGAGGAAGTGGTGCAGATGTGGAGAGGATGTAGGTATTGAGAGAGAGAGAGAGAAGGAAGGAGGGGAAGTTAAAGAAAGAGTGAAAAAGGCATAAAGGACAACAAAAATAACCATGTTATTAACAGCTCACTTTGATTAAACGTCTATTCTATGGCAATTGTGAGTTTAATGCTCCTGACTGCCATGGAGATTTGTATTCCTTATTGTCCATTTTGCAGATAAGAAACTGAAATCTGGACAAACCACTTACGAAGTTTGCCTAGGGTCAGATGAGCAAGGAAGAACCCCCCTAGGCATTCTAAGCCAGAGCCTTGTTCTTAACTCTGTGATATCCAGGGAACCTAATAATAAAAGCAGAAACATAAAACGCAAATGAGGAAATTTATGCAGAAAGAAAGATACAGAAAAAAAAAAAAGAATAACATGACTGGAGGAAATGGTGGCAACTCAGACACAGAATCCTCATAGAAAGACCAACCAGAAAATGTGAACAGATGTGGAGTGGGAGGGTGTGGTGTAAACGCACATAAGGACAAGACATCCAGGGCTTATGATTTTTCAGCTTTACAATGGCTTTATTGAGGTATTAAGTGCATTTTTGACTTATGAGATTTTCAATTTATGTTGGGTTTATGGAGGTGTAGCCCCATCATAACTGTAGGAGCATCTGTGCTGATTTATCCTTTGGATATATATTCAGCAGTGGGACTGATGGATCATATGGCAGTTCTATTTTTACTTTTTTTGAGGAAACTCCGTACTGTTTTCCATAATGGCTGTACTAATTTACATTTCCATTAACAGTGTACAAGAGTTTCCTTTTCACCATATCCTCACCATTTATCATCTTTAGTCTTTTTGATAATAGCCATTCTAACCTGTATGTGGTGATAGTCATTGTGGTTTCAATTTGTATTTTCTTGATGATTTGTGATGCTGGGCATTTTTTCACATACCTGATGGTCATTTGTATGTGTTCCTTTGAGAAATATCTGTTTGAATCCTTTGCCCACTTTATAATCTGTTTATTTGTTTTTGTTTTTTTTTTTAGTATGGAGTTGGTTGAGTTCCTTACATATTTTAGATATTAGCCCTTATCAGACATATGGTTTGCAAATATTTTCTCCCTTCTGTAGGTTGTCTCTTCACTCTGCTGATTGTTTCCTTGCCCATGCAGAAACTTTTTAGTTTGATGTAGTCTCACTTCTTTATTTTTGCTTTTGTGATTGTGTTTTTGGTGTCATACCAAAAACATAATTGCTCAGACCAATGTCATGGAGCTTTTCCCCTGTTTTCTTCCAGTAATTTTGCAGCTTCAGGTATTAAATTTAAATATTTAATCCATGTTGGGTTGATTTTTTAATATGGCATGAAATAGGGTCTAATTTCATTCTTCTGCACGTGAAGATCCAGTTGTCCCAACATCATTTATTAAAGAGACTGTCCTTTCCCCATTGCGTGTTCTTGGCACCTTTGTTGAAAATCAGTTGACCAAAAATGCATGGATTCAAGCTCTCTATTTTGTTCCATTTGTCTATGTGTCTATTTTATGCAAGTACCATGTTCTTTTGATTATTATAGCTTTGTAGTATATATTGAAGTCAGGTAGTGTGATGCTTTCAGCTTTGTTCTTTTTGCTTAAAATTGCTTTGGCTAGTTGGGGTCTCTTGTGCTTTTATACAAATTTTTAATTGTTTTTCTATTTCAGAAAAAAATGTCTTTGGAACTTTTATATGATTTGCGCTGAATCTTTAGAGCACTGTGGATAGTATGAACATGTTAAGAATATTAATTAATCCAATCCATGAACATGGGGTATCTTTCCATTTTTTGTTCTTCTTCTATTTCTTTAATCAACATTTTAGAGTTTTCAGTGTACAAATATTTCACCTCCTTGGTTAAATTTATTCTTAAGTATTTTCATTGTAAATTGGATTGTTTTATTGATGCCTTTTTCAGATAGTTCATTGTTAGCGTATAGAAATGCAACAGATTTTTTATGTTGATTTTGTATCCTGCAACTTTACCAAATTTATTAGTTCTAGCAGTTTTTTGGTAGAGTCTTCAGGGTTTTCTCTATATAAGATCATGTCATCTACAATTAAGAACAATTTAACTTCTTCCTTTCCACTTTGGATGTCTTTTATTTCTTTTTCTTGCCTAATTGTTCTGTCTAGGACTTGCAGTACTGTGTTGACTAGAAGTGACGAGAATGGACACCCTACTCTTGTTTCTGATCTTAGAGGGAAAACTTTCAACATTTTACTAATGACTATGATGTTAGCTGTAGGCTTGTCATATGTAGATGGTAGTGTTCTGAGGTACATTTCTTCTATAACTATTTTGTTGAAAATTTTTATCATGAAAAAAGTTGAATTTTGTCCAATGCTTTTTCTGCATCTATTGGGATAATCATATAATTTTTGTCCTTCATTCTATTAATGCAACGTATGACCTTTTAAGATTTGTGTGTTGAACCATCCATGCATCCCAGTGATAAAGCTTACTTGATCATGGTGAGTGTGCTGTTGAATTTGATTTGATAGTATTTTTTGAGGATTTTTCACATATGTTTATCAGGGATATCAGGGATATCATATATGTTTATCAGGGATACTGGCCTGTAGTTTTCTTTTCTTATAGTGTCCTTGCCTTACTTTGGTATCAGGGTAATGTTGGCTTCATAGACTAAGCCTACAAATAGACCCCTTATTCAATTTTTTAGACGAGTTTGAAAAGTATCAGTATTTATTATTTAAATGTTTGGCAGAATTCAGCAGTGAAACCATCTGGTCCTGGGCTTTTGTTTGATGGGTGGTATTCAATTCTGGATTACATCTCCTTATTCATTATTGGTCTGCTCAGGTTTTTATATTTGTGTTGGTAGGTTGTATCTGTCTAGGAATTTACCCATTTCTTCTAGGTTATCCAATTCTTTGGTGTATAATTGTTCATAGCAATCTCTTATGGTCCTTTGTATGTCTGTAGTATGAGTTACAGCGTCTTCTCTTTTATTTCTGATATTATTCATTTGAGTCTTTTCTTTTTTTTTAGTCTAGCTAAATGTTTGTCAATTTTGTTTACCTTTTCAAAAACCAACTCTGTTTAGTTTATCTTTTCATTGTTTTTCTAGTCTTTATCTCATTTATTTCTGATCTAATATTTATTATTTCCTTCTTTCTACTAATCTTGGCTTTAGTTTTCCTTTTTTGTCTGAAGTTTCCTAAGGTGTAACATTAGGCTGTTTGAGATCTTTCTTCTTTCTTGATGTAGGTGTTTATTGCTACAAACTCCTCTTCTTTGAACTGCTTTTGCTGTATCCCATCAGTTTTGTTATGTTGTGTTTCCATTTTCATTTGTCTCAATATTTTTTTAAATTTCCTTTTAATTTATTCATTGGCCTATTGGCTGCTCAAGAGTGTGTTTAATTTCCATGTATTTACAAAATTAAAAAACTCTTCTTGTTATTGATTTCTACTTTTATATCATTGTGGTCAGAAAAGATACCTGATATAATTTCAACCTTCGTGACTTTAAGTTTGTAGCCTAATGTATGATTTATCTTGGAGAATGTTCCATGTACAAGTGAGAAGAATGTATATTTCACTCCTGTAGAATAGAATGTTCTTTATGATGCTGTTAGGTCTATTTGGTATAAAATATAGTTTACATTTTATTTGTCTTTGTGGATTTTCTGTCTTAATGATCTATCCAGTGCTGAAAGTAGGGTATGAAAGTCTTTTACTATTATTGTATTACAGTCTGTCTCACCTACAAATCTATTAATATTTATTTAATATATATTTGGTTGCTCAGATGTTGGGTGCATATATATTAGTGTGCAATTATTATGTCATCTTAACAAATTGACTGCTTCATCATTATATAATGATCTTCTTTGTCTTGTTTTAGTATTCAATTTGAATTTATCTCATCTGATATAAGTATAGCTACTCCTTCCTTCTTTGGTTTGCATTTGCGTGGAATATTCACTTCTATCTTGTCATTTTCAGTCTATATGTATCCTTAAAAGTGAAGTGAGTGTCTTGTAGGCCATAGATACTTGAGTTTTTTTTTATTATTATTCATTCAGCCACTCTGTCTTTTGATTGGAGAATTTAATCCATACTTAACATAACTATTTATACTTAATATAATTATTGCTAGGCAAGTACCTACTACAACTATTTTGTTCATTGTTTTCTGGTTGTTTTGTGGATTATTATCTATTATTATTATTATTATTATTATTATTATTATTATTTTTGGAGACAGAGTCTCACTCTGTCACCCAGGCTAGATTGCAGTGGCATGATCTTGGCTCACTGCAACCTTCGTCTCCGGATTCAAGTAATTCTCCTGCCTCAGCCTCCTGAGTAGCTGGGACTACAGGCGCATGCCACCAAGCCTGGCTAATTTTTTGTATTTTAGGTGAGATGGGGTTTCACCATGTTACCCAGGCTGGTCTCGAACTCCTGAGGCAATCTGTCCACCTCGGCCTCCCAAAGTGCTAGGATTACAGGCGTGAGCCACCATGCCCAGCCTGCTTTGTAGATTCTTTATTCCTTTCTTTCTCTCTTCCTTCGTTTGTGATTAAGTGATTTCCTCTAGTGGTATGCTTTGACTCCTCTTTAGCTTTTGTGTAAATACTATAGGTTTTTGCTTTGTGGTTAACATGAAGCTTACAAAAAATATCTTATAGTTATAATAGGCTGTTTTAAGCTGATAGCCTACAAAAACTCTGTACTGTACTTTTACTCTAACTTCTCATTTTCTTTTCTTTTCTTTTTTTTCCTTTCTTTCTTTTTTTTCTTTTTTTTTTTTTTTGAGACAGAGTCTCACTCTGTCACCCAGGCTGGAGTGCAGGGGCATTATTATGTCTCACTGTAGCCTTGATCTCCTAGGCTCAGGCTACCCTCCTGCCTCAGCCGTCCAAGTAGCTGAGACCACAGGTGCGTGCCACCACACATGGCTAATTTTAAAAATTATTTGTAGAGACAGTGTATCACTGTGTTGACCAGAGTGGTCTTGAACTCCTGGGCTTCAATGATCCTCCCACCTCAGCTTCCCAAAGTGCTGAAATTACAGATGTGAGCCACTGCACCCAGTCTCATATTAAATTTTTTATATCACAATTTACATCTTTTTATATTGTGTGTTCCTTAACAAATTATTGTAGCTAGGCTGGGTGCGGTGGCTCATGACTGTAATCCCAGCACTTTGGGAGGTTAAGGTGGGCAGATCACGAGGCCATCCTGGCCAACATGGTAAAACACCATCTCTATGAAAAATACAAAAATTAGCTGGGCATGGTGGCACGTGCCTGTAACCCCAGCTACTGGGAAGGCTGAGGCAGGAGAATCGCTTGAACCAGGGAGCTGGAGGTTGCTGTGAGCTGAGATCACACCACTGCACTCCAGCCTGGCAACAGAGAGAGAGACTCCATCTCAAAAATAAATATATTGTAGGTATTATTTTTAAGTTTTGTCTTTTAACTTTTATACTAGAGATGTAAGTGGTTTACACACCACCATTACAGTATTAGCATATACTGTATTTTGACTGTGGACTTATTTTAACCGTGAATTTTGTATTTTCTTGTGTTTTTATTTTATTAGTTAGCATCTTCTTCTTTCAGCTTAAATAATTCCCTTTAGTATTTCTTGTAAAGCAGGTCTAGTGGTAATGAACTTTCTTAGCTTTTGTTTGCCTAGGAAAGTCTTTACCTCTCCTTCATTTCTGAAGGACACCTTTGCCAAATACAGTATTTTGGTGGGCAGTTTTTTTCTTCAGCACCTTTAATATGTCATTTCACGGTTTCCTGGTGTGTAAGGTTTTTGCCAAAAAAGTTCATTGCTATCTTTATTGAAACTCCCGTATATGTTATTTGCTTCTGTTCTCTTGCTGCTTTCAGGATCCTCTCTAAGTTCTTGAATCTTGACAGCTCATGTTGGTGTAGTCTTGTTTAGATTGAATCTTTTGACCTTCTGGTACCTGAAGATTTATGTTTTTCATCAGATTTGCAAAGTTTTATGCTATTATCTCTTTAAATAATCTTTCTATCCCTTTGTCTTTCTCTTCTCCTCTATGAATTTCTGCAACTCAAACATTTGCTCTTTTCACAGTCTCATAAATCCTGTAAGTGTTCCTTATTACTTTTCATTCTTTTTTCTTTTTCCTTCTCTAGCTGTATTTTCAGACAACCTGTCTGAGTTCAAATTCTTTCCTCTACATGATTAATTCTGATATTGATGCTCTTTGTTGCATTTTTTCATTTTATTCATTGTATTTTTCAGCTCCAGAATTTCTGTTTCTTTTTAAAAATAATTTCAATCTCTGTTAAATTTCTCATTTTGGTCATTTATTGTCTTCCTGATTTCAGTGAATTGTTTCTTGGTATATTCTTGAAGTTTGCTGAGATTCCTTAAAACAATCATTGTAAATTCTTTGTGAAGCAGTTTGTTATCTTCATTGCTTTGGGGTGAGCTATGAGGAGATTATTGTGTCTTTTTGATGGTGTTATGTCTCTTTGGCTTTTCACATTTCTTATTACCTTGCATTTATATCTGTGCATTTAAGGAAGTAAGGACTTATTTCAGCCTCTGTAGATTGGCTTTGTCTGGGAAAGCCTTTCACCCTACTTAGAAATTCTAGGAATTACATCTTGCATAGACCAAAGAAAGGCTTGCTGCTGAAGGTGCCTAGGATAATCAGTGGGCAGGTCTATGCTGGGGCAGGCCTTGAGCCAGAGTCTGCAGGGATCTACACCACTGGTGCAGCCATCTTCAGGCACTTCAGTGAGCCTGAAGACCAGTGCATGAGAGGCAGCTTGGTACTGGGATGAGACTGAAGGCCAGAGCCACTGGTAGTAGTCTGGGTTCACTGAGGCTGAAGTAGTGCTGGGGCAGGCTGAAGACTGCATCTGTAAGGGCTGGCCTGGAGCCTGGGGATTCAGGATTCAGCCTGGGTTCAGTGTGAGCTTGGAGGTTCAGACCATGTGTACCAGCTGGAGTATCTACAAATAAGGAAACTGCTGATTTTATATAGAGTTTTAGGAAACATAGTTCAGGCACTACAGACTTTCAGAAACAGGAGTGTATGAATAGTTTAGCATTTAGCCATCAACACGGGCTTTCTGGAGGGGGCTGCGGCTGATTGGCTGGCCTTCAGATGTGTAGGACTGCCACTGATGGGCTAGCTCTCAGAAATGATTAGTGATATAAGTAATCAATGGCCAATTAGGACAAGTTGAAACAGTTACTTCTTACTACTTTCTTTTTGTTTGTTTGTTTTCTTGTTTTTGAGACTGAGTCTCTCTCTCTGTCACCCAGACTGGAGTGCAGTGGCACAATCTTGGCTCACTCACTGCAGCCTCTGCCTCCTGGGTTCAAGTGATTCTCCTGCCTCAGCCTCCCAAGTAGCTGGGATTACAGGCGCACGCCACCACACCCAGCTAATTTTTGTATTTTTAGTAGAGACAGAGTTTCACCCTGTTGGCCAGGCTGGTCTTGAATTCCTGACTTAGTGATTTGCCCACCTCAGCCTCCCAAAGTGCTGGGATTACAGGCATGAGCCACCGCACCCTGCCACTTCTTACTGTTTTCAAAGAACATTAGTATTTTCTGGAATGATAAGAGCTTTTTAATTTTTTCTATTTTACTCTCAGGACTACAAGTAGAAAAATAAAAGTAAAGAAAAGGAGAAGGAGGTGCAAAACATGGGGAGAGCATGGCTGTTATGTGTCAGGCGTGATTATTGGAGCGGGTATATTTTTTTCCAGAGAGCACTTCACCTTGGCTCAGAATATTAGTGTCCAGCATCACAGCACTGGGAACTCTTCTCTGGTCACTGTCTAGAGGTCACCCGAGGAATGTGTGTGACCTCTAGAAGCTGAAAAGACAAGGAAATAGGTTGTCCTCTCCAGACCCCAGAAAGGAATAAAGGCCTACTAACATAATGACTTTAGGCAGTGAGACCTGTGTCACACTTCTCACTGACATAACTGGAAGATAATAAAATACAAAAATAAAAATAAAATAACTTTTTTGTTTCTCATTAGTATCTGGTGAACTAGAAAATTACCAAATGACCAAAGAAGGAGAATCAGAAGAGCTTGCTTCTAGCTTGCTATGATGTGATGTACCAAGTAATTATGACTTAAAAATATTAAAAACAGAAACAGAGTTCTGATAATGAAAAAAAGACAAAAGAGGACAAAAAGGGAGACTTAAAGGAAGAGTCAAATATAGGGAGGAGAAGTGAAAGAAGATTTCGGAGGAAAAAGTAGAGAAGAGGGCAGCAACCAGGGTGCAGAAAAGAGGGTTATTGGGGCAAATTAAAAGTTCATAAATCACAATTTTGCCCCGGGAGCAGAGCGACCAGCATGTGAAAATGAGAAGTGTTCCTATGTCATGTGTTTCTCAGGAGAAGTGCCAGAAAGCCCGGAAGCAAGGAAGGAAAGTGACCAAGCATGTGGCAAAATGGGTAAGGCTGCCTGAGGGCTGTGGGATGGGGTGGCTCAGTGGGCCCCACAGACCCTGGGAAGAGTGGAGGCAGGTGCTCCAGTCCGCCCAGAATCCTGTTCTGTGCATTTGCCTCACCCAAGCCTTTGGGGAACTGCAGAGAGGCAAGAGATCATTATAAAGTTTTACTTATCAAGATGGGCTCTGTTGATTACATATGGATGACGTCATAGAATGGTGCTGCTCTTTAAAGTGGCAGTTATCCTGTTTATTGCATTAATATGTTAAGTCACACTCAATATTCCATGGAACCCAAGATAACCCAGTGAACTTCTGCTAGTAGATAATAGTGTCATTTTGCTACACCTTAGAAAGGCCTCACCCAAAAGACAACTAATCCTGGTATTAATTGTCAGGGGGGAAGACTGCAGGTCTACTCTTAGCCCAACACGTATTTTTGATAGAAGACCCAGGGCCCATCCTAGACTCCTAGTTCTCAGTTCAGTGGGTTTTTGGTTCCTCTAGAAGAAAGAGAGAAATGAGTAACCAAACATCTTTATAAACTCAAGCCTTCTATAGTATGAATTGTCCTAAAATCTATAACTTTTATTTATTAATTTCTGTTTCCTCACTACCACTTGTTATTTTCTAGATACTGTGGATATTGCAAACAACTCTACTTTGGGAAAACCCAAGAGGAAAAGAAGTAAGAATAAATAAGAATTTACTTGCTTTTGATGTTACAAATACATTTTTAATGCCAGAGTTTTCTTTTTGTCATTGTTACTGTTTCTGTTATTATTTGCAATACTGTGGTAGAGAGAATGATGGCCACCCCAAAAAACGTCCACCTCCTAATCCCTGGACCTGTAATCTGCTATCTTACATGGCAAACGGGACTTTACAGATACAATTAATTTAGAGACCTTGAAATGGGGAGATGATCCTGGGTTATGTGGTGGGCCCAATCTAATCTTGTAGGCTTTAAAGAGTGGAGAACTTTTCCTGGCTGTGGAGAAAGGAAAATGTGACTATGGAAGAGTCATCAGAAACATGTAATGTTGCAGGCTTTGAAGATGGAAGAGGGAACCAAGGAATGTGGATGACCTCTAGAAGCTGAAAAAACAAGGAAATAGTTTGTCCTTTCCAGCCCCCAGAAAGGAATGAAGGCCTACACCTTGACTTTAGGCAGTAAGACCCGTGTCACACTTCTCACTGACATAACTGGAAGATAATATATTTGTGTTGTTTTAAACCACTAAATTTGTGGTAATTTGTTATGGCAGCAATTAAGAGTAATACGGATTTTAGTACTTGGCAGTGGGGTGTGGCTATCACATATTCCTGAAAGTGTTGGGGTGTCTTTGAGATTGCGCAGTGGAAAGAGGTTGGAAGAATTTTAAATAGAGTGATAGGAAAATCCTAGATGAAAAAATGGAAATTAAGTCAATTAATAACCCTACAATGGCCTGTAAGTGCTCAAGTTAAAGAAAGAGTCGGCCGGGCGCGGTGGCTCACGCCTGTAATCCTAGCACTTTGGGAGGCCGAGACGGGCGGATCACGAGGTCAGGAGATCGAGACCATCTTGGCTAACACGGTGAAACCCCGTTTCTACTAAAAATACAAAAAATTAGCCGGGCGTGTTGGCGGGCACCTGTAGTCCCAGCTGCTTGGGAGGCTGAGGCAGGAGAATGGCATGAACCTGGGAGGCGGAGCTTGCAGTGAGCCAGGATCGCGCCACTGCACTCCAACCTGGGAGACACAGCGAGACTCCGTCTCAAAAAAAAAAAAAAAAAAAAAAAGAAAGAGTCACATGTACTCACTTTAAATAAAAATCTAGAAATGATGAAGTTTAGTGAGGAAGCTATGTCAAAAGTTGACATAGGCTGAAAATTAGGCCTTTTGCAGAAAATAATTGGCCAAGTTATGAATGCAAAGGAAAAGTTCTTGAAGGAAATTAAAAGTGCTACTCCAGTGAACACTTTAATGATAAAGCAGAACAGTCTTATTGCTGATGTGGAGAAAGTTTGAGTGGTCTGGATGAAAGATCAAATCAGCCACAACATTCCCTTAAGCCAAAGCCTAATCCAGAGTAAGGTCTTAACTCTCTTCACTTCTCTGAAGGCTGTGAGATGTAGAAAGCTTCATAAGAAAAGTCTGAAGGTAACACCAGTTGGTTCATGAGGTTGAAGGAAAGAAGCTGTTTCATAACATTAAAGGGCAAGGTGAAGCAGCAAATGCTGATGTAGAAGCTACAGCAGGTTGTCCAGAAGCTCTAGCTTAGGTCACTGATAGAGTTGGCAACACTAAACAACAGATTTACAGTGTAGACTAAACAGCCTTCCATTGAAAGAAGATTCTGTCTAGAACTGTCATAGGTAGAGAGGAGAAGTCAATGCCTGGATTCAAAGCTCCATAGGACAGGAGGAGTCTCTTGTTAGAGGCTAATGGAGCAGGTGACTTTCTCTTGAAGCCAATGCTCATTTACCATTCTGAAAGTCCTAGGGCCCTTAAGAATTATTCTAAATCTACTCTGCCTGTGCTCTATAATTGGAATAAAGCCCAGATGAGAGCACATCTGTTTACAGCATGGTTTACTGAATATTTTAAACCCACCATTGAGACATATTCCTCAGAAAAAAAGACTCTTTTCAAAATATCACTGTTCATTGACAGTGCACGTAGTCATACAGGAGCTCTGATGGAGGTATACAAGGTGATTAATGCTATTTCCATGCCTGCTAACACAACATCCATTCAGCAAGCCCATGAGTCAAAGAGTAATTTCAACTAGCAAGTCTTAATATTTAAGAAATACATGTTGTAATGCTATAGCTGTCTTTATATATAGTGATTCCTCTGATGAATCTGGGCAAAGTCAATTGGAAACCTTCTGGAAAGGATTCACCATTTCACATTGCGATTAAGAACATTCATGATTCATGAGAGGAGGTCAAAATATCAACATTAGCAGGAATTTGGAAGAAGTTGATTACAACCCTTATTGATGACTTTGATGGGTTTAAGACTTCAGTGGAGGAAGTCACTGTAGATGTGATGGAAATATCAAGAAAACTAGAATTAGAAGTGGAGGTTGCAGTGGTTCCCACCTGTAATCCCAGCACTTTGGGAGGCCAAGGCGGGCAGATCACCTGACATCAGAAGTTCAAGACCAGCCTGGCCAATATGGTGAAACCCTGTCTCTACTAAAAATACAAAAATTAGCTGGGCGTGGTGGCTTGTGCTTGTAGTCCCAGTTAGTTAGGAGGCTGAGGCAGGAGAATCGCTTGAACCCGGGAGGCAGAGGTTGCACTGAGCAGAGGTTGCACCACTGCACTCCAGCCTGGGCAATAGAGTAAGACTCCATCTCAAAAAAAAAAAAAAAGATGTGGAGCCTGATGATGTGACTGAATCGCTGTGATCTCATGATAAAACTGAGTGATAAGGAGTTGTTTATTATGGATGATTAAAGAAAGTGGTTTCTTGAGATGGAATCTGCTCCTGGGAAAGATGCTGTGAACATTGTTGAAATGACAACAAAGGATTTAGAATATATTAGTTGATAAAGCAGCAGCAGGTTTTGAGAGAATCTACTGTGGTAAAATGCTATCAATAGCTTTACATGTTACAGAGAAATCTTTCATGAAGTCCATCAACACAGCAAACTTCTTTACTGTCTTATTTTAAGAAATTGTCACAGCCACCTCAACATTTATCAACCACCACCATGATCAGTCAGCAGCCATCCACACCCAGGCAAGACCCTTTACCAGCAAAGAAATTATGATTTTCTGAAGGCTCAAATGATTGTGAGCATTTTTTGAGCTATAAAGTATTTTTAATTAAGGTATGCCCATTGATTTTTTAAGACATAATGCTATTGAATACTTAATAGACTACAGTATAGTATAAACATAATTTTCATATGCACTGGGAAACCAAAAAAATTGTGTCTTGCTTTATTGCAATATTCACTTCATTGCAGTGTTCTGAAACCAAACGTGCAATATTTCTAAGATATACCTATATGTTTTATCCCAAAGATGTTTGAAATTTTTATCTGATCAAATCTGTCAGTCTTTTCATTTATGGTTTCCAGGTTTTGTGTACAATTTACAAATATATTATCCTCCTCATAATTTGAAAACATTTTTACTTGCTTGTAGAATATTTGAAATACTTTTTAATGTTTAAATCTATAACACACATAGAATTCATTTATTGGTGTATGATGTGAGATGATAATTAAGAGATATAACCCCAATACTTTTTTCTTCTTGATTTGAAACATGATTTTATATATATTTTCCAATATACACAGATCTGTGTCTTATCACATTTCTTTATCCATTCATCTGTTGATGGAGACTTAGGTTGTTTCTATGTCTTAACTACTGTGAATTATGCTGCAATGAACATGGGGGTGCAGATATCTCTTTGGTTTCATTTCCTTTGGATACATACCCCCAAATTAGATTTCTGAATGGCATGTTTTTCTATTTTTAATTTTTGGAGAAACCTCCATACTCTTTTCTGTAATGGCTGTACCAATTTACATTCCCACTTACAGCATACAGGGGTTCCTTTTCTCCACACCCTCACCTATACTTGTTATCTCTTGCCTTTTTGATAATAGCTATCCTAATAGGTGTGAGGTGATATTTCATTATAGTTTTGAGTTACATTTCTCTCATGGATGGTTAGTGATATTGAGTGCTTTTTTATAACCCATTGGCTATTTATATGTCTTCTTTGGGAAAAAGTTTATTCAGATCCTTTGCCCATTTTTAAATTAGGTTATGACATGATTTTGTTTTGTTTTTTGCTATTGAGTTATGTGAGTTCCTTATATATTCTGGGCAATAACCCTTATCAAATACATGGTTTGCAAATATTTTCTCCTATTCCATAGGTTGCCTTTTCATTTTTAAAATTATTTCCTTTGCTGTACAAATCTTTTAGTTTGATGCAGTTCCACTTGCTTATTTCTGCGTTTGTTGCCTGTGTTTCTGGTGTCTTATCTAAAAGATAATTGCCCAGACCAAAATCGAGGAGTTTTTCCCTGTTTTCTTCTTTGAATTTTATGGTTTCATGTTTGACATTTAAGCCTTTAATCTATTTGGAGTTAATTGTTGTATATGATGCAAGCCAAATATCTCATTTCATTATTTTGCTTGTGGATATTCAGTTTTCTTAGCACCACTTATTGAAGAGGCTATCCTTTCTCCATTATTTATTCTTGGCACCCTTGTCAAGATTAAGTGCCCCTTCTTGACATTTGTATTTATCACACTGCTGGAAGTCCTAGTCAGAGCAATTAGGCAAGAAAAAAAAGTCATCCAAATTGGAAAGAAGTTAAAATGTCTCTGTTTCCAGGTGACATTATCTTCTACGTAGAAAACCCTATAGACTCCACCAAAAAACTGTTGGAACTAATAAATGAATTCAGTAAAGTTGCAAGATTTAAAGATCAGTTGTGTTTCTACACACTAACAATGAACTATCCAAAAAGAAATTAAGAAAATAATCCCATTTACAATAGCAACAAAAAGAATAAAATGGGAACAAATTTAACCAGAGGTGAAATATTTGCACACTGACAACTATGACACTGATGAAAGAAATTGAAAAAGATGCAAATAAATGGAAAGACATATCCTGTTCATAAACTGGAAGAATATTGTTAAAATGTTCATACCATCCAAAGTGATCTGGATAGTCAATGAAATCTCTATCAAAATTTCAATGACATTTTTCACAGAAATAGGAAAAAGGAATCCTAAAATTTGTATAGAACCATAAAGACCCAAATACTAAAAGTAATCTTGAAAAAAAGGAACAAACCTGGAGGCATCACACCGTATGATTTTAAACTATATTACAAAGCAAGAGTAATCAAAACAGTGCTGGCATAAAAACACACATAAACCAATGGAATAGAATAGGGAACCCGGAAATAAACTCATGAATGTATGTTCAAGTAATCTTTGATAAGGGCACCAACAATAGGATTTTCTTTATGTAAATGTTCCACATTTTCATTTTTCTTATCTGCTTTATAGAGCTATATATAAAACAAATTCATCACCTTAAGGTATAACTGAATTTGTTTTAACAAATGTGTGCAGTTATATAAATACCTCCACTATCATGATATGTATCATTTCCATCACCCCAAAGTCCACTTGTGTTCTTCTCAGCTGTCTCTGATTCTTGACAACAGCTGATCTGTTTTCTGTTCGTTTGTCTTTTAAGAAATGAGGCCTCACTACGTTGTCCAGGATGGCCTCAAACTCCTGAGCAAGTGATCCTCATGCCTCAGATTCCAGAGTAAATGGGAATACAGGCATGTACAACTCACCAACCCAGGTTGTTTTTTTTAAATGCTGATCTGTTTACATCACTCTAGTTTTGCCGTTTCTGGAGTTTCATATAAATGAATTCATACAGTATTGAATTTACTTATGTTTAGCCCCTGTCAATTAACATAATGCTTTTGAGATACATCCATGTTATTGTGTGTGTTCATAGTTACTCTGTTTTTCATCGCTGAGAAGTATTTCTTTATATGAATACATTACAGATAGTTTATTCACCTGTTGATAGGCATTGAGGTGTTTCCAGTTTCAGCTATTACAAATAAAGCTGACAGGAACATCTGAACACAAATCTTTGGGTTGGGCATGTTTTATTTTGGGGAGTGAATGCCCAGGAGTGGTGCTATTGGGTCATATGAACATACATGTATGTTCAGTATTTTGAGATTCTGCCAAAATGTTTTTCAAAATGATTATGCCCTCTTGCATTCCCACCAGTAATGTGTGAAGCTTCTCATTGCTCCACATACTCACCAATACTTGATAGTGTTAGTAAAACTTTAATTTTTTTATAAAGTCTACATTTACCATTTTTCCTTTATAATCTGTGATTTTGAGGTCCTATTTAAGGAATCTTTTCCTAACTCAAGAACCTATGTTTTCTTCAAGTTTTTGGTGTTAGCGCTTATTGAGATCTATAACCCATTTTGAGTTAGTTTTTGCATATAGTTTGAGCTAAAGATTGATTTCTTTTCTTTTTTTGCATGTGGATACTCAATCATTCCATCATAATTTGTTGAAAAAAGTATCCTTTCTGCATTGAATTAGTTACTTTGACGTCCTTGTTGAAAGTCAGTTGGCCATATATGTTTAGGTCTATTACTTGACTTTTTTTCTGTTCCATTTATCTGTATGTCTATTCTTATGCCAATACACCATCTTGATTACTACAGTTTTACAAATCCTGAAATCAGGTAGTGTAAGACCTCCAGTTTTGTTTTTCAGAATTGTTTTGGCTATTTCAGACCCGTGCATTTTGAAGATTCTTCTATCTTGCAGCTCAGCTACTGTCAAGATTACATCATTGTCCAAGGTGCCTGCTAAGCTCCAGCCACAATGTCCATGTTCTAGGCAGTCAGAAGGAGAAAGGGTGAAGAGCAAAATTATCTTCCCCAGAGGCCTATTACTTTTGCGAGAAGTTTTCTCCGGAACTCCCCTCCTCCCACAATATTCTGCTCTCATCTTAGTGGTCAGATCTTAAACTGGTGGCCATGTCAGGTGTGAGAGAGGTTATGAACTGTGGTTTTTCTCTGGAAATATCGATGTCTGCAGTCTTGGAGGTATTCTTTTAGTTGATCAGGAGTGGAAAGTAGATATGTGGAAAACAATATGAATTGACTTCGCCAATTATTTAAAATGTGTTAAATGTTCCTTTGCATCCTAATGTGTGGTCATTATTTGTAAATGTTCTATGCCACTTGAGAATAATGTACATTTGAGCTATTTGTTAGGCTCTGGCTTCACTCCATGCATATCTTTATAAAGCAAAACTTTGTTGTTTAAATATGGGTTCATAGTAATTTATTTCCTCCATCAAATTTGTATAGAAACTTGTTAAATTCTCACACAAGGTTGTATATTTGCCAATTCCTCCTTATTTTGTTCATTTTCTTTAAATATGTTGAGACCATTAATGACTTTATAACCTCTTAGTGGATTTCTTTTCTTTTATCATTATACAGCATTCTGCTTTATCCATATTGGTGCTTTTGCCTTAAAATCTCTTTTACCAAGTGCTAATGTTGTTATATAAACTTTTTTTTCATATTTTTCACTCAATTTATGTTAAGCCATCTTGTGCAGCTTTGTTTTATGTCTCTTGTAACAGCACTTAGCTTTTGCAATTTTATCTGATAATCTTAGCTTTTTAATGAATTTTTATTTGTTTTCATTTATTATGATTCCAGATGTATATGGACCTGTATCTTCTGTGGTAGTGTTGACCATTCTTAATTTGTGTTTTTTTGTGTGTCTCTTTCCTGATTTCTGATGGATTGATATAAAATTCTATATTCTCCCTTTTCCCCCTGCTGGTTTGGAAATTAAAGACAAAATTTCTGTAATCTTATTAATCATGCCCCAAACCCCAGAGATGACAAGGATCTTGTAATGGTTTCACTACAAATTGAATACCCCATCTCTACCATTTGGCTATTATTGTTTAATATTTAATTTTTAACTATAAATTTTGAAACTATTATTTTTACAGTTGATATTTACTTAAATCAATTTTTTAAATCATTTTATGTACTCACCATTGTTCTTTTTCTTTGGTTTCACTTTTTGTCTAGCTGAAGTGAATTCTTTAGTTTTTCTAGTGAGTGATCTCTAAGTGGTAAATTCTCTAAGTGTTGTATGTACAAATTTGTCTTTCTTTTGATAGAAATTTTTAGCTAAGTTAAAAATTTTAGGTTGATATTTATTTATTCTCAGTATAGTAAAGTGATTACTACATTGTCTTCTGGAATCTATGGTATGGCTAATAAAAATCATTCTTTTATTGTAACTATAACTTTTTGGTAAATATTCTGTCCTTTCTCTCTAAAAGCTTTTTTCCCCAATTTTTAATCATGAAAATTTCAAGCATGCAGAAGTCTTGGGAGAATTGTATACTAAACATCAATATACTTTCACACAGATTCACAAATAACATTGTATCATTCCTGCTTTATCGCTTTTCTATCTGTATTAGCCCATTTTTACACTGCTGATAAAAACATACCCAAGACTGGGTAATTTGTAAGGAAAAAGAATACAGGTTTAATTAACTCACAGTACCATGTGACTGGGGAGGCTTCACAATCATGGCAGAAGGTGAAAGGCACGTCTTACATGGCAGCAGGCAAAGACAGAGTGAAAAACAAGTGAAAGGGGTTTCCTTTATAAAACCATCAGATCTCGTGAGACTTGTTCACTACCATGAGAACAGTACAGGGGAAACTGCCCCCCGATTCAATTTTATCTCCCACTGGGTCCCTCCCACATGAGAATAAGGGAGCTACAATTCAGGATGAGATTTGAGTAGGGACACAGACAAACCATGTCACTATCCATATATACATTTTTTTATCCGCTCAATAACTCATGGTCAAGTTTGAAACATTTCAGGGTTGCAGACATCAGTACCCTTCCCCCTCAAATACTTCTGCATGCATTCTTTTTTTAAGATAAAATTTACAATGAAATGCACAAGTATTAAGAGTACCATTGGATGAGTTCTTACAACCACACTTTTCTGCACCATCGAAATCTTTATCAAGATACAGAACATGATCATCACCCTGGAAAGGTTCCTTATATCCTTTCTGGTATATCTCCACCCACTACCTATCAGGGCAATCACTACTCTTTGTTTTTCCATGATAACTTAATTTGGGTTTTTAAAAAACTTTATATAAATAAGGTTTTACAGCGTGTTCTCTTTATTGTGAGATTTATTTCACTCAGCATGTTTTTGAGATTCATTCATATCATTGGATGTATCAGTAATTTGTTTGTTTTCATTGCTAGTGTCCATTGTCTGAATATACTGAATTTTGTTTATAATTCTCCTGATGAACGTCACCTCAAGTATTTTCAGTTTTTTGCTATTAGGAAAACTCTCCTCAGCACATTCTTGTAGAAGTCTTCCTGTTTTTTCATATCTCTTATCTAAATACCTAGGAGCAAAATTGCTGGGATATAGAGTAGACGCATCAGTTCTTTCCCCTCAAGACCCAAGAAAAGGATGGTGCAGAGGAAGCCCAGGTGGATGGTGCACTCACAAGTGTGTGCTGCAGTGGAGGAATGCTTCACTGAGGAAACCCATGGGGTTTGCTAGCTAGGCGACTGCTAGCAAACCTGCCCAAACCTTACCTCCGAGGGAGATATTATCTTTTTAGCTGGAACGTAAGCAACTCACCTCTGGGGATATTAAGCAAATCTCTCCTGGGGACATCTCCTCTGGAAAATTTCTAAGGAGGGAGATGTTCTCCACTTTATACTGGTCAGGGAATAAATTTGCCCTATAATCTGGAGGCTACATGATCTCTAGCTTCCAAGGCTGCTTGCTATTCTGACATCCTTGAAGCAATACCCTGATACCGTGAGTACAGAAATGCCATGGAGAATAGCTTCTCAACAAATTCTTCCCACATTTTTGCTTCTGGCAAATTTCCTCATGAAGACACTACCCCATCAGCCACTCTGATTAATTTGACCCATGGGTCCAGATATATTTGATTTGTTAAATGTTGTAGGAACAAATTGCAAATGTAGGTGCAGTGGCTCACTCATGTTATCTCAGCACTTTGGGAGACCAAGGCAGAAGGATCACTTGAGGCCAGGAGTCCAAAAACAAGCAAAACAACCAAAACAAGCCTGGGCAAGATAGTGGGACCCTGTCTCTCTACACACACACACACACACACACACACACACACACACACACACACACACATTTCATAAACCGTGAATGCTTTAGGTCTTTAGGTCCCTTATGACCAGCTGACCACCTCTAAGGTACAAGTCACTTTATGTGAGGCAAGCAAGTTAATGCCTGGCTTTCATACAATAAGCACAATCCCCAGAGCACACAAGGTGTTCGAAGAAGGGAAGTGTTTACAATTGTTGAGCTTCCCTGAGTGGGATGTACATTTGTCAGGGGGAAGGTGAACAGTGCCTCCTCCTACATGGCTCCTGGCTGTCTGTAAGCCTTGGGGTTCCCAGTTCTGTTCGTTGTGTCCAGTCCTTGATTTGTTTGTGTGTGTGGCTGGGGAGAGGTGGGCATGTGAGGGGACTGCTTGAGGACAGTCTGTCCAATCTATCCTCTTTGTCCATGACACCAACCAGGTAACAGTCACCCCCCCACCCACCCCAACAAATGACTGAGAACAGGGGTAGGGACAATGTCTAGAGGGTTCTATGTGGGACCTCAGAAGCTGGGCCCAGCCCCTGCCGTCTCATGCCTGGTGCGGAGAGGCTGACTCAGCATTCTCAGAGGTGGGAGCACTGGAGCAGGGTGTTTTCCTTCTGGACAAAGGATCCAGGGTAGTTCTGAGAGACAGATATCACCAATGCTCCTGCTTCCTCCATACCTCCTAGGGTTGGAGGTGTTCCTGCCTTAGATCTCTGGATTTTTGCTCTTGCTTCACTGCTGCAAAATCTGTCTGTACCATTCTGGTGGCTGTACCTTCATCTTTTTCTCCTAATTGTCTCTTTTCTCACTTAGATCTTCCATCCACAAAATTAGATACAAGTAGAGCAAAAGCATTTTCATTAGCTGTGTCTGGAGTGAAATCTGAATCCCCTGGGCACTCAGAAGGCTGTGCCTACCAGGCTGATGGGGAAAGAATGAGGCATCATCCCTAGGAATGACCAGGGTCACAACAGAATCCTGAATTTTCAAGATAGGTCTACAGAACACTTGCAATCCCCACCACTTTTGTCCTGGTCACTATCCGGGAAGGAGATGATCCCTTTCTGGGGACTGCTCCCTTCAGTGAGCCTACTGCCCTCCCATAGTGTGCAGACAGGAGGAGATGAGGGACGTCAGAAAATCAGTGCATTGTGGAGTCACTTTTCTGATAAAGGGCACATCAGACTGCAAATGGTCCAGACAGCCAGATTCAGGACACTGATGAGTTTCTGGGGTCACCATAGCATCCCTGGAGTCAGCTGCTCTGCAGCCTGAAGGAGGGCTGACAGTGTGGAGTCACTGCTATTACTTAATGAAATTATATAGAAATTCTATAATGATTATGTAATTGCATAATGAAAACTCTCCATATCAGAGTTCAGAATATCTCCCAATTTCCAGTACAGAATATTATCCATAACACCATCAACCTCAAGGAGGATGTCCTCTCATTGCACATGTGAATTTACACAACAAACACTTGAAAAAGCAACATGAAATAGCAGTTATCATTCACTTTAAGGTGCCAGCAAGAGTTAATTTTCCATTAAAAATGTTGTTTCAAAGGAAGGTCATCTCTTATAGTCTCTCCCAAGCCCATGGCCCAAGGCTCATGCAGAATTAAAATAGGACTCTGTACTCAACTTCCACACTGCTACACTGATCATAAAGAATTTTGCCCCATTCCTGTGGACCAAAGTATGAAAAAATCTTGTATACTACTAGCATATAAAGCTCAAATAATTATATTTATTCCTCTGTATAATTAACTTTATTCTCTTTGGTTTGAAGGAAAAAAGAAGGGGCATGGCTGGAGCAGAATGGGAACGAGAACGCAGAAAAACAACCAACAAAATGGTAAGCAGGCAAAGTGAAGTAGTTACAGCTTTTGAGTTTATTAAGGCGCTGTCCATTGTATTCTGGAAGGCCTGCAGTTCACGAGGGCCAGGAGAGTTCTGTACTTCCTGTATCCGTTAGGATGTAGACCAACAGGCTGTGACAAAGAGGCCTGAGAATGCAATGGCTTCAACAAAATGGTTTCTAATGCATGTAATAGTCCAGAGGCCCACAGTTAATAGGGAGGTCTTATCATCCTCAGTATGACTTTCTTCAGTAGCTCAAGAAATTTTTATTAATTTGGAAAAATGTTCTTAAGAGGGTTAAGTGAAGAAAGCAAGGTGTATGTGTATGTGTGTGCAACTGTAAAATATATATATACATATATATAACCATATTTTATGTGAAATATTTATACTTGTGAAAGTATGTTTTTATGTATCTATCAATCCTTACATAGATATATGCAATTATTTATCTGTGTGTATGAAGAGATATAAAGCTATAGAAAAATCAGTGGCTGTTCATTTATAAAGATATATGCAGTGGTTACATTTAGTCAGTATAATAGAGGTGATGTTTATATTTTTATTTGTGGTATTTAAGTATATGTGTTGTATTAAAATTTTAAAAATCTTCAACTTTTATAATGAAAAAATGGTCTTTAAAAGGCAACATATGCAAAAAGAAAAGCCTAGGAGAATATTTGTTAACAAATCACCATCTGGAGACAGCCATCCTCATCTGTGGCTATCTCTAGATGATGATGTTTTAGACCATTTTATTTTCTGAATTTTCCATAATTATATATGTTATTTATTTTAGTCATGGTCTAAGGATTTCCTTTCTCCTAGTCAATGAAGGCTGTCTTATTTTCCAAATGATGCTCAGTTTTGAATCAGTGGATCTGTATAGTAAGATTTTAGAGTCCTATTGAAAATTGTTTCTTTTCACCAATCATCTATCTTCTGCTCTTCTGTTCTTGCCAGTTTAAGTGTCTGCCCGGCTTGTGGATGTACATTTGTGTTTGGAAAGAAAAACAAGTGGTTGCATTTATTTTAAGAATGGGTGTTTTTGGCCGGGCATGGTGGCTCATGCCTGTAACCCCAACACTTTGGGAGGCTGAGGCGGATGGATCACTTGAGGTTGGAGTTCGAGAACAGCCTGGTCAACATAGTGAAACCCTGTCTCTACTTAAAATACAAAATTTCGCTGGATGTGGTGGCGGGCGCCTATAATCCCAGCTACTCGGGAGGCTGAGGCAGGAGAATCACTTGAACCCAAAAGGCAGAGGTTGCAGCAAGTCAAAATTGTGCCACTGCACTCCAGTCTGGGAGGCAGAGAAACACTCTGTCTTTAAAAAACAAAACAAACAAACAAAAAACAAGAATGGGTGTTTTCAAATTAAAAAATTATTTGGACTGAGTCATTATAACATTTTCATTTAAGTCTGTGTGTATTATCCTAACACATTCTAAGAGACTTCAATGTACGGTTAAATTCTGTGTGTAATTTAGAAGTCAACACTCCCCAAAGCAGAAAATGCTCTGGACACCTGCTCGAGGGGATCCAGAGTGAAACCCAGGACTCCCTCACTTGCGTTTGGTCCAGCCTGTGAGCTGTTGTTCTGCCCAGTTCTATTAATACATTTTCCCTTGCCTATCCCCAGATAACAGCAAAGCCGATGGCCAGCTGGTCTCGAGTGAAAAGAAGGCGAACATGAATCTGAAAGACCTTTCCAAGATTAGGGGTAAGATAAAGTTGGTACCACTTTTCATTTGCCCTGCAGGTCAATGCACATGTTGAGGTTTTGAGGAGCCTAGAAGCTTTATTGTTTACTAGTCAAACTTAGTCAATTTCAGAGCAGTGAAATCTAAAAAACAGCAAACCCATTAGAAGCCAGAGTTGTAAGTTGATTGTATTCATATCATAGATCTTATCTGTCCAAGTTCTAAAGTTGTTTTCCTCTGTGTTTTATCTGATTTTCCTGGGAATTCCTTTGCCTTAAATCATTGGCTAATTAAAATGGCTGGACCTGGTAAATTGTAAGCAGAATACAGGTTTATTTTCCCACTGCCCTTTGAAGTCCTCCTCCTAGATAAGTTATTTCTTGTCCTGAGCAAGCCCTATCGCTTTCCTGTTCCCTTTTCACAACAATAAGAGTCTCATTTCAGTAATTGAGAGTCTTTCTGACCAAGTATTAAAACTCCAATGTCCTCCCCAGTTTAAAGCACCTTCCCTCCTTCAGCCTGGGCAAGCCTTAGTCTGGAACACATATAGTTGGGGGGTGACATGGCCAGTGTCTTCTCTTATTCTGTCTTGGCCCTACCCCCACTCCATAGCTGTTGGCTTGGTCCCATCCAGGATTGGGGAGGTGAGAGAAAGGGGTGAGATCAGAGTGTGGAAGTGTCTTGCCTGACAGGTGCAGCCGTGAAATGACATTGCAAGTGGTTGATGCACAATCACTAGCTCTTTCTTCCGTGAGATGCTTTCATCAAGTCCACTGCAAGGGAAGGGGAGGGGTCAGGCATCACAGCTTGACTTATTTTGAAAGAAATAGAGCTTTTCTTCTACAACCTGGGTGTGAGTGAAGGGCTGAACCTGGCATAATCAGTTCCACCAACTCTTTCTATGGTCCCATAGGTGGACTGGTGCATTGTCCTAGGATGCGGGTGCTTGGAACTTGGGTAATCAACTCAACCTACTTGCTTGGGACTTTCTCAATTTTGCCAGTGAAACTCTCATGTCCTGGGCACCCCCTTAGTCCTGGACAGACCAGGACAATTGGTCATTCTACTTGGTACTTATTGGATTGTTCCCAACCATTGGGACTTGAAGTGAAATTTTGAGAAAACAGGAGGAAATTGAAAACTCTGTCACACTTCTTTCTAGAGGTTAATACCAACCATAACAATTATTTTAAAACAACTTTAAATTATATTCTGACCACCATAGTATTTATTAAGGTTTATGTTAGGGTTTCAGTATTGTTAAATGGGTATTACAGCCTGAGACACAATAATATTTGAATCCTGCCTTGCTCAGCCACTTGATTCTGAGAGTAAAACACAGTAGTGCTGTATTATGAATTTGCTGGATTTAAGCTCCAGTTTGTTCTGTACCAAAACCTCCATAGACTAGAGTAGACTTCATGTTGTTTCTTTTTTCTCCCTAAAAATATGAGGCCTAAACAGATTTAATGAAAGCTAAATCCGACATACCCACTAGTCCCAGAAAAGATGTAACCAGACAGAAACAGCTAGAGAGAAAGGAAGAAATAACTCTGTATTAGCTGGACTGTTCAAGGTTGTGGCCAGAGCTCTAGTGCCAAGCCTGGCTGGAATATAGGAGGGAAAAGAGCAGCAAGGATATGACATCTGGATCTATTCTCACTGTACGGTGAGTGCGGACCCTCAGGAGAGGAGGGAGGGGTGAAGCATTGAAGAGGAGAGACCTGGAGATGTCCTGGACTTCCAGAGTCCACTTGGCATCTTGCGTGGGAGAGGAGGGGAGGAGAGCTTCTCAGAGAGCCACACCTGTGTGGCTGATGTTCTATTGCCTGGAAACCTCATCTTCCAGAGGCAGGCAGCAAGATGGAGCAAAAAGATTAACATGCGTCTTGGAGAACCACAGTTCCACCTCTTTAGTAGTTTTTCTTAGCCCTTGGCTGTTACTATACAAGCCTCCTACCTCCCTATACAAGTTTATTAAACTCTTCTAAAGCTCTTCTTTGAGTGCCTGTTATCTTGGTTAAATATTAACAGGATGACAACTTGCAAATTTGAAACTTGTTTGATCTTGGGATAAGATGTCTGTAATTATCAATATTGGTTCCTTGGGCCATTTGGGTCTTAAATGGGTAAAAACCTGGTCAGTAACTGTGTAGTCTAAAGACCAGAAAGTGGAATTATATTACCAAGCCATAGGTCTACTTTGGGTCCGATTGGTCCTTTCTACTTTGCTGGCCTAATATGCTCATAATATGCTTAGAGTTTAGAGCACTTAGGAATAAGTAGGTTGGAAAATATTTTTCCATGGGGCCTACATGACCCTGACCAGCATCCCTAGATGGTGGTCATTGGATGGTGGACATCCAGCACAAGGAGGAAGGAACATTTTGCTTTCCTGCTTTGGAAAATAAAACACATTTGAACATTAGTAAACATTGAGATGCCCACTCACAGCCAATTAACATGCACTTGGGAGAACGTCGTCGGCTGCAGTGTCTGCCATGTCAATCCTTAATTACTATTTGGAATGAAGGCTGTGGAAGTCTCAATTCTACCCATTCCTCATGGTTAACCTTCTTCTGATTAGTTTCTTAGATCCTAATATTTATTTTTTCCAAAGCCATGTGAACGAAGCCCTGGTCACATTTACTATTACTTTCAGCACAAGGGTACAAATATCTTCCCCCAATGTGATATGTGCAGCATACATCTCACCTATGGAGCACCTAATAGGGTTTCCCTTAACTCACAGAACTGCCATTTATTTGTGTCTCTGCTAAGAGAAACCCAAACACCTTCACTTAATTTTGTAGTTTTGTCTCAATTTTCTCTGAATATTTTAGTCTCTGTAATGACAGTAATCATCATTTTGATCTTGCAAAGATTAAATTAGTGGATGTGTGTTTAACATATATTATATGCCATATATATATTTCAAATATATATTTGAAATGAAATATGAAATGAAACTTCAAAATATGAAATGAACCTTCAAAATATGGAATGAAGTATTTATACTGTTGTTTGAGTTATATGTGAAATACTGATTTCAATTAGTTTTTTTCTAATGTAAGAATAGGAAAATGAAATATAAAGTGAACCTAACATTAGCTATCTAATTCTTCATACCTTAAAGGCTAGGGTTTAAATCTTTTTATTTATATATTAAACAGGCTTTTGGAAAGTTACATTTAAATGGAATTTTTGAAAAGCAGCAATATATGTAACACAGCTGCTCATTTGTAACTGTGATTTTATTATTCTACTTTCTCAGGGAGAAAGAGAGGCAAACCTGGAACCCACTTTACTCAGAGTGACAGAGCTCCACAGAAAAGAGTCCGATCAAGAGGTAAAAAAGAAAAGAGGAATGCACTTTCAATAACTAAACATCTAATTTCCTGTGCTTTATGCTGTATTTTCAGTAATAAACCTATTTCTTTAATTGTTTTATGAAGCTATACTAACTATTGAAAAACATATCTTATTAAGTCATTTTCCAAAATGTATCAAGGAAAGAAGGAAGTAAGTTGGTGATGGATCTACAACCAGACCCTGGGGCCCCAGGGGGTCACTAAAGTGCTACTTCCACTGAAATGATAAATTTCAAGGCTGAAGATAGGCCATTGCTGTATAAAGGGTATAACCCGTAAGTGATTTAGCTGATCTTCCTCTGGCTACACAGAAAGCCACATGTTGCACACTAAGGTTGAACCAGAGTTGTGGTTAGAGATCTGTGTCCTAAGGCTTTTTGGCTTTTTAAAAAATCTTTGACTGTGTGATCTTGTGCTGACCACTTGGCCTTCTTTGCCTTGGTTTCCTCATCTGAGAAGCTAGAGGATGAATTAGGCCAACCACCCTTCTTATTAGTCCATCCCAGTCTAAATAGTGTGCCCTTTTCAAAACCAGTCTCAGGACCAAAGACCGCTTCCCCTGCCCATCATGGCCTCTACACCTCTGTTTGGAAGGGCAGGATTAGCTGCTCATCCTCCTGGAGTTTTTCTTTGAAAAACTTTCACACCTACTTCTGTAGTATCCGGTTCTCAGTTCCCCACCCCCTGCTAGGTACAATTTTCAGATTATTCTAGAGCTCCCTGAGCTCCTTTCTCAGCTGTGGAGAAAGCTGATAGGAGGGGAAAATGGAGCAAAGCAGAGAATAAAAGTAGAAGGCAGGTGCTGTCTCCATTAGGTTATCTCATCATTAGCCTCTCCCTCCTTGACCAGTCAGTGCCCAAATGGGAGACTGATTATGGTCTCTGGCTTCATCTCTGGCTACCTAACTGCAGCAAAACAGAATAGCTGGAGAGCGCCCATCAAACCAATGACAACAACTGTATGTTTCATTGTCATATAAGAATCAGTGGAGCTTACTACACTGGAAGTTAAAACAGTTTTACTGAAGTCTAATTTCTCTGATAAAGCATTCAATTTTCTGTGAAATTTGAAAGGTGAAATTGGGGCACACATTCTGTAGTTACCGATCAAAAATGCCACTTGGAAGAAAGACTTTGAAACTCTAGAGATTTATGGAATAGAATTTCCTAAGTACTCTTTGTGCCTTTATAGGATTTACCTCAGTGGGAAGGGGGGATGTGCCTTTGCAAAGTGAGACAGAATGAAGAAATCCTCTCTTTCAGCTTCAAGAAAGCACAAAGATGAAACTGTGGATTTTCAGGCTCCTTTACTTCCAGTGACCTGTGGTGGGGTGAAGGGAATTTTACATAAGGAGAAATTGGAACAAGGTGGGTTTCATAGTCTTCTTTAATTTGCAGCTCCTATCTGAAGGCATCACAAGAAGTGGTGAAATTATTTGTGTGAATTACACATCATTCAAGGAGTTTTGGGCCCAGTTTAGCTTGAGGGAAGGAGGAAGGGATCCCTAAGATGACATTTTAAGACTTTAAGAAATCACACCCATTAGACGCTGACTCGCACATGGAGTGTCCAGGGGGTACCCAAAGAACAAAAGAGAAGGCAGGAACGTCAATTCACAGATGGAAAATGTCAGGTATTTTACTTTGAATCAGACAGAAAAGGGAAGAGGCCCTCAACCTCAAGCTTCATATTCTCTCTCCCTTCTGGAGTGCTGTCACCAAGGCAGGGTGCTTGGCTTGGGTGATGATCACAGGTTTTAACATTAGGAAGCCTGAGTTCCAGCCTTGGCTGTGCCAGGAATGACTGTTCCATTCTGAGTAGAGAAGGGGACCTTTCTGAATGTGAAATCTCTCATCCAAGAGAGGGAACAATAATTAAAAACCTACCTCATGATGTAGCTGTGAGAATTAATTTACATATTAATGTAAAATATTTTACGATTGAAAATTATAAAACTGTCAAAAATGTCTATCAGAATGGCCTTCATCTCAGACCTCTCTTAACTTGGCTCTTTGAGCACCAATTAATATAAACATTTTCATTGTGACTTTTTTTAACAGCTTAACTGAAATACAGTTCATGTATCATGTAACTCACCACTTAGAGTATACCAATCAATGATTTTTTTTGTATTTTCACAGGATTGTACAGCCATTATTATCACCTAATTTTAGAACAATTTGTCCTTCACTAAAGAAAACCCCATGTCAATTAGTAGTCAATGCCCATTCCCACCTCACCCCAATGCCCAGCCCTAAGCAGCTGCTAATCTATTTTCTGCTCTATAAATTTGCTTATTCTAGGCATTTTCTGCAAATGGAATCCTATCATACATCCCCTTTCATGACTGGCTGCTTTTAATCAGCATGATGTTTTCAAAGTTCATTCATATTGTATTAGTACTTCATTTCTTTTCTTGATAAATCATATATTTCATTGTATAGATATACCACATTTTGTTTATCCATTCATCAACTTGGGTTATTTTCACTCTTTGGCTGTTATAAATAATGCTGTTTTGAACATTTATGTAACAAATTTGGTGTGAACATATTTCAGCTCTTTGGAGTGTATATTCAAGAAAGGAATTGCTGAGTCAAATGGTAATTCTATTCTTAACTTATTGAGGAAACACCAAAGTGTTTTCCACAGTAGCTGCACTATTCTATATTCCCACCAGAAATGTATGAAGGCTCCCATTTCTCTACACACTCACCAACACTTGTTATTGTTTGTCTTTTTTATTATGATCATCCTAGTGAGTGTGATGTGGTATCTCATTGTGGTTTTGCTTTGCATTTCCCTAATGGCTGATGGGGTTGACTATCTTTTATATATAACTTAATTTTTCTATTAGGTAACATTTCACAATTATTTTTTAATATCAGCTGCCCATGATTGCACAGATGAGAAAATCTCTGTTCAATAATGCCCTAAAACTGAATGAAAAATGTTGTAATAGAAGGTGCATATGTTGCCAGTGTGGCCTCCTGAGCCACAGGGCACCTATCTCAGACTGTACCCCTAAGTAAGGATTCTGCCTCCACATTGCCTCCAGAGCCATCTGCAGACTCAGGCCTGGTCTCTACTCCCAGAATTCAACAGCAAGTTGGAGTCCTCTCATCTTTCAGAATCACTTGCTTTTCCTTCTGTAAGTGCTTTTGAAATGCTTAAAAGGTTGCTCTTGCTGATAACCATCACTCTCCTCATGGGTGAAGGTCAAAGACATGTGCACCCCCACCAGGAAATATACTTAGAGGGGACTTTCAGGCTGGATTTGGGGCCTCTGAAGTCTGAGAGGGAAGGCCAGACCCTCCTGCTATTGATCTTCATCACAAATTGGGTGGCTCTAGATCCAATGTGGTGAGTGGCCACAGTCTGAGCGCTGGGAACAAAGAGGGCTCAGGATCAAGTTACCCTGGTCTTACAGGAACCTTGGCAAAGTGTATACAGACTGAGGATGGAAAATGGTTCACCCCCATGGAATTTGAAATCAAAGGAGGCTACGCAAGATCAAAGAACTGGAGGCTGAGTGTGCGCTGTGGCGGGTGGCCCCTACGACGGCTGATGGAGGTATTCCAATGACAAGAGGCCAGACCTGTGCCCATTCTTCTTGTTCCCTAATAATGAGGAGACTGTTTATTCACCAAATATTTGTTAGGTTATAGCTAAAGCCTTGATGCCAGTGAGTTTATCCTCTCACTCAGGAGAGAGGGACCCCATATCCATAACCACACTACAGTGCAACACACTGATGTTGTACCAGGGGCTCCATCAGGATAGACTCAGCAGCTTGGAGGAGGAAAGGGTAATTCTGACTAGGGTGCATGTGGACAATTTTGTGCACTGAGAAAAAGAAGAGAGTCGATAGTCAAGCAGGGCAAGAAGACACTTCAGAGAAAGAATGACCTGAAAACCAGAATGGCATGAAAACAAGAACCATAGTAAAAATATTAACAGCTCTGTGGATTTAGGTAGATGGGTTGTGTACAATAAGGCACAATTCAGCAACTGGGGTTGTCTGTGGAGCACTTTAATGCCGGGCTAAGTAATTCAAATCTGTAATTGATAGCAACAATCAGTGAAATCTTCTGAGATTGGAAATGACATTTAAAACAGTATTTTAGACAGCAATGGGGCTTTGAAATGCCTTCACTGTCTCCCCTGCTAGCAAACCTATACTCAGTCTAGAATGCTTAGCTCAAATGTTACCCTCTTCCTTAAATATTCACTGACCTATAGCCATGGGTCCTCCCTTCCCAGGGTTCCTGAGCCCCTACTAATGCCCTTTTTTCACTATTTATATTTATCCTTCTGTGAGTGCTTTTTGTCTGCAGACCCCTTTAGGTTTTCCCATCTTCATGTACCCAAGATTGATCAGAGTGACTGACACCCAGTAGCATGCAATAAGTGTGTGCTGCTTGGATAGCTCTGGTGTAGGAACTCCAGCTGGAGTGGCACTGGTGCAACTGGAAAAGAAGTGATAGATGGTATGAGATTATGAATGAAAACCTCTTAGGACTTAGGAAAGAAGCACAAGAGAAGGGAAAATGGTCCTGAAAATGATTTTCTGGCTTCTATTGATTGGAGTCTAGAAGCACAGGTGAAGACAGGGAGATGGTTTCTCATTCAGACACACTGGGTTTGAGCTGGCATTGGAACACTCAGGTAGAAGTATTTGGGAAGAGGTTGGAAATGCCAGACTCACAAAACAGAAACGCAGGCTGACTATGTACCTTGGTCTTTTTATCTTTCAGGAAGGATCTCTACCTAATCCTCCAAGAATATATTACAGGAACAAAAAGGTGATTATTACATAATTTTCTACAGATTCTTGTCACACAACAGATTTAACATGTACAACATCTTATTTTATGGAGTCTCCAATTGGGTAACTATAATTAAGCTTTCACCTTCTCCACTTCCCACATATAAATTTTTTTAATATACACTTTCAGAGTTACTACTTTGAATACTTTGTGTATATAAAGCTAGGTCCTCTTTGGATTAAACCGTATCAGATGGAGATGCTGAGGAGCCCTCAAAACAAACCTCCTGAATGTGTTTCAGCAATAGATACAGATGTTGTAAGAGTGTCAAAGTTGGAAAATCCAACACGGTCATGGAATACATAAAAATATTTCATAATAAGGTGAGAGTATCATCTCCAACTCAAAATCAGATTTTTTTCATTGATGTTATTATTTTCTAACTTTTGTGAAATTGATAGAGCAAACGTCTCCTCACAGTCACTTGAGACATGTATGAAACCATATATCATTTCATGAAATAGGTAATAAAAATAATATTTCTTTTCTGATCTTTCACATCCTCTTTCACCTTCCAAAAAAATGTACACACAGATACACAGAATTCTTTCTCAATGGGAAATTATTTACCTTTGTCAAGATGGTGCCATTGGGGAGGAAGATCTCCAGAGGCAAACGTATTTTACAGGAGGAGCTGACCAGGAAAATCTTTTATGTTGATGCCACCTCTTTGGTTCTACCAGAGGGACTGTGCAGACCTGCTTTTTATCTGTGAAAGTGATTTTTCCTTCACTTAAGAACGCAACAAACAAATAGGTTAAGTGCAGTGTAGATTCAGGACAAGGTGATGGTTTTTCGAAGACTGGGTGTGAATGAGAACCTGAGGAGGGGAAAGAGAAAAATGTCATCCTTATGCACTTCAGGTAGAAATATGCATTCAAGACATTCACAGACTTCTAAAACAGCTCACACATAGCTAGCCACTAAGCTTCATATTCCACTGGGAACCTGAGATCCAGGCCTTTACATTATCTGATATACTGGCTGATTTGAATTCTCAGCCACTGAGACATTTCATCCACTGGGTTTCCCGAAGGGAAACTATGATGTCACCTATTCAGTGAGTACACTAAAGACCAGCAACTCTACCTTTCCCCAGGTGCCAAGAGTAACTCAGCCTGGGTGACCCAAATGAGCTGGCAATTTCCAACCAACCGACTCTCCCTCTATTCAGGGGTGCAACACTTAGCAGCAACAAGCTACAGTTGCCTCTATATGTTATGTCTCCTCATGGGGAGAACAGAGGTCCCCCGAGTGGCAGATCCAGGATCCATTATGAACTCCATGGGTCCTCTGTGCCTCTCAGAGCTTCTCTTCCTTGCAGAGCCACTTGGCTTCTGGAAACTTCAGTGTCACTATCAGTGCCACATGATAATGTCTCTGCTCAGGCTCATGACAAGGGCCACATAAACCTTTTGGTGGTAGCTGCGGTGTTGTAAAACAATCTGATACACTCACCCAGAATAATCGTTGTGTGCTAATGCTTGCTTAAGAGACTCCAGTAATTTTTTTTTTTGAGACGGAGTTTCACTCTTGTCATTCAGACTGGAGTGCGGTGGAGCAATCTCAGCCTCGCAGGTTCAAGCAATTCTCCTGCCTCAGCCTCCCAAGTGGCTGGGATTACAGGTGCCTGTCACCACACCTGGCTAATTATTTGTATTTTTAGTAGAGACAGGGTTTTGCCATGTTGGACAGGCTGGTCTTGAACTCTTGAAACAATATTCATTTATTCACCCATTGAACATATACTTATCAAGCATATACTAAATTCCAATGGCATTACAGAAGATTGACCTCAAAAATCATTTCAAGCCAGGCATGGTGACTAGAGCCTATAATGCCAGCATTTTGAGAGGCTGAGATGGGAGGATGACTTGAGCTCAGGAATTTGAGACCAACCTGGACACATCGTGAGATATCATCTCTACCAAAAAAAAATAGAAAAATACCCAGGCATTGTGGTGCATACCTGTAGTCCCACCTACTCAGGAGGCTGAGGTGGGAGGATCACTCAAGCCTGGGAGGTCGAGGCTATAGTGAGCTGTGATTTTATCATGGCATTCTAGCCTGGGTGACAGAGTGAAACCCTGTCTCAAAAAAAAGAAAAAAAAATTGTTTCAATTTTATTGTAAACATGGATGAATTACAAATGGGTGGAGTAGGAGATTTAGGCTAGTCAGAGACGCACTCAGTGACAAGGTCACCTCTCAGGTGCTTGTGCTTTAGATCACACTTGTTTATAGCCCTGTGCCCTGGGCTACAGACAAAAGCTGAGGCTGCCTGTATCCCAGAAGGGAAAGGTGCCAACTCCTGCAATGGATATCCAAAAGCAATCTAAATAAATCTAGTGGGTTACCTCTTAAAAGACAGTCAACCTGACATCTTGTGATTTGGATAGAAGGGAGAGCAGGAGACTCTCAGGAAGAAGAGCTGCAGCACAGAGGACCTTGGAGTCATTTTATCACCAGGGCTGTGTCCCTAGGGGAGCTGCAGAAAGCAGTGCTCTTCTCTGGGACACTTTCATGGCCTCCAGGACTCTGGGCCCTGTGGTCCCTGTAGGCTGTGGGGGATAAATTCTCAGCCTGATTATTATTGCAACTCCTCTGGGTGGGATGACACAAAGGCCAAGTTTAGGAAATATGCCTGAGGGCCCCTTGGAGTAAGAGGACAAGTAGAGCTTCTCTGACTTGGCCTGGGCAAACTAGGTCCAGACTCCCTGCAGGGAATGGGACTTGCATTGGGCTGAACAGTAGTACTTGGGCACTTTTTCTTCCCTCAGTAGATATATAGGTCCAAAAAATCAGATATGAGGTAAAGGGAAGACTGTTTAAAAAAATAAAACTTTAGACAAAATAAATTTAATAGCATTTATTGGAGCAAAGAGCAATTCATGAATTGGGCAGCACTCAGAACAAGAAGAGGTTCAGAGAGCTATGCTGTAGCAGCCCAGATGGTGAGGCCAACACAGGAGTAAGACAGAGAAATTATATTTAATGGATTATCATGGAAAGATGCTAATTAGAGGTAGATGACGGATTCCAGTTGGTAAATTCTCTAGTTTCATTTTACTGTTTACATCAGGTTTCAGTTTGCTTACATAGGAAATTAAAGCACTGGAGCCACCCCAGCCTACTGGCCTTCATCTCCTCCCAATTATTTTTTTACAACTGGTTCCTGAATCCCTTCAAAGATGACTATTTAAATTTAAGTAAGTGATAGATGGAAACAATGCATTCAATATCATAAATCAATCTTTCTGTTTTTTCAACAGAGAATACTGAAGTCTCAAAACAATAGCTCAGTTGACCCTTGTGTAAGTATAAATTCTGAACTACAACCCCCAGAATATTCCACTTCTTTCTCCAGGCATATGTTCTGTGTCATGACTGCTGTTGCCTGAAGCATGTTCAGTCTCAGTTGGAGTATGTGGCTGTGTGAATTCAGTTGCATCACCCAAGCCAGGTAGATGTGCTTGGGCCTTGGATGTCTTGCAGTGTGAAAGCACTCTTTCCATCTGTTTCAGTGGAAACCCTCCAATATCCTTACTTCCTTATTCCCTTGGGTAGTGAGTATGGGAGGCTGAGCTCTAGACCACTGAGGTCTCTTGAAACAGAGCTTGAAGTGGTAATGGATAGGGCTGGCCTGGTGATTAAGGGGAAGGAGTAAATGTGAGAGGATAACAGCATTCTCAAGTAAGGGGTATGGATGAAAGGGAAAATCCCAAAAATGCACTCCAAGGTGCAGGTGGAGCGAAGATGGTCTTAAGCATCAGCCAGAAGGAACAGACCAGGCCAAGCTATTATGTTTAAGGTGTGGAGCCTGTCATTAGTCCTGTAAAGGAGTACATACAGGACAAGAGGTCCTTTACAGAGCCCCTATCACCAGTCTCAGGGAAGCCATTAGGGTGCTGAGCTGGTTAGGACTGAAACCATCACGACCTAGCAAATCCTGAGGCATTTTAACTCAACTGCTTATCTGGTGCTCAGTACTATGCAAACTTTCTGATCCCCTGGGCCCCATCCATTCTCTGCTTGCTATATGACTGCCTGCTTTGGGTTCTGCTGAAATCATGGATGAGTTCTTTCTTTAAATGAAATTCTGGTTTGCTCCTTTTCATTGCAGTGAGATGCCAATTTTAGGCAAGGTCACCTTCTTGCACAACTCCAGGGGGCAGGACTCACATAGAATATCATGCAATAGCACTGACACATAATAGTTAGCAGAGGAGGGATGCTCAAATAGTTTTATACACACCTTACCTCCAAAGCAGTCCTCCAATCAGATTTAGGTCTTTTCCACACTGATTTTGATGCCCGGCCAACTCAGGGACTCACGAATGGTTAAAACAGCCCTGGAGGTCAGTGTTTGCGTGGCTGATTTTGTATGAGCTTGACATGGAGGTTTATGTCTCACAGCCCACAGCCAGATGTCTGTGGGAAAAAGAGGAAAACAGATCCAGCAAAGGTATGGTCACCCCTATTAATAATTTTTCCAAGGCCAATAAGAACATTGATTTATAATATCCCCATGCTTCCATAACCAGACTTTGCTCAGGCTGAGTCTCAAATTATCTTGCATCTTGGAGTCACCTGAAGAGCTTTAAAAAATATTGTTGCCTGGATCCCACTTTAGGGAAATTCTAAATTAATCAATCTGGACTATGTATGACTTGAACATTAGGATTTTTTCAAGGTCCCCAGATGATGCTGATACATAGAATTGCCTATTCTGTCACCTAAAGAAGAATACCAGTGCCTGTGCCTCAACCCTGACCCAGTGATTCAGAATCTCTGGTGTTGGGTTCAGGACATTAGCATTTTATATACTCTCCTGAGATGAGTCTAATGTACAGCCAGGCCAACAACTAAAGAACCAGAGAAATCAAATCTCTTCTTGAAAAGATATAAGTTTGGAGAAAAAAAAGGGCAGATAAGAGGCAGGACTAACTTCCACCTCCAACTCAGACAGAACAGCGTGTTGAGACTCAATTGTGAACATTTGCTACAAGAACCACCACAGGAACATTCCAGCAAAACAAGGAATTCACAGACCCTTTGAAAGAAGTGGCTTGCCACTGCAAACTCTGTGAGACAGCCAAAAAACTGTGAGTTCTCAAAGTGTGAGAGGGAAAAAGTCCACCTCTGAACGTGTATCCTCACTGGGGAACCTGAAAATCCAGATCACGGGAGAAGGATTTCACCTAAGCTAGAGCTGAAATGAATTTAGAGAGCTGGGCAAAATATAAAAGTAGAAGTAGCAGCAGAAAGAGCCCTGTAGGCACTCCACATAGGGCCACATGGGGGCTGCGCTCAGGAACAGAGGAAACAGCCAGTGGCTGTGGAGGGTGGGCTGTCCCCGGCTTCCAGAGGGAGAGTGTGATTGGCTTGTTTGAATAATTCCATGGCTGGCAGGGAAATGAAATCAGCTATTCAAAAATAAGCAGAAGGTGCAAGCGGTCCTCTTGATCAGAAGTGTTGGTAGGAAACCTTATCTGCAGGAGCAGAGCCGGCGGAGGACTTGTAGATAGACCATTCTAGGCCTTCCCAGTGTTACCAGATGTCCAGGCTGCACGTAATATTGAACTCTAATTTTAGTCCTTACAGCACTTTTCCCTTGAACGGCAAAGGGCTCTGTCACAGACCGGTTCTTTGTCATGAATACACTTGCATTTGTCTACAATACAGCATATAATGTATTGGTCTCTATATTTGCTCTATAAATTCTGTTGGTTTTTAATGACTGGGATTTGTTCCACAACACATGGATGCAAATACTATCATATTTTAATTTCCCCAAATGAAATTAAATCTTGCTAAAGGTCTCACATATTGAGACTTGTGAGAAATGGAGAATTCATTGATTTACCATTCCTTTTATAGAACAAAGCACCAGCTCTTTTATGGGCCCAGGAAATGAGGAGAGGGTCTCCATCTTCAACACTGTATGGTACTGTTACCATGGTCCTTGGTCATTAGAGATGACACCTTTGCACCTTACAATCCAAATTAGCTAAGTCATGGGAGATCTTCTGCCAGGATCCCAGAGCCGAAGAGCTCTGTGCTCCCTGTGGCCCACCTGGTCATGTGTACTCATGGTCCTTCCCCCTCAAAGGTAGGTGCACAGCCCTCTAGGCACAAAACCTACAGCCTAGGAACCCCTAACTAGGCCCTGTCTTCAACTCATGGGGAACTTATGGCCAAGAATATGGGATGTGATGATATCTTAGAAGGTTATTCCATCATATGTAATTCTCTGGGTCTCCCTTTCATGAGTTGATTTGTAGTATAGACAAATGGATTTAACACTTTACTTCAAAACCTGGTTTTATCTGCAGCATAATACAATTATTCAGATTCCTATAAGATCATCCTCTTGCTTTGTTGCTAGGCTTTCTGTGTCATAATCTCTGGTTTTATAAGGAAAACGTTTTTATTCTGACATATACCCCTTCCTCCTGAACTTCACTGCAGACCAGGATTTGTTCTGAAATCTCCATGCCATATTTTTCCTTCATATCCCAGGGAGAAGCATATGCCTGTCTATACAGGCTCACACATAAGCAGTGTGTTCTAGATGCCCAGAGGGGTGGCCTTCCTGAATCTTGTGATTCCCAGTGACGTGGACACTGTTTTACCTTCTAGATGAGAAACTTGGATGAGTGTGAGGTGTGCCGGGACGGAGGGGAGCTGTTCTGTTGCGACACTTGTTCAAGAGTCTTCCATGAGGACTGCCACATCCCACCTGTGGAAAGTGAGAAGTAAGTGACATGCAGGCACCTCTCTTTCATCCTTTAAGGGACCTTCCACCTGCCATGCGCACTCTCCAGCAGAATGTCTGCTTGTGTCTAGATGGGGAAGGAGCAGGTTCATCGGGTACTGGGACCCAGCAGTGTGATCCAGAGAGCAGTGGGAGACGCTGGCAGCAGGAGGTAAATGCTCTCTGTGCTCTCAGGGACACCTCCTCTGATATGCTGAGGCCAGTGTTGGGGACCTTTGCCTACATACTGGTATTGTCCTTTCCTTGAAGTTTTGCAGTAGGGTCTCCTGTCCCAGGGGGTTGAGGAAAAAAAACACCAGTTGTTTATATTTTGTGCTTATTCATACAAGACAGGAAGCACGGTCTTAGGCGGATGGAGGCCTGACGTCCCTGGAGTTGAAAGCCCAGTTTCTGACACACAGGCCTGGCAGGCAGGACTCCTTGTGCTCCCAGCAGCTCAGACAGGGAAAGGATAGTCCCCACTCACGGTGACACCACCTTCCTGAGGCTTCCCTCCTGCTGCTACCACTGATGCGAGGGAAAGGCCAGTGGCTGGAGACCCCATGTGCAGTTCTTGGATACTCTGGGAGGTGTTCCCCTCCCTCCCATGACTGAGCCCATCAGCCATTCCTGAAGGAAGACAGTGGTAGCCACAGGAACGGTGGCCATTTCCAAGCTCCCTGCCCTCTGCTCACCCATGTCCAATCTCTCAGGACCCCGTGGAATTGCATCTTCTGCAGGATGAAGGAGTCTCCGGGAAGCCAACAGTGTTGTCAGGAATCTGAGGTCCTGGAGAGGCAGATGTGTCCTGAGGAACAGTTGGTAAATCAGATGCAAACCCCAAGCCTTCTCCTTTCCCCTCACACGTGAGAACCATGAACAAGCGCAAGGGCAGGGGAATGTACTGAAAGGAGCCTGCTCTTCCGCGCCACACTTCAATGGCACTGATAGAACACCACACCTTGTTTGCACAAAAAATAACTCAGCCATGACATGTCTGTTTCCAAGAGCCACACATGTTAGAGAAACTTGAGGAAGAAGGGTGTGAGTCGTGTGCTGTGTCTCATGCATGTGGGCTCATTCTCTCCAAGCTGCTTTTCATTTACGGCCTCTTTCTTTTGCAGAAATGTGAGTTCCTCCTCTTGAAAGTCTATTGCTGTTCTGAGAGCTCCTTTTTTGCCAAGATTCCATACTATTATTATGTAAGTAACAACAGCAACCCATGATTACAGGCTGCCATGACATTACCTGACCCTGAAATGGGCCCTCGTGAGATTTGTGATCTTAATCCCACGGGGCAAGAGCACACGCTGTCATTAGTTGCCTTCACCTTGTTGTATTTCTGCTGGATTTTATGGGAATCCACAGAAGGTAGACACTGAACTATGCTGGTAGCTTTTCCATTGGTATATTTGTCACCAGATTAGAGAGGCGTGTCAAGGCCTGAAGGAGCCCATGTGGTTGGATAAAATCAAGAAAAGGCTGAATGAGCACGGTTACCCCCAAGTGGAGGGGTTTGTACAAGACATGCGCCTCATCTTCCAGAACCACAGGGCCTCTTACAAGGTAGGTGGCTCTTCCTGCTTCCATTTCATTTCTTTCCATCCTTCCCCTCATTTTCTGGTGCCTAGAAAAATTTAGTTTCCCTCATCCTGTAATAAGCTTGCACGAGCAAGGGTTCTGGAAGTGATTGATTGGTTTCAGTTCAGAACTTAAGCTCTTCTTAGCAAAGAAACATTGAATCAAAAGGTGTCCCTGCAACCAGAACCCCAGGTCTCTGAGAGCTCCTCCCCCACCTGCCCCAGAGGAGACAGGAGCTCAGAGAGAGCAATTGAGTCCTGCCTGCTGCAGCATATAAAGAGAAGAGAATTTCATCTTAAAGTGGTATTGTGCTTCTTATCTGCTCCCAATCCCAGAAATCCCAAACTCCAGATTCTTTGCATGTGAATAGACCATATCCCAACAAGGATTGCCAGCAAGGAGTAGAAGTGACAGAGAAAGGAACAGATCAGTGATCTTACCTTATACCCTTCCACTATCTGAATTGTTGAAAGAACCTAGATTGCTTTTCTAACCCACTGAAATAAGCAACCAAAGGCAAAAAAGTAATAATCCCAACTGTGGAAATGATTTCACTTTTCTGCCCTGTTAATAAGAAAGGATCATGCTGGTGAGAAACGGAAGTTACTCTTAGCTGCATGAGTTTTCAAGTTTAATCTGGTTAATGTTACTTAGGGTGTTTAAGATAAGAGTCCTACTTAATAATAGTGTATTTCACACTTCAACATTGTTAAGAGAGTAAATATCAAATGTTCTCACCACAAAAAATGATGGCTCTTTGAGATGATGAATATGTTAATTAGTTTGATTTAATTATTCCACATAGCAGTCATAAATCACAACACTGCTTTGTACTCCAAAATACATACCATTATAAATTGTCAACTTACAGTTTTTATTTTTTAAAGACAAGAGTCCTGATCATTCTCAGTTGAAAGGTATCTAATGACACTAATGATAAGGAACATCGTTTTTGTCTTTATTACTTTTTTCCAGTATAAGGATTTTGGCCAAATGGGACTTAGACTGGAGGCTGAATTTGAGAAGGATTTCAAGGAAGTGTTTGCTATTCAGGAAACAAATGGGAACAGTTGACTGGTTTAGTGGATGCTGAAGGCCTTCAGGAAATATGCTACTGGTTGCCACTGACTTCAAACTGAGAGCACTTGGGAAATAGCACATGCAGGGAGAGGCTTTTCTCTGAGCCTCCCTCATCTGCCCAAAAACAAATCCTCAAAAGAAATTTGATCATCATGAATCCCATCCCCAAGAATCTCATCAACCAGGGAAGAGGAACTGAGATCACAGGGAAGGAGATTGGAGGTGATACCAGCACAGACAGACTCTCACCTCTTCTCCTGAGGTCTGCTCCAGACAACATTTATTACTCACAAGACCTTTTTCCTCCGTTTTTTTTTTGAGATGGAGTCTCACACAGTCACCCGGGATTGGAATGCAATGGCGCGATCTCAGCTCACTGCAACCTCTGCCTCCCGGATTCAAGTGATTCTCCTGTCTCAGCCTCCCAAGTAGCTGGGATTACAGTGCCTGCCACCATGCCCAGCTAATTTTTTGCATTTTTAGTAGAGACGGGGTTTCACTATGTTGGCCAGGCTGGTCTCGAACTCCTGACCTCATGAGCCGCCCGCCTTGGCCTCCCAAAGTGCTGGGACGTGACAGGAGTGAGCCACCACACCTGGCCACTCGCAAGACCTTTTATCTGAAAACCAGCCAAGCTTTATTCACGACACACTTCTTCCCTTCACTCTCCCACTTCTGTGGTCAACTCCCTGCAGAACTCCCAAACTGCCGTTCTTTTCGATAGCTCACGATGGTGTATGAGTGTCAATCATCTGACCCTTCTTGGAGTCTCATATTTCGTGGAACTCCTGTGCAAACATATATTATTAAATTTTTTTTCCTCCTGTCAATCTACTTATGTCAATTTAATTCATTCGTAGCTCAGCCAAAGAACCTAGCAGGGTAGAGGGAAGCCATTTTTCCCTCCCCTGCAAAGCGGTTGGCATCCTGGCACCATCTCCTCTTCTGACCAGGTCTTTTCATCCCCAGCTGCTGAGTGGTGGCTGCTGATGCCAGCAGTCCCCAGAGTATTACCCTTCGTTAAATGGAATCAGCTTCACCTGGAAGTGACGCCCCGTGGCCTGAGGCCGGCCCCTTTGCCTCAAAGCAGGACCAAGGGTGTGGTGTGTGGCTACTCTGTGCTCCCAGGTATCAGGCTGGAGCTAGTCTCCAGCTGTGGCCACATCGTGGCTTAGCTTTTGCCCACATGATGAGCTTCCCCCACTCCCTTCTGAGCAAACCCTCACCATCAATCTCTTGCTTAATGGACTTCATCCCAGAATGTGCTTCTGGGGAATGCAACCTAAAGTAATGGCCCCAGGAAGCGAGCTCTGAGGACAGGATTCTGGAGTTGGATCACTGTCTAGCCCAGTGATGCTGGGTGGAATATGGATAGTCCCAGAAGTGCTATCACTGAGCAGTTGCCCAAATTTTCACCTGTAGTAAATTGGATGAGCTGCAGGTCAAGCTATTTTAGTACAGCTATGTACTAAAATAGCTGGTACAATTGTCTGGCATTTAAGAAGTGAGGAAAAGTAACTATAAGAAATATGGGTTTTGGTGGGTATTACTAAGTGCCATTAATGTCTTGAAAAGAGTAAATGACAGGCTTAGATCTATTCATTACCAACCTAAAGAGAAGAGACCCTCATACCTGGAGCTGGAAGGCAGACAGCAAGGAAGGTCTGGTACAGACCTGATTTTATGAATCGCAGAACTTCAGAGAACACTGAATTCTAAGCTCAGGATGGTCTCTTATGCCAAAGTCAAGGCCTTCAAACTCAGCATGGGGCTATCTAGGTAGATGTACATGAGAACTTTGAACTCCAGATGCCCCCTGAACCTACTGGGTTTGCAGAAAAGTCTTTCTGCCCCTTGTTGGAAGAGAGAGCTACCACCCCCACCCAACTCCCGATTTTTCTAGAATGAAGACTGTATAGAGACCGCTCAGGACAATGAAAGTGAACAATCATGGGGAGGGCAGCAAATGAAGAGAGCATTTATCCTCCGAAGGAGCTGTAGGACTGGCCAGCGTGCATCAGCAGGAGCAAGGAGATTGTGTCTGGGAGTGGATCCTGGTCCAGGAAGGGTGAAATGTGAAACCAGATAAGTGACGATTATTGGCAAAGGGGCAAGCTTCTCTACCACAGAGTTTAACTAGCCTGGCTTGGGCCAAAGGTGATGATTCTGATATACTCCTGGGTGGCTCCTAGAGACTAAGTATAAGCCATGGTACACATTAAATCAAGTGGAAGCAGAGATACCAGAACTACTGTGGCAGAGTCTGGAAAAGTGGGTCCCAAGGATAGAGAAGTTGGTGTGCTAGAATGACTCTGCACTCTACAACTGGAGAATCCATCCATCAGGTGACTGAGTTCCTCCAAAGGGGACACTACTAATGTGTCTCAGACACTAACTAAGGTGAGAAGGAATGCACTGTTGAGGGGGCAGCACATCCTTAAGAAGCTCAATGGTGGCTGTCCCCTGCAGGCTGGAATAATGCTAGGGATGTTTTATAGAACTGGATCCCCCAGTAGTGAGTAAAATGATAGAGTTCCAGAATAACAGGGGCCAAGTGGCAGCATTTAACTGTGAGGACAAGATAAAGTAATTTCCGTAAGGGGCATCAACGTTAGAGTGACAACTGGGAGGCCTGACCTGTAGGTGTCCATGAAGATGGCTCTTAGGACATGCTGTTCCTCTAGGCAAGACACATATTGCTTTAGACATATAATCAAAAGAGATTGAAAATAGATGAGCAGAAGGCTGAGGTCAGCTATCTAAAGGTAAAGTCTTAGACCCCTTGCCCAGCTTCCAAACCTCAGCCAGTTCTCAGTGGAATCCAGAACTCACTGATGGAAATGAGGGCAGTTTCTCATAAGGAAGAACCTTGTAAGTGTGCGCATCACTGATTCCCTCAAGTTTTCACGGGAGGGCTCTATGGCCAAATTTTTTGAGTTACTCACATGCCGGGGAAAGGAAAATACACAGATCTTTCAAGGGATGTTGAGTACAATATCACAGTTGATGCTAATCCCTGAGGACTCAAAGCCCTTTCGTAGCCCCTGTTAGAGTAGAGTACGTGGAGGTGAGGTAATGTCCATCTCACAATGGGCCCTCTGGATCCACAGGCCACCCAGCAATCATTTCCCCATTTCCTGAATGTATAATCAGGATATACATTCATACATACATCATAAAATATAGCAATTGGCTGACCTGGTTCCTTAACCTCTGGTTTCCTAACCTATGAAATAACAATGACTGTTTTAGGGAAGGCCAAGCAGAAGCCTCTGAAACTGAAGTTTCATGGTGAAAACAAGTAAGTTAAAAGCAATATCACATTCTTGGGGAATGATAGAGATTAGTGCCACCTACAAAGACATGGAGGAGGCAGGGGTTGTTACCCCAGTTACACCTCCATTTTAATTCAGCAGTCTGCCCTCTGGTATCTCCTGGTGGTTCATGCTGCTAAATGGCTCCTAAAACTTAACCAAGGAGTAGCCCCTATTACAGTTGCTGTGTCAAACGTGGTATCTTTATTATAACGGGTTAGCACAGCCTTAGCAAGTGATATGCAACTATTAATACGGAAATGCCACTTTTAAAGGATCCGGCAGGATGTAGGTTGAGAGGAAATTCACATTCTCAAGGATTGGACAAGAGTATATCTTTACAGTCTTGCTCCAGGGCAAGGTGAATCCTGCTCTGTGTTACAATATAGGCTTTCTGGACACTCTGCAATACATTACATTGGTCAACTGTATTGATGACAGTATGTTCATGAGCCTGATAAGCGAGAAATGTTGACTATTCTGAATGACTTAGTAAGTCATAAACACTGCAGATGGTGGGAGAAAAACGTTACAAAGATACAGAGATATGCCATATAGGTAAGCTTTCAGGGGTTCAATGGTCTGGAACGTGTCAGAGCATCCCCTCCAAAGCTCCAAGCTGTTGCACTTCATACCTCCTGCCACTAAGAAACCCAGAGCTTGGTGGTCCTCTCCAAGTGAGGAGAATCACCGTGGTTGACATTCTGATGAAAGTGATTCTAGGCTTTGTAATGTGGTTGTGTGTTTGGGAGGCAGGGAGTGGGGAGGCAGTGGGTATACCATCTTCATAAATAAAAATGTGCTAATCAATGTTTTTCACTTAACAATATAAGATGGACATTGTCACATCAGTAAATACAGCTCTACATCATCTGTGCCTTACCTTTCATTTATCCTCAAAACTGGATGACAGTTGGCTCTTTGATTATTTTTGGTCTGGTAAGCATAGTAATTTGTACTGAGGGGCAGCACAGACTAGCATTCAGTAGCACAGCCTCTGTAAGTGGAAGCCCAGTTCCTGCACTTCTCCACTTGCTGACGGTGTGTCCTTGGGCAACCTACTCATCCTTCCCCTGTACTGTTTCATCTGTAAAAAGGAGATACTAGTAGTAAATAGCTCACTGGATTATTGTGAGGATTAAAGAGTTAATATTTATTATGCACTTAGAAAGTGCTGGCCCTCCATGCAATACATATGTAATAAACAAGCAAACTTAAAAGATTAACATAAACACCTTTGTATCAATTCAGGCTCTTTGCTGTCAAGAAAAACCCAATATATACCCAAAAGAATAGAAATCATTCTATGATAAAGATACATGCATGTGTGTATTCATTGCAGCACTATTCACAATAGCAAAAACATTCAATCAACCCAAATGCACATCAGTGATAGACTGGATAAAGAAAATGTGGTACATATACACCATGGAATACTATACAGCCATAAAAAGAAACTAGATCATGTCCTTTGCAGGGGCATGGATGGAGCTCGAAGCCATTATCCTTAGCAAACTAATGCAGGAACAGAAAATCAAGTACCATATGTTCTCACTTGTAAGTGGGAGCTGAACAACGAGAACACATGGACATAGGGAGGGGAACAACACACTGGGGACTGTTGTTGGGGGCAGGGGAAGAGAGAGGATCAGGATAAATAGCTAATGCATGCAGGGCTTCATATCTTGGTGATGGGTTGATAGGTGGTGCAAACCACCATGGCACACATTTACCTGTGTAACAAACCTGCACGTCCTGCACATGTATCCCAGAGCTTAAAATTAAATTAAATTTAGAAAAAAAAAGAAAAGAATCCAATCACAAAAGACCACATAATTTATTATTCCATTTATATGAAATGTTTAGAATAGGTAAATCCATAGAGACAGAAAGTAGATTGATTGGTGGTTGCCTAATGCTGGGAGGTTGAGGGGAAATGGGTATGTGGTTTCTTTTTATGGTGACAAAAATGTTCTGAAATTGATTGTGGTGATGTTAAAAAGCCCTATGAACATACTACATAAATTTGAATTGTACAATTTAAATGGGTAAATCGTATGGTATGTTAATTGTATCTCAATAAAGCTGTTAAAAAAATAAAAAAGAGAGAGACCCAATTTATCTAGGGTAGACAAAAGTTACTTCGATGATGATATCACAGTGCCTCACAGAAAGGGCCGGAAGGCAGGGTTACAGAGTTGGCAAATGGCCCTGGAAAAGGGCAGGAATCAGAGCATTTCCAGGCAATCATGCAACAGGAATGACACAGCCATTCCCTAAGGATGTTAAGATTTTACTAAATGTTGTTGTTGATTTTTTTAACCTCTCACAATACTTCACTCAAAAGCTCAACTCCCCCCAAACAGCATCTGGCTGGCCTGGCCTGCTCAATGGCCAGCATTGTGATTAACAGCCCCTCACTCCTACACCCAGAAGGGAGAGCTCCTTCACCCAAAGGAACCAGGGACTGTTAGGCAAGGGGGATGGAGGAGGCTGGACAGCCAAGGAAATCACAGCTGACTGAGGAAACCCACCTGGGACACTCACAGCCTAGACCACTGCTGTCTAATGGAGGAATAGGGGCAATTCCAGGCCAGTCAGAGAGGTGGAATTGCTGGGGGATGCCAAGTTCCTTGGGTACACAGGAGCAGGTAACTGTTTCGCCATTGTCCTGTGCTGCGGAGGCAAAGACTGAGTTGGTCACTGTTCATCTGACATGAAACTACCCCTTACTACATTATATCAACACCGAGATATTTCTCTCCTGAAATATTTGTTCACATTTTCCCCTGAACCCCGTGGTGTGTGGGACTGAAAGAGTCTACACTGGTTCATACAAGGACGGCACACTCCATGGTCGTGTAGTGTGGCCCCAGGAATGTTAAGCTGGAAACTAGGGTATGGTGTGTTCAGGGAAGGGGGTGACTCCTCTGCTGAGACACTTGATTACATCTTTAACTGTGTCCTGCTGGAGCTGCTGGGAAGGTGGGTAGGACCACTTTCCATCCCCTGATCACCTCATCCTCCAGAGGGTTCATCCACAGTTGCCTGAGTCTGGATGGGGAGGAGGATGTAGGATCTCAGCCTTGAGATCTCAGGACCTTGAGTCTTGGCCATATAATGATGTAGCCACCACTTCTGGCTCTCTCTGGTGTCTGTTTTCACTCCTCTGAGTCTCACAGAATGGGATTGTGCCCATGACTGGTGCACTCTGCATGCCAGTGGATAGGTCTGCTCTTAGATGTTTTTGTAACGTCTGTGTCAGTACATGTGGCCCAGAGTGCTGTACAGGAGCTGGCTGGTGCTTTTTGTTTTGTGCTTATTCAGGAAATACAAGAAATAACTCCTGGGTTCCTGCATTGTGCCATTGTCTGAATGATAAATGGTAAATCCCGGCCCCACTTCCTCATGCACCCCCCAGTGGGGAAGCACCTAATTTCCAATTCTGGATTCTTACAAGCACAGCTCAAGACTATCATTATTGTCATCACAGCTCAGCCTGGAATCCAGGCTCTGGGATAAATGTGAGCCCCTCACTTCCATAGCTCCACATTCAATGGGCTGAACACCCTTTAGAATTATTCATGAGAGAGGGTGTGATAGACCATAGATGGTATGGGCAGAGGGGTCTCCAATTCTCTCTGGAAAGGAGAGTGTCACCTACTAGACTGAGTCCACTGGCCATTCCCAAGTGGCTAATAGCTGCAGAAATGGATCTACGTCAGGGAACACTTTATTCCCTTATACACCAAGAAAATGGATCAGTAGCAGATGAGATGAATGAGTTTCCAACTTCAATGCCATTGTTTTGGAAACCAGCAAAACTGTGCCAGTATGTTGCCCAGAAAAACATCAGACCAGAACACCCTGGAAGCCATCTGCTCCCCAAAAAACTATTCTACCTGGCAGTTTTATAGCCCACCTGCCCCTGAGAGCCTTATCCCAAGGTAAGACACAGGATATCCAGCAAAACCTGGTTCCCAGGGCCACTTCATGACCTGGCCGGACCAGGCGGTCATCCTGTGTTAGTGGGCTGGGGCCCCATAGGATGTCAACCTGTTCCCTGAGCACAGCATTTGTACCCATGAGAAACAGGTGCACCAGTTAGGAGAAATGCACAGGGCTGTCCCACCAGTTCTGGAGTCATCCTTGGCCCTGGGAAGAGCTCATTAGACTTTATTTTGGATTTCCCCTAGAGCAGATGTTATGACTGACAGTCTAACAAGACCCACCTCATCCTCAAAACAGGGTCTTCTCAGCCCTTGCTAGGCAAAGGTGCCCTGGGAGAGCCCCCCAGTGCTCTGGTCAGCTGTCTCCCACCCACATTTCCAGGAGGAGCACCTGTGGAAAGGCAGACTCCACCCCTTCCCTGCACATCTCCGCCAGACAATGGTTGGCAGATGGGCATTGGCCTTTGCTGGAACTGTACCTCCTGTCTCATAACCTGTCTCGTAACCACTAAATCTTCATGAAGCTACACTTTCCAACCCTGCGCTTCCTTTATTCTGTTCAGCAATACTGAGGAACCTGCCAGGGACCCTCCTCTTCATAGAAGCACCCACTTGCAAGCCCAAAGAAGCAGAAGCTGCTGCCCAGCAGGTGCTGGTGGAGACCATCTGGAGGGGCCACCAGGTATCTCCTTCCCTCGCCACACATGCATCACCTGGCAGTCCTAAGATCTAGGACAGTCTGCGGGCCATTCCAGCTCACCATGGTAAAAGTAATAGACATATGGAGGTTTGCAGAAACATTAGGAGTGCAGACTTGGTAAAAGGCTGCATTGTTCATTCAAGCCTTTCCTGGCTCCAGCCCCAGCCACCAGGCTCCCTCCGCTCCTGGTGGTGTTCAGCCCTGCCTCCTTGGCACCCTGAGGCTCACAAGGAGACCCCAGGCCGACCACAGCTCGAAAGACATTCCTCCTCCTTTCTGAGGGTAGGTCTGACCCCGCAGCCTTAGTTCCATGCTTGTGGAGGCATCCAACATGGAGCTGCCTGGTTCCATATGTCAGGTGACAGCCCCAAGTCTAACGGGGACCCACTGGTGAACACAGGAAGGTGCCACCAGGAATCCCCAGAATGTGAAACATAGTGAGCCTGTAGGGTCGTTCTGTTGCAGTCCAGCAGTTGGGGCTCAAAGTGAAACGAAAGGGAAGGTGAAGCCCCCTCTCCCTCACTCAGGGAGACTGGGTTTCGGGGTGGGGGGCATTGACAAACTTCTGTGCATGAAACGCACTTCTCTGAAGTCTCGTGTCTTCTAATTCACTCCATGCCACCCGTTTTTGCCGTTTGCCCACTATTTTTTAATCCTTTCAACTGCTCAGCATCGAGTCATATCAGTGTGCCCCGCAAGGACAGCAGGAGTGTCCTGCAGGGCCTTAGGGTGCGGGGCAGGCTTAAGGGCTTCAGCCTCCGGGGAGGTGCAGAAGGCAGGGCGGCTTGTGGCTCCGGACGGAATGAAACTCTTAGGGAAGAGGACAGAGACCAGGAGGAGCGAAGGGCAGAGTCCCCCGCCCCTCACGGGCTGAACAGAGGGCAGGCGGCGACCCGGTGGTGCTCGTGAGCTGCCAGAGGGCAAAATGATCTCAGAACCCAGACCTTACATGGGTTCGACTTTATTTAGAAGGAACTACGGCTCTTCTACCACACAATTCGAAGTGTTTGGTGAGCTAGAATCCCGATAAGAGGAGGATTTTCGGTTTCTGTTTCTGCCCAGCCCTGAAGAGGCTGCAGCGCTACGCGCTGCCGGGAGACTGGGCGCCGGCCGGGCGGGGGCGGAGCCCGGAGGAGCGCGGGGCGGCCGCGGGAACGGGAACGCGGGAGGCGGACACGGGGGATGGCGATCACCGACCCCTGCTCGTTGCGCGTGCTCACGGTGTGTCCGTGGCGGGCCTCGCCGGCTAGGTGGCCTCGGAAAGGAGGCATGAGGTGGCGTCCATGGGCCACCAGGACCCTGTGCTGTCCGTCAGTTACCAGGGGACAGGGATCTGCGGATGTTCATCTGCGGATACAACAGGGGCTCAGCTGAAGGACCCTGCGTGATGATGCGGACTCAGGGGTGGCCCTGGGCCAGTCGGTTTCTTCCTGGTGCTGCACAAGGACTGAGGGCGTCCTCCGGATTTCTCATGAATGGTCCCCACCTTCAGAAGGTGGCCAGAGGGACTTCCTGTGTTGTCCAATGCTCCCCTTGTCTTTCTGACTCCCTACAATCCTTCACCCATAGCCTCTTTAGGCCAGTCACTGAGGCTCTGCTGAGCAGGGGACCCTGGTGAGTGGGCCAGGGAGGATCAGACCAGCCTGGTCTCACCCAACTTCCTAAAAGCTGAAATATTGCTACCAAATGCCCGCTGAGCCCGGGGGATAATTGCATCACAATCATGCAATTGCAAGGAGCTATGACCCCAGCCTCTACCCATCTGCGGCACAGATAGAAAAGAACCTCAGAAGAGAGATGTATACCCATGTGCTTGAACCCTTTGAAATATAGGCAAAATGGAGAGACAGACGGCGATCAAAATACCAGCTTTATTCCGGATAAAAGCTGGATTGGGGATGTGGCTTAGATATGTGGCAGTAAAGGGACCCCTAACACTGAACTCCAGAATTGGGCTTATCCGCATGGCCTCAGGCTGTTCCAACTCTCCCCCACGCTATGCAGGCCCCTGTCCTTGTGCACTTGAGCTTGGAGGAGCCAACAGAGTCTTGGTCTCTGCAGGCAGGATGACTCCAGGGACACCCAGCAAAGAGCAGGCTCACTCCCACTCCCAGTCAGAGAAGCGTCCCCTAGAAGATGGGCGGGGACCGGAAGGGACCGGGCCTTGACTGATTGATGTTCCACCTCCTAGAAGGAGACAGTTCGGCAGGACTGGGTGCTCCCACTAAAGATCCCAGGCGCCTGCCCTTCACTCGTCACTTCTACGTCCCTTGGAGGGTGGCCAGGTTCTCTATTCTCATGCCCCAGTGGCACTGTTCCTGTAGCTGCCTCCTGCCCTGAAACTCTCTGGTCCATGATGCCAATGACCTCATCTCAGGTACAGACCTCTGGTTCTCACATGGGGGTCCCAGGTTGAAGAATCACCCCCCACCATGTTACCAGTAGAGGGTCTTGACTGCAAGTTGTCCAGGTTCTTGGCGTTTTGAACAAAGAATTGGACAAAGCGCACAGCAAAGCAAGAAAAGAATGAAGCAACAAAAGAACGAAAGCAGGGATTTATTGAAAATAGAAGTACACTCCACAGTGTGGGAGCAGGCCCAAGCAGTATTCAACGGTCCCGCATACAGAATCTTCTCTGGTCCAAATACCCCCTGGAGGTTTCCCATTGACCACTTGGTGCTCACCTCATGTAAATGAAGTGGCGGCCTGCAATCAGTCTGATTGGTTGAGGAAAGCAACCAACCAGAGGCTGAAGTGAAGTTACAAAGGTCACACTCCTGTGCAAACATCTCATTGGTTGCAGAAAGCAACCAATCAGAGGCTAAAGTGAAATTACAAAGTTGTACTTCTATGCAAAGGAAGACTTGGCCTGCAATCAGTCTGATTGGTTGCAGACAGCAACCCATCAGAGGCTGAAGTAAAGTTACAAAGTTACACTCCTATGCAAAAAACAACTATACACAGGTACTTTCCATTTCCCATTGCCCCACAGAAAAGGTGGGGGTTTGCAAAGGGAGTAGCCTCTGGACCTTTTGTTACTTAGGCATGGAAAGTTAGGGTTTTCCTTTCAATTTAGTTCTAGGAAGTTAGCATGAAATGGCCTTAGGTTCCCTGCCTCCAGACCCTATTCTCCTGCCTCACCCACACCACTGAAGTCTGAACTGAAGCTGCTCTTGGTGAAATGTAAGAGGCCCATCATCTGGCTGGGTGCCCTGCCTGTGGTCCTTCCTCAATCACTGCCTCCCCTGCTTTTGAGTTTTCCAGGCTCCAGTAACTGGAACTACTTCTTGACAACAGAAATATTCCCTATTGCCTGTGCTCCTTGCAGCCATGGAAAATGCCCCAGGAGTTCCATTATTTCCTTCTAAACAGTCCAGCAGGATTTTTAGCTCACATGTCTTCTTAATGTGGTCCCGTCCCTTTCCCAACCCCAGTGTGTCTGACATTGTTTTCTGGATCAGAGAAACTTTGCTTTCTTCACAGAGGCCTACAGATTCTCCATATACCAGCGGAGCATGGTGCATGCTCATCTGTCTCCAACCTCATCTGATGAGAACATCTCCTTCCCTGCTGCCAGGAGGTGCCCCAGCATGGGCATGTCTGCCCGTGAAGTTCAACCCGTAAGGAATTCCCTGCCAGCCTGTGGCTCATTGGTCTGGAATTCCAGGTGCTGCTCTTAGTAGCCCCTAAGCACATCCAGGGAAAAGCTGGCACGTTTATGTCAGTGCCACTCAATGGCCTGAGCCTGCCTGCTGCCCAGAGGCAGCGAGAGGGGAGAACGTGAACCACACCAAAGCATACTGTGTGGTCCATGCCAGGACTTCTTGGGACCAATGTGCCTCATGGAGACTGGGATCAAAGGACAGCTGTGCCCAAAAGAGGCTCAGCTTACCAGCCCTTCAGCCCCATAAAGTCGGGGAGTCATGGGGGGTAGGAAGAATGAGAGAAAGAGAGAGAGACCTACAGGTGAGAGAAAGAGAGAGAGACCTACAGGTGTGCAGTGCCTGATAGAAACAGTGACCTTCGCCCACCGGCAAAGCTGTCCTCACCAATGTCCTGGTGCCTGGTCATTCACTCATGGGGAAAAGAAGAGCAGAAGTAGAGTGAGGGTAGAAAGCCCCTTCCCCCACATTTTCAAATGTACCTGGACAAGCATCCTTATTCACAGCTGGAAGAAGTTGGATTCAGTAGAATGCCATTTGGAAAACACCGTTCTGAAGTGCCATCCCCTCTGGCCCCTGAATCCTCACCAGCTTCCACCCTCTGCTCACCTTGGGCCCTGGATTCCAGCGCCCCCAGGCTCCCAGCTGCCTCCCTGTCTCTGCCCCATGGTCCGGCCTGGAGTTCTGGTCCCTGGTTGTGTCCTGTGGCCCCATTCTCATGCGCCCTTTGCTTCTGTTTCTTTACCTATGACTTTATACTGATGTAAAGCGAGTCTTCTCGGTCGCTTCTTGTTCTCTGAGGAATGATGAATCAGAATCTAAATGGAAAATCTGGGCAGAGATAGAACCTCCCGCGGGAGCCACCCTGCCCTTCCATGTCTAGATCATCTGGGTTCCAACCTCCATCCTCCTCCAATGAGAAGCTTTTGTTCTCTCAAGATTCCAGTGACTTCTCCGAAGCTTAGGTGTCTCTTCACCCCTGGCTGTTCCAAGGCGGCCCCATAGTCAAGATTCCTTAAACCCTTGCCCCTTAAAATGTTTGCCTTTCTTACCATGCTGGCTCCAGCCTCTGGTCCCAGGGGTGTGGAGAGTTCTCTCTTACTTCTGGCTGATTTCCAGGAAGGCTAAGCACACTCTCCCCAGGTTATAATGCTGAGCATTTTGGTTCTCTCCAGCCCTGGGTCCCAATGTCAGGACCTACCTTAGTCCAGTCCATGCTCTCCCATGGGCCTGAGAGAAGATTTGAGGTTTCTGGCTTTCCCTCCAACCCTCCAACTCCCACCCCAAGCCATGTCAGCAAGGGGAAGGGGCAAACATGGAGTTTCCCCCCCAACTCCCATGTAAACTATGCCCCCTCTTAGAGGGCAGAGCAGCTAAGGACAATTTTGTTTCAAGGACATTTTTTTTGGCTGTGTATTGCACAAACAAGTGGACACCCGGGAGCTGGCCCTGCTCGTCCCCTGGGCCCTCCTTCCCTGGTCCTGCAGGTCTTGCTGCTTGTCAGGCCTCTCCTCCAACCCTCTGCCACATTTCAGAAAAGCTGAGAATCCCTTGGAGTGAAAAAGGAGGAGAAACACAGTGTCCGTAGCCCAGAAGGAGGTTAAATACTTTCACTTCTCTTTTCCCCATTTGGGCGGAGCCCTTTCTGAGTCAGTCTGTCGGCCGACTTCCTGCTTGGGGCCTGGGCAGCCACACTGCACGCAGGCTGGGCCGACTGAGGGGCTCAGAGGCCAGGCTCTGAGGCCCACGCAGGGCCTAGGGTGGGAAGATGGCAGGTGGGGGCGGCGACCTGAGCACCAGGTGAGTCTTTATCTCCCTTCCTTTAACCTTTATCTCTGGCTATATTGCAGCTTTCATGCCTTTAGTTCAGTTTGTGCCTAAGGCTTCACTTTAATCCTTCTTTGCAAGAACATAGGTATGCGATGTTATATAATGAAATGAAAGACAAGTAATGAGGAAATCAGATTTTTTAAACAGGAGCAGGACAGCTGTTGGTGTGAGTTCAACTTGCCATAACACACGTGACTTTCTTGTTTTGGATTTACTGCTCAGCTGACCGGGACACTCTAAACATAGCAGTTGTTGGTGGCTGGGATTAACTATTTCCTCATGATCTGTGAACCCTTTCACCCCTCAGCCTTCCTCTACCTTCAAATATGTCATGTCAAAAAAGGTGCTTTAGAAAATAAACACTCCAGGGTAAACACCTGGCTTACTTTTAAACATCAGACGCTGTGGTCTCACCTGTCCTGGCAAGGGGCCTCTGCCGGCTGTTCCCATGACTGGCTCAGGGTCTGAGTTCTTATTCCATCAACCTTGATCAAAAGAAGGAAAGGGAAGAAAAAGGCCCAGGGTGACAAACGGCTAAATATTTTCATTTTTACCTCAATTTCCTGTCCCAAGATGGGGGATACCTCTGACCAGAAAAGAGAAGGAAATCCTAACTTTTCTCTAGTAGTGAGTTGAGAAATAACATTACTTAATCTTTTAAATTTTTTAATACAAAAGAAATACACTGTACATTATTGTTCATAAAATTTAAAACAGTGGAGAAGTATATTAAGGAAAAAGTCATCTTTGCCACTCAGCCATTCTTGTAGCTTCTCTTCCCAGTCCTGTGAAGAGTCTTGGGCACAGCTTTTCTTATATTTTTCTATGCATTTATATATCTAATGCATTTTTTGTAAATACGTAATTTATGTTCTTGATTTATAATAAATTATATTACATGTGCTAGTCTGCATTTTGCATTTTTACTTATTTTAATAGTGGAAAACTTAGAGATCTTTTAACCTTAATACATATAGATCTGCCTCATTCTTTTTATACATGCTATTCCATAGAATTGATATATGATAATTATTTATTCTCCAATTGAAGGACATTTAGATTGTTTTTAAATTGTTCACATTTACCAATAAGCTATCATAACAATGATTATATATTTCTTTTTGGGTTTTTACATCTAAACAAATATTTATCTTGTCTCTAAACCTTAAAAATGTAATTATTGAGGCAAAGGGTCCAGTTATTTACTTGGTCCTGCCAAATTGTCTTTCTAGGAGGCTGAATGAATGTATTTCACCAGTAGCAAATGAGATGAACCATCTTCCTGCACACAGCCACGATTTGCAAAGGTGATGAATGAAGAGTTATGTCTTGTTTTAATTTGTATTTTCCTTACGATGGGAAAATTGATCAGCTTTTCATGTTTCTTGGCCATTTAAATTCCCTCTTCTATAAATTGCTTGTTTGTTTTTTGCCAATATGATTCCGTTGAGGTGTTTGTCCTTTTTTTCGTGATATGGGAGAATTCACTAAATATTCTGTAAGTATAAATATACTTTTCTTGTCCATTACCTTTGTCTATGGTGACTTTTATCTTATTAAAGCTTAAAACTTAACATATAGGCCTCTTGTGATACAGATTTTTTTAAGATAGATGCACCCTTGTTATAAACGAGGTGATGCTGACACCCTCTGTGAGCACTCTTAGTTTTTACAATTATTTCTGTGTTAAGGTGGCAGATTCGCTGCTACCGCTATTCCAGGAAGAGTTCCTCCTCTAATATCTCTGAAAATTTTTTAAATTTTTAAACAAAAATATTCTTACATTGGAGCCACTTTAGCCTTCACAGCTTTTATTTGCCCCGTTTTCATCTTTTCAGTCTTTCACTTTGTGTTCATAATAGTTGTCTCAAACTTTTCCTCCATGACAATTATTTACCTTCTAGTAGGTTTCTTGTTTCTTGTCATTTCTAATTTTTTAAAAATTGATAGTGTTTATTTTTGAGGAGGGATCTTAATTGGTTTCTGTACGCCTGCAAGCTCCATAACCTCTTGTCATTCAGTCTTCACAGTCTTGCTTTATTTAGGTTTGCCTGTGCTGTTAAGAACTTTGGGATATTCTCCTTGTTGTCTCTTAGTTATTTTTCCAGACTGATTCTGTCTGATCTTGTGTTCCACGTGCCTGTGGTGGCTTTACAGCTCCTCTAGCCAGGCTTGGCCAGGGCAGGTCACCCCAAACTTCCCGTTTGCTTAGTCATAATCTGGATGAACTTTTTTTCTTTTTTTTTTTAACATTCCCTGTTTTATCTGAGATCAAATTGTTTTTTGTCTGAGCTACAGTTTGAAGTCTTTGTTTTGATTCTTATCAATTTTTCTGAGTTCACCGTTGATTGATTAAATTATCCTTTTCCCTGCTGATTCGCAGTGCTACCCTTTTTGGGAGTATAGAGGCAGGGTGTGCTTCTGTGTTCTCTCTTCTCTCCCCTTGGCCGGTGACAGCCCCTCCTTATGCCAGTACCACGCTGCCATAGTGATGGCAGCTTCCCAGGAACTCTTGACATCTGAGGGAGCAAATCTCTTCCTCTTCCTCCAGAATGTCTTAGACTCCCAAATTTGCCTGTCAAAATCTCGAGATTTTGTGTGGAACTGCACTGGATCTATAAATCAATTTGAAGAGAATGGACATCTTTACATTCACGAGACTTCCATCTCATGAATATGGTTTATGTATATTATTACTTTAAAAATGTCTCCTATTAAAATTTGTATTTTTCTCTCTGAAGGTTTTGCCCTTCTGCTAGATTCCTTCATAGATATTTGATATTTTTATGCCATTATTAACTAAAGTAGTCCTCCCTTATCAACAGTTTTACTTTCTGAGATTTCAGTTACTTGCAGTAAAACTTGGTCCAAAAACATTAAATGCAAAATTCCAGAAAACAATTCATGAGTTTTAAGATACTTGGCGTTCTGAGGAGTGTGATGAAATCTCATGCTGTCCCTCTCCATCCTGCCCAGGATGTGAACCATCCCTTTATCCAGGGTATCCACAGTGTAGACACTACCAGCCCATGAGTCGCTGAGTAGCTGTCCTGGTGATCAGATCGACTGTCCTGGTATAACAGAGCTTGTGTTCAAGGAACCCTTATTTTAGTCAATAATGGCCCCAAAGCACAAGAAGGTTGATGCTGGCAATTCAGATATGCCAAAGAGAAGCCGTCAAGGGCTTCCTTTAGGTGAAAATGTGAAATTTCCTGAAAGAAAAAAATAATATGCTGAGGTTGTTAATATCTACAGTATGATGTTTTGAGAGACAAAAAGAGACCACATTTACATAATTTTTATTACACTACATTGTTATAGTTGATCTACTTTATTATTAGATATTGTTATTCATCTTTTATTGTGCCTAATTTATGTACAGATTGGGGAAAACATAGTATATGCAGAGTTTGGTACTATCTGCGGTTTCAAGCATCCACTGGGGTTCTTGGAAGCATCCCCTGTGGATAGAAGGGAACTAGTGTGCTAAATTTTACATATGAATTTGCGTTGGTGACCCATGATCTGATCCATGGTTCTATTTTCATTCTTGTTTCAATACTGAAATGTTTTAGTTACTATGATTTTATAGGTAGTGTTCTGTAACCTACCTTACTGGGATTGAATTGAGAGACACTAAATGAACAGATAAATTTAGGAAGAATTTATGTTTTAAAAAAATCCTGAATGGCCCCAGTGAGAAACATAGTAAATCTCTCCATTTATTCATGATTGTTTGAACTTGGGACCTTGTTGGGTCGCTTTAGTTCTAGGCATTTTAAAATTGTATTTGTAAACAGGAATTCATTTTCCTTTTACATTTTCTAGTTATTTCTTGCTGGCATAAGGGAAATCTATTCATTTTAGTTAGCTGATCTTGTGCATAGGAGTCTTACTAAGTGGTCTTCTCCCTCTTAATATTGTCTTGTGTTTTTCTGGAGAAATAATTACATCTTCAAAGATAGTAGCAGCTTTGTCTCCTCTTTTTCAGAATTTATACCTGTATACTTTTCTTTTTCTTTCTTTTTTCTTTCTCTTTTGCCTTAGCGCATTAGCCAGGACTGCCAGTGTAATACTGAATAGTAACAGTAAAAATGAACATTTTAGTTTTATTCCTGATTTCAAGGGGAATACTTATAATGTTTAAATTGAGGCTTTCTTATAGACACCTTTTTTCAAGTTAAGGACATTTCCTGCTGGCTCTGGTTTACTAAAAGTTATTTATTTTAATCAGGCCTGTGTATAGGATATTTATCAAAATGCCTACTAAAGAATCTTTGAGAATTGTATCATTTTTCTCTTTTAATCTGATTTATCCACAGTAAATTATATTGAAACATTTTATTAATTCGGTTATTAATTTCACCAAAGTAAAACATATATATATATATAGCTTAAAGTATCAGTCAATAAGACCTTTAAAAACACAAGTAGTACTTTCTGCCATCTTCCCAGCCCATGTCCAGTTTCCCTAATGGATTAACTTTTTGGCTCTTACTTTTGTATTTACTTCTGTATTTTGAAATGATGTGCTGATACAGCTCTTTGTAATTTTTCAAGTTTCAGACATTAATCTGTTCACATAATAGGACAGAAGATGAAGACTTTTTCCATAACACTCCTTTTCATTCCCTGTCCATTCTCATAATACATCACAGTTGGAGGTTCATCAGTAATCAGTGTTACCATTATGATGACTATTTACATGTTGTTCATAACCAAGTCATCTACTATATTATGATTACATTTCCTTTCCTGTGCAACATCCTCCCGCCCCTCCCCGCCGACCCCACAAATAACTATTGCCCTCTTATATATTTGCTTGGATTTTGTGTGTCCTCATTATGAATTCTTCCCAAGCACTCTGCAGAATTCTAAAATTCTTTTCAGTACAGTGAGGCACATTGGGTAATTTATCAAGTCCATTTTACTTTCTTGGGGAAACCCTCCTGGAATTATCCATTCCCCTGATTCCATCAGTTCTGGTTAGTTTCAGCTTCCAAGGCTGACCTTGAAGCTTGACATCTCTCCTGTGTTGGGTCTTGTTTTGTGGATTACATGTATACCTCTTTCTTGCTTTACTATCTCATTTTGGTTTACCACATTATCCAGTAGCCTCCTGACTAAGAGTTTATAGAAGATATACATATATATATATATATATCCTACCTTACTGGGATTCAATTGAGAGACACTATATATATATATATATAAATTGTACATGTCTGGAAAAAAAATTTTATCCTTAATCCTCACAACTGCATAAATATTTGGTAAGTATAAATGCAGAGTTTGGAAATTAATTTAGTTCACTGTCTTGCAACTTCCAGCATTGCTAATAAGAAACCTGATGCCATTCTGATTATTGATCCTGTCTTTCTATGTCACCTGTTTTGCCTGTCTGAAATTTTCTGGCTCTTCTCTTTGATCCCTTGATTCTAAAATCTCATGATGGTTTGCCTTGATGTGGGTGTTAAATTCATTTGTTGTGCTTTGCTCTCCAGGGCCCTTTCAAATGGACAACTTTATTTCAATTCTGACCATTTTGCTTGTGATATTATTTGAATAGTTTCTCCCTTCTGCTTTATCTCTCTCTTTTATCTTTTGGAATTCCTGTTAGTTGGATGTTAGCTTTCCTAGATTGATCCTCTAGAGACTCCCTGGTTTTTTTTCTTGAAAATCTTATATGTCTTCTTTTCTTGAATCTAACTTCTATGACATTTTCTGAGGAACTTCATTCCTTCTAGTGATTAAAACACTTCTGCCATTATATTTTTAATTTCCAAAAGCTCTTTTGAAAAGTTGTTTCTCTTTTATAGCATCTTGTTTCAAGAAATCCGAAATTTTCTCTCTACTAATGAGGATGAAAATTTTTTTTAAATTTTACGTTTCTTCCAAGGTTGTTTTAAGTGTTAGTTCCTTCCAGGTTTCTTTCCCAGCTCCTCCTCCATTATTTGCTTGTTCTGGAAGAATTCATCAAGTGTCCACTGGGTGTCCATTCACATTTCGGAATGAGACACTAAAAATCTGATTAGGAGCTCTGTGCAAGGAATGCCTCTCATTGACTGTGCCTCATTTTGATTTTTCATTTTCCAACTCGCCTTCTAAAGGAATGGTGCCTCTAATTCCTGACAACTTCCAGAGTTCAAAAGTGTACACTGGCTTACTCCTTGTCAGCTTCCCCTAAGCAAGTAATCAAGATTTTTGTTTTTTCATTCTGTGAAATTAGCTACCATATATGCCCCTATCTTCCAAAATGTTTGATTATCTCTTATTTGATGCCCTTTTCTATTCCCTGATCTTTGCTTCTTTTCTGCCTCTAACTCTCTCTTATAGGTGGTTTCATGGGATTTCAGAAGGAACACAGATGAATGCAGGTGTGTTCAACCTGCCAGGCTTAACCAAATGCATAGATTGGTTCTCTAATGTGACCTTTCCTGGAATCCCTGAGATAACACCTACATGGTCATGCCATATGACTCTTTCATCCACTCCTGGGTTGGATTTATTTATATTTTGTTGTGGGATTTTACCTCACGTGTTTATAAGCAACTTTGTGACCTACAATTTTCATTTCTTATTTTGTATTTGTCTAGGGTTGATAGCAGAACTATAGCAGCCTCATGAAATAACTGAGGGTGATTGAAATTTTGAATATATTTATATATATGCACATATATGTATTAGAATGATTTGTTTAATACAGACATCATCTGTTCCTTGAAAGATTGCAGAAAATTGTCCATTAAATTATTTGAAACTGATGTCTGTGTGTGTAGTTGTTAGGAGAAAGCAGATTAGTGAAGCTCTGGAAGTATATTATGCATTTCTCCTGTTATTTTTAGTTCTTATGCTGACCTTTGAGCCAGTTTTGATTGTTTATTGTCCTAAAAAGTAACTATTTCCCTAGATTCTCTTCTTATTGGGAGAAAGTTGTATAGAAATTTCTTATATAAAGTTTTAATCCTTTCCTTCTCTGAAGATGTGTCCTTTTTCCTATTCCTACCATTGTTTATTATTGTTTTTTCCTTTGTTTTCTTGATCAATCTTTCCATTTTGTTGGTCTTTTCAATGAACCACCTTTTGGTTTTATTGATCCACTACTCTTATTTTCTGTTTGAGATTTAATTAAATCTTGATTTTCTTTATTATATTTTTCTATATATTTCTTTCCTAATTCTTTACTTCTCCTTTGTTGAGGGGATTACCTTGTGTTCTGTTTCTAATACGTTGGTTTAAAACTTAATTTACTTGCAGTGTTTCTTATTTTCTAATAAATGCATTTTAGGCCATGAATGTTCATCTCTGTGCCACTTTGGAAATGTTTGGCCTTTATAACGTATAGTGTTTTCATTGGATTTTATTTCTTAGCCATTTGTTATTTTGATTTTGATTTCCTGGTTAACCTAAGAAGTGTTTGGGAGTAGCTTTTAAAATTTCTCAGTGGAACGAGTGGGGGAAGTCGTCCTCTGTCCTTTGGTTGTTTACTCTGATCCTATTACATTGTGGTTAGAAAATGTGTTCCTTAAGATTTCCATTTGTGAGAGTCAATTGTTGTTTCTTTTGTGGCCTAGTGCATAATCAGTTTTGAGGCTTCACCACATTTGAAAGGCAATATAGTGCAATGATTAAGAGTGTAGTAACTAATGCCAGATAGTAGAGAGGGTAGGAGCAGGGAGGATCAACACTAGGATGATTGGGGAAGGGTGATGTGAAGTCCAGCTCTGCCACTGCATACATGTAGAGGTGGGGCAAGCCTTGTTTCTTCCCTGTAAAATGACGGTATTAATAATGGTGCTGCCAGCAGGCTGATACAGGTTCTTGTCCTTGCCCCAGAAAAGAATTTGAAGGCCAGACCAAAGTGAAAGTACAGAAGATTGATTGCAGAGCAAAAGCAAATACACACTCAAGAGAGGATTGCAAGTATGCTCAAAAGAATGAGCCATGCCCAACCTGGCCAGAGCTCACATGCTATATGGATAAGCATAATGAAGTCATGGAATATTACATAATAAGAGGAGAGATTGGCTGGGTGCGGTGGCTCAGGCCTGTAATCCCAGTACTTTGGGAAGCTGAGGCAGGCGGATCACCTGAGGTCAGGAGTTCAAGACCAGCCTGGCCAACATGGTGAAACCACATCTCTACTGAAAAATACAAAAATTAGCTGGGCGTGGTGGCAGGCACCTGTAATCCCAGCTACTCAGGAGGCTGAGGCAGGGAGAATTGCTTGAAAACAGGAGATGAAGGTTGTAGTGAGCCGATATCGCACCACTGCACTCCAGCCTGGGCAACAGAGTGAGACTCCATCTCAAAAAAAAAAAAAAAAAGTGGGGGTGGAGCAGGGAAGGGATTTTCTGGGTAATGAGTGGGCAATTCCCAGTTGGGGTGCCAGCATTTTCTTAACTAAATATGGTTAATTTGGAACTGCTGTGGTGTCAGGTCCGTGATGGGAGTGGGAGGTTTCCCCAGGGAAGTTTTATGGTAATAGGGGCATAATGTAGCCCCTATTTGAAAACTTCAAATTTGTCGTCCTACAGAAATCATCTAAATGTGTAAAAACAATCCAGTACTTTAGGAACACAGACCATGATATAATTGCTTGAATTTAAAAGTCTCCTAAGGTTAAAATATTTAGTTGTGATTACCTTTCTTTTGGTGTTATTGAGGTATAATTGTATAAATTGAAGGTGTAAAACATGATGATTTCATATATGTTTATATTGTGAAATGATTACCACAATGAAGTTAGTTAACATATCCATCATGTCACATAGTTACCATTGCGTGTGTGTGATGAGAATATTTAAGATCTACTCTCTCAGCAAATTTCAAATATGTAATACATTATTGTTAACTATAGTTTCCATACTACACATTAAATACCCAGAACTTATCCATCTTATAACTGAAAGTCTGTGCCCTTTAACCAACATTTCCCCATTCCTCCGACTTCCAAGCTTTTGGCAACTGCTATTTGACCCTCTGTTTCTATGATTCAACTTTTTTAGATTCCTCGGTCTGAATCTAATCTACCAATGGGCTTGTCATACATGGCCTTTATGGTATATTTCATTTATACCCAATTTGTTAAATGTTTTTTATCATGAAAGGATGCTGAAGTTTTCAAATCCTTTTTCTGTGTCTATTAAAATGTTCATATGATTTTTGTCCTTCATTCTGTTAACGTTGCACAACACCATTATTGATTTACATGTTGCATCATCCTTGCATCCCAGGGATAAATCCCACTTGATCATAGTAAGTGATCATTTTAGTGTACTGTTGAATTTGGTTTGGTTTGGTAGTATTTTGTTGAGAATTGTTGCATCTATGTATATCTGGAGAAATGGCCTGTAATTTTTTTTTTCTTGTAGTATACTAATCTGGCTTAGGTATCAAGGTAATGCTCATAAAATTAGTTTGGAACTGTTCCTTGCTCTTAATTTTTTTTTTTGGAAGAGTTTTAGAAGGATTGGTATTAGTTTCTTCTTAAATGCTTGGTAGAATTCACTAGCATAGCCAACTGGTTTTTCTTTAATGGAAAGTTGTTTACTTATTCAATCTTTTTACTCATTATTGGTCTGTTCAGATTATCTGCTTTTTCAGGATTCAGTTTTGATAGATTGTGTATTTCTAGGACTTTATCTATTTTTTCTAGGCTATACAATTTGTTGATGTATAATTGTTCATAGTAATCTCACGATTCTTTGCATTATCATGTTATCAGTTGTAATGTTTCCTCTGTCATTTATAAGTTTATTTATTTGAGACTTGTCTCTTTTTTAACTTGGTTAGTTTAGTGAAAGAGTTGCTAATTTTGTTTATCTTTTCAAAGAACAAGTTCTGAGTTTTGTTGATCTTTTCTATTGTTTTCCTATTACCTATTTATTTCTGCTCTAATCTACATTATTTTCTCCCTTCTGCTGCTAACTTTGAGTTTACCTTATCTTTCTTCATCAACTGTAAAGCTAAATGGTTTAAGATTTTTCTCCCTAATGTAGGTGTTTATAGCTATAAACTTGCCTCTTAGAATTGCTCTTCCTGCATCTCATTAAGTTTTGCTATGTTGTGTTTTCATTTTTGTTTGCCTCAGGATATTTATGTTACCTTTTTGGCTTCTTCTTTGATCTATTGGTTATTCAGGAATGTGTTGTTTAATGTCCTTACATTATATATTCCGTACAGAAGTTATGAATTCTTCAAATTTCCTCCTGTTATGGATTTCTAGTTTCATAATATTGTGGCCAGGAAAGACACTTGATATGATTTCACTCTTGAATTTGTTAAGACTTCTTTTGTGGCCTAACATATGATTTTTTTCCTGGAGAATGTTTCATATACACTGGAGTAGAATGTGTATTCTGCTGCTGTTGAATGAAGTGTTCTATATATGTTTGTTAGGTCTATTTGATCTAAAGTCTGGTTCAAGATCAATGTTTCCTTATATTTTTCTGTCTGATTGATCTATGATTATTGACAGTGGAGTATTACAGTCTCCTACTAACATTGTATTGCTGTTTCTTTCTTTTTTCAGTTCTGTTAGTATTTGCTTTAGTTATTTAGATGTTGCAGTGCTGTATGCAAAAATATTTACAGTTGTTGTATCCTCTTGATGAACTGTCCCCTTTATCTTTATATATTGATCTTCTGTATCTCTTGTGGCCATTTTTTACTTAATGTATATTTCATTTGGTATAAATATAGTCACCTCTGCTGTCTTTTGGTCACTTTTTGCATGGAATATCTTTTTTCATCCCTTCACCTTCAGCCTACCTGTGTTCTTAGAGCTAAAAGGAGTCTCTCTCTCTCTTTTTTTTTCCTTTGGCAGAGTCTCACTCTGTCACCCAGGTTGGAGTGCAGTGGTGCTATCTCGGCTTATTGCAACCTCTGCCTCCCGGGTTCAAGCAATTCTCCTGCCTCAGCCTCCCGAGTAGCTGGGATTACAGGTACCTGCCACCACACCCGGCTAATTTTTATATTTTTAGTAGAGACGGGGTTTCACTATGTTGGCCAGGCTGGTCTCGAGCTCCCGACCTCAAGTGATCATCCGCCTGGGCCTTCCAAAGTGCTGGGATTACAGGTGTGAGCCACTGCGCCCAACCTAAAATGAGACTCTTCTATGCAGCAGATTGTTTGATATTGTGGGGTTTTTTTTAATCCATTCAGTCACTCTATTTCTTTTGATTAGAGAATTTAATTCATTTATTGATAGGTAAGAACTTACTATTGCCACTTTGCTAATTGTGTTCTGACAGCTTTGTAGTACTTTTTTTCTTTCTTTTTTTCTTGTTGCCTTCCTTTGTGATTTGATCACTTTTGAAATGATATACTTTGATTCCTTTCTCTTAATCTTATCTACTACAGGTTTCTACTTAGTGGTTACTATGAGGCTTACATAAAATATTTTATAGCTATACCATCCTATTTTAAGCCAACAACTTCAAACACATACAAAACTCTACACTTTTACTTCTCCCCTCCCTCACATTTCAGTCAATTGATGTTACAATTTACATACTTTTTATATTCTGTCTCCAATAACAAATTACTATATTAGTACATTCTCACACTGCTCTAAAGAACTACCTGAGGCCAGCTGCAGTGGCTCACGCCTGTAATCCCAGCACTTTGAGAGGCCGAGGTGGGTGGATCACTTGAGGTCAGGAGTTTGAGATCAGCCTGGCCAACATAGTGAAACCCTGTCTCTACTAAAACTACAAAAATTAGCCAGGCGTGGTGGCATGTGCCTGTAGTCCCAGCTACTCGGGAGGCTGAGACAGGAGAATCACTTAAACCCAGGAGGCAGTGAGCCAAGATAGCACCATTGCACTCCAGCCTGGTTGACAGAGCAAAAGCAAGACTCTGTCTCAAAAAAAATAAATAAATAAAAAATAAAATAGAAGTACCTGAGACTGTGTAATTTATAAAGAAAAGAGGTTTAATTGACTCAGTTCCACAGGCTGTACAGGAGGCATGGCTGGGGAGGCCTCAGAAAACTTACAATCATGGTGGAAGGGCGAAGGGGAAGCAAGCACGTCTTCAAATGGTGACAGAAGAGAAAGAGACTGAAGGGAGAAGTGCTACACACTTTTTTTTTTTTTTGAGACGGAGTCTCGCTCTGTCGCCCAGGCTGGAGTGCGGTGGCGCGATCTCAGCTCACTGCAAACTCCACCTCCCAGGTTCATGCCATTCTCCTGCCTCAGCCTCCCGAGTAGCTGGGACTACAGGCGCCCGCCACCACACCCAGCTATTTTTTTGTATTTTTAGTAGAGACAGGGTTTCACTGTGTTAGCCAGGATGGTCTCGATCTCCTGACCTCATGATCCACCCACCTCGGCCTCCCAAAGTGCTGGGATTACAGGCGTGAGCCACCACGCCTGGCCGAGAAGTGCTACACACTTTTAAACTAGATCTCATAAGAACTCACTGTCACAAGAACAGCAAGGGGGAAATGCACCCCCATGATCCAGTTCCTCCCACCAGGGCCCTCCCCCAACACTGGGGATTACAATTCAACATGAGATTTCAGTGGGGACATGGAGCCAACTATATTAATTGCTATAGATATAATTATTTTTAATAGTTTGTTTTTTAACTTTTATACCAGAATTGAAAGTGACTTATGCACAATCATTACAATATTAGAGATTTCTGACTTTGACTGTATATTTACCTTTACTGGTAAGATTTTGTATATTTATATATTGTTATGCTGTGAATTAGTACCATCTCATTTCAGCTTGAAGAACCCCTCTAGCATTTCTTGCAAGACAGGTCTAGTGATGATGGATTCCTTTAGCTTTTGTTTGTTTGGAAAGGTTTTTATCTCTCCTTCACTTCTGAAGGACAGCTTTACCAGGTATAACATTCTTGGTCAGTAGAGTTTCTATTCTTTCAGCATTTTGAACATATCACCCTAATCTCTCCTGGGCTGAGAGGAGGAGGTTTCTGCCGAGAAATTTGCTGCTAGTCTTATGAGAGCTCTCTTATATGTAATGAGTTATATTTTCCTTGCTGCTTTCAAAATATTGTCTTTATCTTTTGATAATTTAATTATAATATTTCTTGATGTCAAATTTTATTGTTCAGTCTGCTTGGGCACCTTTCAGCCCAGTGAATCTAGATGTTCATTTCTCTCCCCAAATGTGGAAAGTTTCCAGCCATTACTTCTCTAAATGTACTTTCTGTTCATTTTCTCTCTCTTTTCTCCTTCAGTAATTCCCATAATTTGTATGTTGTTTTACTTGATGGTGTCCCATAAATCCCATAGGCTTTTTTTAATTCATTTTTATTCTTTGCTATTTTTGCTCCTCTGAGTAAATAATATCAAATGACCTATCTTTGAGTTCACTTAGTCTTTCTTCTGCTTGATTGAGTCATCTGTTAAAGCTCTCTATTAAATTCTTCCATCCAGTCATTGTATTTTTCAGATCTAGGATTTCTGGCTTTTTAAAAATGGTTCCTGTTCCTTTTTGGCATTATAATTTTGTTTATATATTGTTTTCTAATTTTGTTGAGTTGTCTATCTGTGTTTACTTATAGTTCACTGAACTTTTTAAAGAGAATTATTCTGAATTATATGTCAGTAAGTTCACAGATTATTATTTCTTTAGAGTCAGTTATTAGAGCATATTCGTTTATTTTAGTGATATTATTTTTTCCTGATTCTTTATGATCCATGCATCCTATCATTGGTGTCTGCACATTTGAGGAAACAATAACCTCTTCCAGGCTTTATAAGTTTGTTTCGGCAGGGAAAGCCCTTCACTAGTCAGTCCAGCCTGGAGTTCTGGGCAGGTCAGCTGGTAGCATCCATGGACAGGCAGAGCTTGCTGTTGAGATCTCCAGCTGGGTCAGATCATTGCCTGTGCTCTGAGGTTGGGTAAGGCCACTGCTGCTCTCTATGGTTGTTTGGATGTTTTGACTGGACCCTTTTGTTGGGCAGCGGCTAACGGCCAGGCTCTAAGATGGGACAAGGCCTTAAGCTACTGTTAGGTATGGTCACAGGCTGGGCTCTGTGATTAGGCAGGGTTGAAGACTGTGTTCCACAGTTGGGTGTTGCCACTGGATTAGTTATTCTCCAGAGTAGGGCCACTGGCTGTGCTTCAAACTTTATCAGAGTTGCTACCAGGTGCCCAGGTTCAGTGGGACCACAGAATATGCCCCTCCCTTAGGTCCTTGCTACAAGCTGGGCTCATCAGGAAGGTAGCATAAATTTCTGGAATCCCTGTTCAGGCAAAGCTGCAAGTTGTGCCCCACAGTTCAGAAGTGTCACTGGCTGGGCTGAGTGATTGGGTAGGACCACAGGCTACGTTCTACATTTGGACAGGGTGACTTGTTCTACTCCCTGCCTGGGCATGGCCATAGGCTGGGATCTCTGGTTGCTTGGGGCCCCAAAGCTGTGCCCACCATTGAGAGAGGTCATTGGCTTGGTTTCCTGCCCATGCAGGTCATTGGCTGGGCTTTGTGCCTGGGCAGGGTCTCAATTTGGACTTCCTGGTTAACAGGGTTAGAGACCATACTCTGTAGTTAGGCAGGGTGGCTGGCTTGATTACCTGCCTGGGCAAAGACATATGCTAGGATCTGAGGCTGGGCAGAATTTCTTTGGGGGTTCCCTGGTCAGGCAAGACAGAAACCTAAACGTCTTAGGTGGGCTGGGCTGCTGGCTAGGCACCCAAGCTACTTAGAACTGCTGACCATGCTACCTGGCCAAATAGGGCCACCAGCTTGCCTCTGCAGGTGGACAGAGCTGCTGGCTGAGCTCTCTGATAGGGTGCTGATGTCAGGAGCACAGTACCAGCATGACAATCTCTGCATTGGCCACTGTGAGCCCTGCCCTCACTTCTTCATTTCTAATCAAACCCAGGTGGTCCAGCCCCTCTGATTTCCTGTTTGTTTCCCATGAGGCAAGACAGAATTGGGCCTCCTAAGAAGCAGCCCAGAATGCCAGGGAAGCTGGGTGTCCTCCTCAGGCTCTGTTTTCCCCACTGGAGAAACCTTAGGCTCAGGGAAAACCTCTTGGTGTGGTGCTGTGCCAGCCTGGGGTAGGAGCAACACAGTCAAAGTGAATCCATTCCTCTTACCCCTTCTAATGTGGTTTTTCTCAGGTTTTGTGGTCCAAGGGAGGTGGTTCAGCTTCACTCTTGGGTTCTGAAATTTTCACAAAGGCATCCTTGTCTATGGATAGTTGCTACTTAGTCTTTCTGTGAGAGAGACTAAAGCCAGAAACCTCCTATTCTGCCATCTTAGTGACATCCCATCCTGGATGTGCCTTTTAAATCTAAGGTTCTAGCTTCAGCTCTGGAAGACTATTTTTTTTTACTTGATTTCCCTATTCTCTTTCTTTCTATTCTCTTCTGGAATTCCCCTTGGCAGAATGTTGAAACATCCTATGCAGTTTAACCTTCTTTTTTCACATTTTCCATATCTTTCCCTGCCTATATTCCAGAAAGAAAAATGTGGCTCACTAAGTTACTCTTCAACTGAGTCTATTCTGCACACCCACCTTTATTTTTTAACAGCTTTAATGAGGTATAATTTACATACTGTAAAATTCTCCTGTTTTAAGTGTGTATCTCAATGATTTTTAACAGAATTACAGAGTTGTGCAACCATCATCACAATCCAAGTGTAGAATATTTTCACTACCCTTAAAAGCTTCTTCATGACTATTTGGGATCAATTCCTGCTCCTATTCTCCAGCCCTAGGCAACCATCAATATACTTTCTATCTCTGTAGTTTTCCCTTTCCTGGCCATTTCATGTAAATGGACCATATATTATACGGTCTTTTACATCTGGGTTATTTCATCGAACGTAATATTTTGAAGTTCATCCATGTTTTAGCATGTGTTTATATTTTGTTCCTTTTTCTTGCTGAATTGTATTCCATTATATGGCTCTATCAATGGTATTTTTTCATTTGCCAGTCAATGGAAATTTGGATTGTTTTTATTTTTTGACTATTATGAATAATGCTGTCCTGGGTATTTGCATACAAGCCTTTGTGTGGATATACATGTTCGTTTCTAGGTAGATATTTAGGAGTGAAACTATTGGGTTCTATAGTAGCATTATGTTTCACTTTTTTCAAATCTGTCTTACAGTGTTTCCGAAAGACCATTTTACAGCAATGTATAAGGGTTCAAGTTTTGCTAAAATTTGTTATTTTATGTCTTTGTAGTCATTCCAGTGAATATATTTTGGTATTTTGTTGTGGTTTGATTTGCTTTTCTCTAATAATGAATGCTACTGAACATCTTTTCACATGTTTTTATTTTTCATATGTCTTTTGGAGAAATATCTGTTCAAATCATTTGTCCATTTTTAATTGGCTTGTCTTCTTATTGAGTTGTCAGAATTCTTTACATATCTGAATACAAGTAGTTTATTAAAAATATGATTGGCTAATATTTTCTCCCAGACTGTGACTAATCTTTTCTTTCTCTTTATGGTATATTTGAGGCACAAAAGATTTAAATTTTGTTAAATTTTAACATCATTTATTCTCTTATGATTATACTTTTGTGGTAGCTAATTCTTTGTCTTACCTAAAGTCACAAAGATTTTTCCTGTGTTTTCTTCCAAAAGTCTTATCATTTTTGCTGTTTTACAAGACTACTGCATAATTTGGGAAACGCAGTGAAAAATGAAAATGGGGGGATCCTTGTTCAAAAATTATTAAGGATTTCAAAACAGTGAAAGCAGAACACTAAACTAAGCACAGAGTCTTTTGTGACTGCACAGGATGCATGCCCATAAAGCCATCCCTGCTTTTACATTTAGAGATGCATGATCCATTTTGAGTTGATTTATGCATATGGTGTGAGGTAAGGGTCTAATTTCATATTTTTGCATGTGCCTATCCAGTTATACTAGTACTATTTGTTGAAAAGACTATCTTTTCCTCATTTAATTGCCTTGGCACTTTTGTTGAAAATCAATTGACCAAAAACCTAAGGATTTATTTCTGCACTCTCAGTTCTGTTGTATTGATTTTTATATATATTTATGCCAGTACTGTCTTGATTCATGCAGCTTTATAGTAAGTGTTGAAATCACAAAGTATAAGTCTTCCAACTTTTTTCTTCTTTTTCAAGACTGTTTTGGATATTCTGGGTTCTTTGCAATTCCATGTAAATTTTAGGATCAGCTTCTCAATTTCTGCAAAAGGCCATTGGAGATTTTGATAGGAATCATACTGAGTCTCTAGATCAATTTGGAGAGAATTACCATGTTAAACATATTGAGTCTTTCAATCCATGAACATTGGCATCACTATTTTGATCTTTAATTTCTCTCATCAATGTTTTGCCATTTTCAACATACAAGTCTTGCATTCTGTTTGTTCAATTTATTTTTAAATGTTTTATTATTTTGCCTACCTTTATTTTTGAATTTGCAAACTCGACTTTTAAATTCCTAAGTTTCCTAGTTGGTTGAATATTATTCATAACTTATTCAATATTATTGAATAATATTGACCTAATATTGAGTCATAGACTTTTGAGTAAGTATATTTAATAACCCCATAACTTATTAGGTCTCAATATTATTAAATAAGTTATGGGGTTATTAAATATACTTACTCAAAATCTTGTTCTGTTTACTGTATTATTTCTTTTCTCTGATATTACCTAAAAAATGGTAAAAGAAAGATCTGAAGGGACCTGGTTAGAACCCTGAAACTGTCCACTAAGCCAGTGTTGACACCTGGGGTGTAGTGGTTCCATGCCTTCCCTAACATTTATTCTGAATTTTATATACAAATGAAAGACTTTTTTAGTTTAATTTATATAAAAATTAGATCATAATATATTGATCTAAACATGATGTTTTCACTGAACAACAAAACTATGACTGTCTATCCAAATTACTAGAATTAAATAGCTATGTAATAGTTCAACAGTGTATATTTACAATAATGTACTTAACCAGTCAGCTGAATACACAATTAGGTTGTTTTCAGGTTGAGGAGTATGTGTTATTGTTGAGGGGTTTTTGCTGGTAAAAACAATGCTTCAACAAAAATTTTGCATTTATGAGCATCTAATCAACAAATATTTATGGAACACCTTGTATATATCAGATACTCAAGAAAAATCAGTGGACAAAACAGACAAAATCTCTGCCCTCATGGCATATATATTTTTGGGGGAAAAGAGACAATAAAGAATATGATAAACAATAAATACACAAATAAGTAATTCATTTAGCATGTTAGGGAGTAGTAAGGGCATGAGAAAAAAAAATAGAGGCAGATTAGGAGCTTGGGAGTGTGGGGGCAGGCTAAGGGGATTGTGATTGTGATTTTTAGATAGGTTGGTCAAAGCAGGCCTCATTGAGAAGGTGATAGTGAAGCAAGGATCTAAAAGAGACAAGGGAGTTAGTTCACTACATAGATATATGTGTCTATGCTAAGTAGAGAAAATAGCCAGTATCAAGTCCCTAAGGCTAGAGAATCTCTGGTGTAGTCAAGAAACAGCAGAGGCGAGTGTGGCCCGACAGACATGAGCAAAAGGAGAGGAGCAAAGGATGTATCATTTCAGACCCTTTGAACAGTGTAAGGATCTGGCTTTCACTCATGAAGAAATTGGGAGCATTGAAAGTTCTGCAGTTCTTGTTTTTATAAGATGGATGTTGTCTTTTTATTTCTATACGATAGATTCCAAAAGTGGATCTGCATGGTCAGTCTGTAGTATATCTTAAAATTTAGTAGATGTTGCCACATCTTTTCTGAAAAGGCTGTAGTAATTCATGCTTACACCAGGGATGAGTAAGTGTCTGTTTTTCTGAATCTTCTCCCTCGTGACATAGTGTCACTAATGAAATTGTGTTTGCCAATCTAATGGGTGAGAAATGGTTTCTCATTGATATTTTAGTTTTTATGTATTCATATGTTTATTAGACATTTTCATTTTCTCTTATTTAAGCTGCCTGTTCAGGTCCATTTTGGAGGAGTTATTTGTTGCTTTTTATTAATAGACTGTAGTCTTTGCCCATTAATATCAGATATATTAACCCTTTGTCATATATATTGAAAATGCTTTTCTACACTCTTTTATATCTGTATTGCTTTTTAAAAACATTTTAACCTATTAAGAGAAATCTTCCTTTAACTATTCTCTTCTCAAATGTTTTTTGTCTGACTCAGATATTTGTTCTGTCATTTAAATATTTACATTATTTGATTCAGCTTTTTTTCCAACTTTTATTTAAGTTCGGGGGTACATGTGCAGGATATGCAGATTTGTTACACAGGCAAAAGTGTGCCATGGTGATTCGCTGTGTGATTCATTCCATCACACAGGTGTTAAGACAAGCATTCACTAGCTCTTCTTCCTGATCCTCTCCCTCCTCCCAGCCCCCACCCTCTGAAACACCCAAGTGTGCATTGTTCCTCCTGTGTCCATGTGTTCTCATCATTTAGCTCCCACTTATAAGTGAGAACATGCAGTCAGCACTATTCACAATAGCAAAAACATGGAATCAACCTAAATCGCCATCAATTATAGACTAGAGAAAGAAAATGTGGTACATATACACTATGAAATACTATGCAGCCATAAAAAAGGAATGAGATCATGTCCTTTGCAGGGACATGGATGAAGCTGGAGGCCATTATCCTTAGCAAACTAATGCAGGAATATTTTATCCAGTTTCAATGGGGTTCCAGGTTGCAAGTGCACTATACTTACATAATAATTTCAGAATAATGGATGTTTTAAAACTACTACCTTTTTTGTAATTGGAGGCCTTTCATAATCTCTGTTTATTTAGATCTTATTTAATTTTCTTCAATAAGATTTTTATAGTTTTCTTCATACAAGTCTCATACCTTTCAGATGTTTATAAATACATACATTTGTATTTGCTATTGAGTCTGAGTATTTTTTTCAATGTATGTCGTTCCAAATAAAAGCTATAAGTTTTATATATCTATTTTCTATTCATACTCTCATATGGTTTTGCTGTGTCCCCACCCAAAATCTCATCTTGAATTGTAATCCCCGTAATCTCCAGGTGTTAAGGGAGAGACCAGATGGAGGTAATTGAATCATGGGGCAATTTCACCCATTCTGTTCTCATGATAATGAGTGAGTTCTCATGAGATCTGATGGTATAAGGGCCTCTTCCGCCTTCACCTGGCACTTCTCCTTCCTGCTGCCTTGTGAAGAAGGTGCCTTGGTTCCCCTTCGCCTTCCACCATGATTGTAAGTTTCTTGAGGCCTATCCAGCCACACTGAACTGTAAGTCAATTAAACCTCTTTCCTTTATAAATTACCCAGTCTCGAGCAGTTCTTTATAGCAGTGTGAAAATGGACTAATATATACTCCTTGGTAAATTCTTTTTCTAGTTCTTATGAATTTTATTAGGTCTATAGGTTTCCTACATATATAATTATAGAACATATTGTACACTATTTTAGTATTCCTACCAATTATTTTATTTTCATGTCCTATTGCATTAGCTAAAGCTTCTAAAATATGTATATGTGAACACATATGTATATGTGTATACACACACATATATGTGTATACACACACGCATATATGTGTATACACACAAGTGTATACACACACGCATATATGTGTATACACACACATATATATGTGTATACACACACATATATATGTGTATACACACACACACATATATATGTAAAAGACCGTGGTAATGGTAGACATCCCCATATTGTTTTCTATTTAAATGACTTCACCATTAATGTTTACTACAACATTTGCTGATTTTAGAGACTTCATTTTGTGTTAGTTTTTATTTCATAGTTTTAATTTTTAAAAAATAACTGCTAGGACTTATCAAATTCCCTTTTAAACCCATTCATGAATAGGTTTAAATACGTTTTCTCCTTTTATTTATTGGTATAAAATTGTAGAGACTTTCTAAAGTTGAACTATTTTTTTGTTTCATTCAATCTCATTGTCATTGGTTTTCTCTTTCTTCTTGGTTCTAAATAACCTCTAACTACAAGTTTTATTTCATCTTTGATCCAACACAGTGCATTTTCTTTTGTTTTCTAAAATCTTAAGTAATTTATTTTCTATATGAAGTCTGTTTCACTTCTAGTGATTATAACTTTTTGTGACTTCTTTTGTGGCTAAGATTATGCTGAATATTGATATATATTTCAAGGGTATTGAGAAATATGTGTTCTCTGTTTTTTCTTTGTTTTTTTTGTTTTGTTTTGTTTTGTTGTTGTTGTTGTTTGGGACAGAGTCTTGCTCTGTCACCCAGGCTGGAGTGCAGAGGCTCACTGCATCCTCCACCTCCCAGGTTCAAGCAATTCTCCTGCCTCAGCCTCCCGAGTAGCTGGGATTACAGGCATGCACCACCATGCCTGGCTAATTTTTGTATTTTTAGTGAGATGGGATTTCACTATGTTGGTCAGGCTGGTCTTGAACTCCTGACCTCGTGATCCGCCCGCCTCAGCCTCCTAAAGCTCTGGGATTACAGGCATGAGCCACTGCGCCCAGCCGTGTTCTCTGTTTTTAAGTCACAAGATTAAATATTAAATCACTCATTAATTTATCCAGAGCCTGTATACTTTGTCCATTTTTGTATATGTAAAGAATCAAAAAACAGGGGTGAATTGTTTTTCAATGCCTGTAAAACATTTGTCTCATGATTTGTTTCTTGAATTTTGATTTGACATTAAATGGGAACAGTCTTGCTTTTTGTTTTATTTACAGTTGCATACCATAACTTGCTGATTTTCAATTTCAACATTTTTTGTGTCATTTTTTCTTAGTTGTGTCTTTAGTTGGATTCTCTTTGATTCCAGTCAATATCGATATCATCAATATTGATGATTCTTTTTCAATATTATTAATATTGCCTTTCAATATCATTTTTCTTTTACATTCTGTTTAAATAATTTTTCATACTTTTTCCATTTTGTCTTTATTTCATTTCAGTAGTTTTGGGGGAACAGGTGGTTTTGGTTACATAGATAAGTTCATTAGTGGTGATTTCTGAGATTTTGGTGCATCTGTCACCCAAGCAGTGTACACTGAACTCAATGTGTATTCTTTTATCTGTCACTCCCCTCCCACCCTTTCCCCTGAGTCCCCAAGGTCCATTGTATCATTCTTATGCCTTTGCATTCTCATAGCTTAACTCCCACTAATAAGTGAGAACATAACGATACTTGGTTCCATTCCTGAGTTGCTTCACTTAGAATAATGGTCTCCAACTCCATCCAGGATGCTGAGAACGCCATTATTGCATTCCTTTTTATGGCTGAGTAGTACTCCATGGTGTATATATATACACACACACACACACACACACACACACACACACACACATATGGTATATATATATGTGTATACATGTATATGTGTATATATACATATATATATCACATTTCTTTATCTACTCATTGATTAGTGGGCATTTAGGCTTGTTCCACATTTTCTCAATTGCTAATTGTGCTGCTATAAACGCGTGTGCAAATGTCTTTTTCATATCATGACTTATTTTCCTCTAGGTAGAGACCCAGTAGTGGGATTGCTGGATCAAATGATAGTTCTTTAAGGAATCTTTATACTGTTTTCCACAGCAGTTGTAATAGTTTACATTCCCACCAGCAGTGTAAAAGTGTTCCCTTTTCACCACATCCACGCCAACATCTATCATGTTTTTATTTTTTAATTATGGTCTTTCTTGCAGAAGTAAGGTGGTATCGCATTGTGGTTTTGATTTGCATTTCCCTGATAATTAGTGATGTTGAGAATTTTTTCATATATTTCTTGGCCATTTGCATATCTTCTTTTGAGAATTGTCTATTCATATCCTTTGCCCACTTTTTGATAAGATTATCTGAATTTTTTCTTGCTGATTTGTTTGAGTTATTTATAGATTCTGGAATTTTTGCTTAGTCTTGCTTTGGCAATGTGGGCCCTTTTTTGATTCCATATGAATTTTAGGATTGTTTTTTCTAGTTCTGTGAATAATGATGATGGTGTTTTGATGGGAATTGCATTGAATCTGTAGATTGCTTTTGGGCAGTATGATCATTTTCACAATATTGATTTTACCCATCCATGAGCATGGAATGTGTTTCCATTTGCTTGTGGCATCTGTGATTTCTTTCAGCAGTGTTTTGTAGTTCTCCTCATAGAGATCTTTCACCTCCTTGGTTAGGTATATCCTAAGGTTTTTTGGATTTTTGTTGTTGTTGTTGTTGTTGTTGTTTTGCTTTGTTTTTTTGGTTTATTTTTTATTTATTTATTTTTTTGCAGCTGTTGTAAAAGGGATTTGATTTGATTCTCAGCTTGATCATTGTTGGTGTATAGCAGTGCTACTTATGATTTTGTATCCTGAAACTTAACTGAATTCATTTATCAGATCTATATCTTAGGATACTAATCATATCATTGGTGAACAGTGACTCAAGTTTGACTTCCTCTTTACCGATTAGGATGCCCTTTATTTCTTTCTTTTGTCTGACTGCTCGGGCTAGGACTTCCTGTTTTATCTTTTACAACTCATTGTTTCCCTTGTTTTATCTCTCTAAAAATGCAAACTATGTCTGCTTTTTATTTTTATTTTCAGTGTTACATAAGGTTTTATAAGGTCTGATTTCACTCAATCAGTAGTTATTTTCAAATCTTTTCGAAAGGAAAGAAGGAAGGAAGGAAAGAAAGACGCAGGAATATGTATAAAGGTATAGCAAACATCACACTTAATGGTGCTGCTAAGTGCTTCTTCCTTGAAATTGGAAATAAGGCAAGGAAGTCCACTCTCATCACTTCTCTTCAACATTGTATTCAAACTCCTAACCAGTGAAATGAGACCAAAAAATAGAAATAATTGTTTGGAAAGAAACAGTAAGTCAGTCTATTTGTTCATGATATAATTATTTTCTTTAAAATACAAAGGAAATCTATAAATAATTTACTAGAAATACTACATGAATTTAGCAATGCCATAAATTCATGGTTAATATGTTTCAAACCAATTATATTTTCATATAATAGTAATAAGGAATTTGAAAAGCATTATCATTTAAAGTAACACCAAAACAATAAAATAACTAGGAATAAATTTATTATTTTTTAAATTTAATTAAATTAAATTTTTTATTTCAATAGGTTTTTGGAGAGGAATAAATTTAATGAAAGATGTACATGACTTCTAAAAACTATAAGCAGTGCTGGGTAAAATTAAACACATGTAAGTAAATGGAGAGATATACAATGTTAACAGATTGGAAGCTCAATGTTGTTGTCATCTCCCCCAAATTTATCTGTAGCTTCAATTCAAATCCAAAAAAAAGTCCTAAAGTTTTTTCTTGAAGAAATTGACAAACTGATTTGAAAAGATAATGTATAAAAGCAAAGAATCTAGAAAATCCAAGCCAATCTTTTCTAATTGACTTCAAGACTTTTGTTAAGCCATGATATTTAAGGCAAAATCTTACCAGCATAAGGGTAGACAAATAGATCAATGGTATAGCATAGAAAGTACATATATAAACCCATGCTAATATTGTAAATTGTTTTTTGAATATTTTCATGACCTTGGAGTAGGCAAATATTTCTTAGATAGTACACTAAAGTCATTAATTATAAAAGAAAAAAAAATAAATTGGATTTCATCAAAATTACAGATTTCTTCCCATCAAAAGACATGATTAAGAAAATGAAAGAGAAGCTACAGACTGGGTGAAAATATTCACCATACATAAATCAGACAAAACACTTCTATCCATAATATATTTAAAAAATGCCTACCCATCAATAAGTAAAATTGAATAATATAAATGGGCCAAAGACTTGAACAGACACTTTACAAAAAATAAATTGCCAATTAACACATGAAAATGTGCTTGACATCATTTTATCATTAAAGAAATACAAATTAAAACGAAAATGACATATCACATCACACACACTGGAATGGCTAAAACTAGAAAGGCTATCTCTGATAGTCTTTGAAAAACAGTTTGGCAGGTTCTTAAATGGTTAAATGTACTCTTACACAATGACCAAGCAATTCCACTGCTACATATTTATGCAAGATAAGTGAAAACATCTTGCCACAAAAAGACTTGTACAAGAGCAGCAATTTTATTTATACTAGTCTCAAAGTGGAATCAACTCCAATGACCATGAACAGAAAACTGAATAAGCAGATTGTGGTATATTCACACAATGGAATGCCACTCAACAACAAAAATGAACAAACTACTGTTCAACACATCAACATGAATGATAAGCAAAAGAAGGCAGACACAAAAGCATATATACCTTTTATCCCATTTATACAAAATCCAGTAGCGGGCAGTATTAAGATACGATGGAAAAAATGACAGCAGTGGTTGCCCTGAGAGACTGCCTGGTTGCATATGGTCAGGATGTGGGTTGACGGGCAGGGCACACACTGTTCTGTTCATTTCTCAAATAACACATCAGTTTTTGGCTCTGTGTCTCCCTTCAAATCTCCATTGTTTCTTACAAATTCTGTAGGGCACCATGATTCCTAACCTCTGAAAGCATCCATCCCCTATCTGCTATTGCAACTAGCACTTTTCTGACCACTTTTCACCTTCAAGATTTTACTTGAAATCTCTTATCTGCTCATTGTCCTCTGCCATTCTCTTTGTCATTGTGAATCTAATTCCTTTGTTATCATTTTAGTGATCTTTAACCAGAAACTTTTTTTACAGAAATTCAAAACAATAATGTAACATTATTGTTTCCTGCCTCATGTTAGATACTGGACAGTGCCAATAATTCTCTTCTAGTTGGGAAGGAAGGGCTCATAAATTTTCATAATATTAAGAAATACTGAGATGTTGACTAAAACATTATCAGAGCAATAAAGTAATCAACTAAGAACCAGAATTAGAGATTCAACTTTAAAATTACTTTCATAGGAAACGGCAACAATTTCTGAAATTCAGATGCCTAAAATGATTCACCATATATAGCAATAATACAGAGAGATTGATATTAATACAAAGTAGAATCAGGCATTCTAGGAGATATCATTCATATTCTCATGAAATTCTCAATAATGTGGTCTCATTATTATTATTAAACTGCATTGTATTATTTGTGAATTAATGATGTAGGATTATATTTCTTTCTTAACAGCTACAGATTAGAGAAGGACATGTTATTTTCATCTTTCTCAGATTTGTTTTCTCTCAGTTGATTAAGATGCATATTCAAGGTTAGATTTTATTTTTATTCCATTGTTTTTCATTTCTCTGTGGATGACCTGTTTATTCCACCTAGATTCTGTAGGAATTTAATTTTTATTTCAAAAAATATTCCATATATGGTTAGGTGAAGGTATCTTTACAATGGCTTTGTTCAGTTTAGACAGAACTTTTTCAGTCCTCTATATTAGTTTTTCACAACCTCCATTTCTTCTATTACATCTTTTTTGTTGCTTCAATTGCATTTATTCTGGCCTCTACTGAGGACCACCTAATTTATATATGTTCATTCTTTGTAGCTTGTCCTTTATATGTAAACTCTTACAGCCTCCACAAACATCTCAGAATCTTGATGACCATTTTCACATGGTGTCCTTTTTCCCTAGGATGTTCACGGAAGACCAGGGTGTAGATGACAGGCTGCTCTATGACATTGTATTCAAGCACTTCAAAAGAAATAAGGTGGAGATTTCAAATGCAATAAAAAAGACATTTCCATTCCTCGAGGGCCTCCGTGATCGTGATCTCATCACAAATAAAATGTTTGAAGTAAGTAAAGTTTATTATGTCACAATCTGGTAAAGCAGCCCCAAAATAAGTTATGCTTTGATATCCTAGACCAAAACTTCAGGGTACAATTTGCTAACTGACAGGTCTCCTATGAGTGGGGAACTTTTTCAAGTGTTTCTGTAAGTGCTCCTGTAAAGTAGAAAAGGAGAGGAGAAGCAGAGGTCGCCGGAGATGGTCCCACTTCCAGCCGAGGAAATGGTGTTCCATGGTGTCCTCTGGAGTTGGAGTGAATGGTACTGGAGAAACTGGAACGGAAACAGGTGTTCTCCATAAATGTACAATGTTTTGTAGAATTCGTACACTATAACATAAACTAAAACTTAAAAATAATTTTAATGAAGTGATTTACTTGAAATAGCAGTTGACACAGCATTTTCTTCCAGTTAACATCAATTTAAAATGCCTAGATCTGGGAACATTAAAACCCACAGGGAATTGATGTCTAGAGAGGACAAATTTGGAGGTAGATGCTTGTTATTCTTTCTCCAACACATTTGTTTTCTTTTTCTTTCCTTTTTTTTGTGCATTTCTGGAGTCTTGGAATATGGGTAAATTCCACCCATAGGCCCTGTTGGAGATACAGAGCAGCGAGTCATCTCTGGCTATGAATATGCTTCCTCTGTGGCCAAGTTCACAGCAAGGGGAGACTGGTTGCCTGGTTTCCTTGGGCCCTTCAGGCCAAATCAGTCTTGGGGGAAGAGCAGGGGTTGTCCAGCCAACAAAACAGCCACTCATCAATTGCCTGCTACGTCTATCCTAAAAACATATGGATCAGGCTATTAAAGGACTTTGAGCCCACTTTTATCCTTCCAAATTTCCCCTTTTTGCATCTAATGTAAATGAGGGTGAAGCAATCAGGCTCATCAGTGGGCATTTTTAAGGACAAGGGACTTACTTCTTTCATTACTGGCTATACAAATAAGTAAAAATTATAGAACCTCACATGAAAATACCTACGTAGAGAAATTAGAATACAGTAACCATAGAATTCCTTTCTAGAGCTCTTCTGTGACTTGGAAGTCTTTATTTATATTTTCTCCATTCAATATTTTTTAAGGATTCTCAAGATTCTTGTAGAAACCTGGTCCCTGTACAGAGAGTGGTGTACAATGTTCTTAGTGAACTGGAGAAGACATTTAACCTGCCAGTTCTGGAAGCACTGTTCAGCGATGTCAACATGCAGGAATACCCCGATTTAATTCACATTTATAAAGGCTTTGAAAATGGTAATTAGATTTATTATCTACCTTTTTATTTCCAGGGCCAAGTTTTTTCAATAAGTATATACTGATCTCCTACCATGAGTGACATGTTGTGTTGGGCAGTGGGCATAGAGTAGTTAACAAAATAGACATGCCATGAGTCTTCTCTTAGCTCATGGCGTATGGCTATGGTAAAACAAGTACCCGGAGGTCTGCTTCACTGGCCACTTAGACTCACAGGACAACCAGAGCCACACTGGCATCAGATTTACTTAGAAGAGTATAGGATAAGAAACAGAATCCCAACAGGGCAGCTTCTTATCTTCAGTGGGAGCCCTTGCAGTGGTCTACATAGCATCCACCAAATTGACTACTACCTGCCCTGAGTGACAGCTTAGCTGTGGGTGCAGGATCCACCTTGGCTCAGCACCACATGCCTGTGGGAGTGTATGTCTCTTGTAACAACTCCACAGTCACAGCTTTCAGGATGCCCTAAGAGGCAAGCTGAGTTACAAGAGTTATCAATTGAAGGAAGACCACAACTATGGCTTCCCCACAGGTATTTATTGTCCATATATAGTCCCAGTCAACCTGTCATGGGTCATTTCTAACCTCAGTGTTTGCCTAGTAACACTGCAAAAAAGGCTACCTTTATTAGGTTTCCAGAATATGAGCAAGAAAGTTAACCCTGGGTCAAGTTTGCCTTCAGTGAAGCAGAAGTGGTTTTGCTAACCCTTTATCCACAAGGGGTGAAACAAAGATTGACAAAACTGATTACTCTGCCAGGGACTATTTTTGGTGCTATACCAAACTAAAGGTTTCATTCTTGACCTTTTTCCTGAGAATGCATAATTTATACTATTAAAATGGTACACGTTAAAGACGTCCTCCAATTTTTTTTACTTGCCTGGAAAACTTTTTATTCCCACACAGTTTAATCTCAACCCAGTTCTCCAAATAAGAGATAGAGACATCACAAGAAAAATGGGCACATGCTCTGAAGATGGTGGATGCTATGGGAACTGGAATAAAAGTGTGAAAACATGTCTGCAAAACAGGGCAAATTAGATTTGGCTAAATCTGAGAGTGAGAAGCAGTATACAAGTTGACTTAGATCAATTGGAGGAAGATATTGAAAGGCCTGGAATTTAAAGTTAAGGAATTTGAAGTTTACTCGCTAGGCAATCAAGAAATACTGCAGGTTTATAAACAAGGAAAGAAGTGTAAGCAGTAGTTGTATATGGCTTATTGATTTGTGTCAATACTAACCTTATCTAAATTAATAATAAAATAATTTCTATAGCAAAAATTCAAGTCAGAAAAGGAATAAAAGGAAATCAAATACCTGGGCACAAATTTTGAGTCAATGTTATGTTTGTAAGCAGGATGGTCCAGGCTGCGGGGATGAAGGGAATGGTGCTACCTTTACTGCCCACATTCTCAGGGGCTCTGTTCCTCTCCATGGACTGCAGGGATCCCCCTTCCTAGCTCCAGTGCCCACAACTCACGTCTTAGTTTCTGGCGCTCCTTGTGCTTGGGTGACCTGCCCTGAGGCTCACTGTCACTGACCTGGGACAGCACCACCCACCGCCCCACCCAGCACAGCAAGCCCACCCACCATCAGGGAGATGCTGCTGACTCTCGGACCCTGAAGTCCACACAAGCTGCCCCTGTGTCCTCTGTTATGTTTATTTGAGAACTGTTCATCCTCCCTGACCCAATTAAGACAACATTCTCCTGTTTCTAGCCTCATCTTTAAAGATGTTGAGGTTTTTCTCATTTATTTTTTATTTATTTATGTTTTTTGAGACAGTTCCAATCTGTTGCCCAGGCTGGAGTGCAGTGGCATAATCTCAGCTCACTGCAGCCCCAGCCTCCTGGGCTCTAGTGATCCTCCCCCCTCAGCCTCTTGAGTAGCTGGGACCATAGGTGTGCAACACCACATCCAGCTAATTTTATTTTTCTTTTCAAAGATGAGGTCCAGCTATGTGGCCCAGGCTGGTCTCAAAATCCTGGGCTCAAGCAATCCTCCTGCATCGGCCTCCCAAAGTGCTGTGATTACAGGTGTGAGCCACTGCACGTGGCTGATTTTCTGTGATTACAGGTGTGAGCCACTGCACCTGGCTGATTATAAAAAAGTGGAATCTCTCTAGGACTTGAGACCTTCTCCCCAGGGAATTCCCCAGTTTCTTCCTTACACTTGATATATGCCTACCCTGCCATCTGACAATTTTGAGGGTAACACAGCTCACAATGTTTCCATTACTCCTTTATCCTTAAATCTTGAATGTCTCCTTTTTGTGTAGGACAATAAAGCCTTCACTGTTGGGGTCTTCTCTTCTCTGTCCCAGGGGATGACGGGAGAACTTTAGGTCATGTGGAACCCTCTGAGCTCTGAGTCACCCAAGGGCTGGAAATTCCTAAAAGCATGATTTCCAGACATTGTCCCTGGTCCCTGTAGATCTCTAATTGCTTCTTCTCTCTCCCACTCTTCAGTAATCCATGACAAATTGCCTCTCCAAGAAAGTGAAGAAGAAGAGAGGGAGGAGAGGTCTGGCCTCCAACTAAGTCTTGAACAAGGTAAAAATGACAGAATAAAAGCTTTTTTCTAAGAGAGGTTAGGGATCCAAGGTTCTGAGTGGAGATTGTGAATCAGGGAAGACATATGGAAGGACTATGGAGAAGTCAAGGAGAGAGTTATATGAGCTTCTAACCAGGTGCAGGGTCCTGGAGAAGTGGCCATGACAAGGCATAGTTGGCTCAATAACCATGAGGGAATCAGAACCAAGCGTGTCAGTAGGCCAGATTTACAGATGCCGACTACCTAGAAGTAATTGTAATTTAGAAAGGTCCCTGTAGGGGATCAGTGTGAAGTTGCAAAGGGTTAAGAACCACAGCCCGTGGCCCGTGGTCAACATCAAAGAGGAGACCCCTGGGGAAAGAAAGGCTCCTGTTTTACCTGTACTGTCATATTCACAACACTTCTGACACCAAACATGTCGGTGATCTCCCCACATCAGTCAGTTCTCCAATTCTCTGTAGATACCATCTGATATCTTATAATTTAATTGAATTCTGGCACTAATTGCCCAGACTTGGCACGGACTCCGCAGGTTAAGGGCTCATTCCCATAAGAATGCCCCCCACTTCAGATGCCAGTTGCAAGTCTCAGGTTGTGGCCTGTGCCTGTAAATTGGAGGTTCCCGCAAGCCCTTCATTGGCTTTCATACTTTCCTAGTAGATCACACAGATCTCATGGAAATGTTGACTTATATTTGACATTTATTATAAAGGATACAACTCAAGAAGAGCCAAGTGGAAGAAATGCATAGGGCAAAGCGTGGGGAAGGGCACAGAGCTTCTGCCCTCTCTGGGACACGACTCTCCTGGCACTTCCATGTGTTTGCCAACCCAGAAGATTTCTGAACCCAGTCACTTAGGGTTCTTTATGGACATTCCATTATACAGCCTGGATTGATTAAATCATTGGCACCTGATTATTAAGTTAACCTCCATCCCTCCTCTCCCCTCCCTGGAGGTCAAGAGGTGGAGCTGAAAGTTCCACCCCTCTAATCTCATGTTCAGCTCCCCTGGCAACCACACCCCAATCCTTAGGGGCTTTCCAAAAGTTACCTCATTAACATAAACCCAGGTGTGGTCGAAAAGGGGTTGTTATGAATAACAGAAAGTGCTCTTTTCACTTGTTATGACTTAAGATGTTTTAGGGTTTTAGGAGCTCTGGCCAGGAGCAGGGAATTAAGACTGAAATGTATATTTCTTATATCACGGGAGAAACTTGGTGATGGCAGAAGAGGGGACAAATTTAAATGTGAGGATGTTGTTCAAGAGCAGGAATATTCAAAGAGAAAGGCGGTCATGTAGAGAGACTCAGAAAGGAAGTGATGCACATGGGAAGAGGATGTAAGTACCTAGAGGACAAAGGAAGGGAAATGAAACCGTGAAAAGGGGTAAAAGACAACAAAAATAACCTTGTCATTAACAGCTCACTTTGATTGAACATCTACTCTGTGGCGGTTGGTTTAATGCTCATGACAGCCATTGGAGATTAATATTACTTATATGCCTATTTTGCAGATAAGGTAACTGAAATCCAGAGATACCACAAATGGAGTTTACATAGGGTCAGATGAATAAGGAAAAACCCAGATGTTCTACCCCAGAGCCTGCATTCCTAACCCTGTGCTATCCAGGCAATCTAAAAAAATAAAAACAGAAAAATGAAACAAAAATGAGGAAATATTTGCAGACAAAAAGATCCAGAAAAAAAGAATACCAAGAGCTGGAGGAAGTAGAGGCTACTCAGACACTGAGTCCTCATGGAAAAGCCAATGAGAAAGCATGAACAGATGTGGAGAGGGAGGGTGTTGTGTGAAAGGGGGTGGGCATGAGGCAACCAGGACTTCAAAGAAACTGAGCTAAGGGCCCTGGGCAGGGTAGCTCTGGGGACAAAGGCAGGATCACTCTGCCATCATCACTTACCAGAGTGTCTCACAGAGGACACGCAGCAGAGTTGTCTGGCCAAGGCCCCTGTCATCCAGGGGTGCAGCTGACCCAGTCCCCTACTCTCAAGGCTGGAGTCTGACTTCAGTAATTAGGTAGCATCTGCCAGCTCCAGGTGGCCTTTGCATTGAGACCTAGAAGGGGTCTTTAACTCCTACGTTACAGAGACCAAAAAGGGATTAGGGGAGAATGGCAAAATCCATACCTCGATTTCTGAAATAAACTTCTAATTTCTTCCTGCCAGGAACTGGTGAAAACTCTTTTCGAAGCCTGACTTGGCCACCTTCGGGTTCCCCATCTCATGCTGGTTTGTTCCTGTTTACTACTCTTTGAGCCTCTGCTATTCTTGCCCCTTTCTGGAATGTGCTGTGGGGTTGCCTCTTTGTGTTAATGATTGTCCAGAATTTTCAGGTTTTACATCTACAGTTTTTCCATTTCTGGGATTTAAATAACAAGTCCTTATCCTCTAGGTTGCCTAGGAGGGTTTCTTCCTCCCACACCCCTTAATCACACTTGCTGCTGGTTCCTGCTGCCGCTGAGCCTGGTCGTTTTACCCATGTGCCTGCTTCACCATTTTCTGCCTGCATCTGCTTGAATCTGGCTGTTGCCTTGGTGCCTTGACCTTACGTCCATCAGTGGCCCGTGCTGTAGTGGTTGGAGGGGAGTGACAGGCAGCAGAGGGCAAATAAAATACCTGTGAATCAAACCATGGTTTAGGTACAACCCCACCTGAAAATGGACTCTCAGAGCACCCCTGTGAAACAGAACAGATAAATGCAAAGAGAAAAGATACAACCAGTGACAAAGATGATTCGCTAGGAAGCCAACAAACAAATGAACAATGTGCTCAAAAGGCTGAGCCAACAGGTAAGACTGACTGGGTTGGCATGAATGGGGAGGAGCCAAGGGGCCCTGGCTGGTGGCAGAGGAAGAGTCTAATGCACAATACAAGGAGACACCTGTTTAACAAGCAGGGGAAAATCACATAGACACAGAGGGGGCCTGTTATACAGATGAGCCTGATACACTGACATACTGATGACAAAGACCTGGAGGAAGAAAGCTAGAAGCAAAAAACTGAGAGAGAAAGGGGAAGAGTTGCAGAGTCTCACCAAAGAAGAGAGACAAACAAAAGGCAAAAGGAGAAAGTAAGAGAGAGATTGGACAGGAATCAATGAAGCACGAACACCTTCACGCAGCAATATATGCAGACAGGGGTATAAGTAGAAACAGGAGAAGAAAGGAGAAGCAGGGTGAGGTCTAACCAAATGGAAACAGGACAGAGCAAGGCTCTACTGGATCTCAGCTGTGATCTCGTTTATCTCCAGAGTCCTGCGAACAAATTGCTGTCCAAGTGAATAATGGGGATGCTGGAAGGGAGATGCCCTGCCCGTTGCCCTGTGATGAAGAAAGTAATTATTGCTTACCTTGCCTATTTTCTTTCCTTTCTTATTCAGATGCTATACATTTGGTTGGTTGGTTGGTTGGTTGTTGTTTTACCATCGTAACCACTTTTTAAAATTACCAGATTAAAAGCTGGATGTATTTATCATTACATGTTGTTTTGAAATATGTACACATTGTGAAAAGGCTAATTAGAGCTAATTAGCATAAATATTACCTCACGTACTTATCATTTTTGTGGTGATAACACAAAACCTATTCTCTCAGTAATTTTTAAGAATACATTATTAACTATATTAATCGTGTTGTATAAAAGATCTCTTAATGTATTTCTCTTATTTAACTAAAATTTTGTATCCTTTGACCAACATCTCCCCAGTCCTCTTCCTCATATCCCCAGCCTCTGTTACCACCATATACTCTCAACTTCTATAAATTCATCTTTTTTACACTCTACATATAAGTGAGATGTCATATATGTCTTTCCATGCCTGTCTTATTTTACATAACATAATATCCTCCAGGTTCATGGTTGTTGTTGCAAATAACAGGATTTCTTCCTTTTCAAAGGCTAGATAGTATTTCAGTGTGTAGATGTATTTCATTGTGTATATATTTTCTTTATCCATTCACCCACTGATGGGTACTTAGGTTGTTTCTGTATCTTGGCTATTGTGAATACTGCTGCAATGAACATGGGAGAGCAGATATCTCTTCCATATACAGATGGTCCCTGATTTATGATGGTTAGACATATGATTTTCAACTTTACAATGGGTTTATTGAAGTATTAAATGCATTTTTGACTTATGATGTGTTCAATTTATGGTAGGTTTATGGAAATGTAGTCCCATCGTAACTCTAGGAGCATCTGTACTGATTTCATATCCTTCGAATATATATTCAGTAGCGAAATTCATGGATTGTATGGGTAGTTCTACTTTTTATTTATTTGAGGACACTCCATACTGTTTTTCTTAGTGATTGTAGCAATTTACATTCCCACCAACAGTGTACAAAGGTTCCCTTTTCTGCACATCCTCACCAACATTTGTTATCTTTAGTCTTTTTGATAATAACCATTCTAACCAGTATGTGGTGATGTTCATTGTGGTTTTAGTTTGCATTTTCTTGATGATATCCGAGGCAGGGCATTTTTTCACATACCTGTTAGCCATTTGCATGTGTTCCCTTAAGAAATGTTTATTCAGGTCCTTTGCCCATTTAAAAATCTGTTTGTTTGTTTGTTTGTATTTAATATTGAGTTGTTTGAGCTCCTTATGTATTTTGGATAATAATCCTTATCAGACACATGGTTTGCAAATATTTTTTCCCATTCTGTAGGTTGTCTCTTCACTCTGTTGATTGTTTCCTTGCCTATGCAGAAGCTTTTTAGTTTGATGTAATCCCAGTTCTTTTTGCTTTTGTGATTGTGCTTCTGGTGTTATACCCAAAAAATATTTGCTCAGACCAATGTCGTGAAGCTTTTCCTCTATATTTTCTTCTAGTAGTTTTACAACCTTGGGTATTAAATTTCAGTATTTAGTCCATTTTGAGTTAATTTTTTAATATGGCATGAGATGGGGTCAAATTTCATTCTTCTGCATGTGGATATCCAGTTGTCCCAACACCATTTATTAAAGAGATAGATATCCTTTACCCATTGCATATTCTTGGCACCTTTGTTGAAAATCAATTGACCATAAATGCATGGATCCAAGCTCTCTATTTTGTTCCATTTTTCTACATGTCTATTTTATGCAAGCACCATGCTCTTTTGATTAACATAGCTTTGCTGTATATATTGAATCAGGTAGTGTGATGCTTTCAGCTTTGTTCTTTTTGTTTAAAATTCCTTTGGCTAGTTGGAGTCTTTTGTGCCTCCACACAAATTTTTAAATTGTTTTTCTATTTCTCAAAAATGCCATTTGAATTTTTTTTTTTTTTGAGATGGAGTTTTGCTCTTGTTGCCCAGGCTGGAGTGTAATGGTGCAATCTCAGCTCACTGCAACCTCTACCTCACAGATTCAAGTAATTATCCTGCCTCAGCCTCCTGAGTAGCTGGGATTACAGGCATACTCCACCACGCCCAGCTAATTTTTTGTATTTAGTAGAGACAAGGTTTCACCATGTTGGTCGGGCTGGTCTTGAACTCCTGACCTCAGGCGATCCACCCACCTCAAACTCCTAGATGCTGGGATTACAGGCGTGAGCCACTGCACCTGGCCGCCATTGGAATTTTTATAGGTATTGCACTGAATCTTTAGAGGACTTCGAGTTGTCTGGACATTTTAACAATATTAATTCCTCCAATCCATGAACATGGGGTATCTTTTCATTTCTTTCTTCTTCAGTTTCTTTCATCAATGCCTTAGCATTTTCAGTGTGTGCATATTTCACCTCCTTAGTTAAATTTATTCTTAAGTATTTTGTTGCAGTTATTGTAAATTGGATTGTTTTCTTGATATGTTTTTCAGAGAGTTTATTGTTAGTGCATAGAAATGCAACTGATTTTTGTATGTTGCGTTTGTATCCTGCCACTTTACTGAATTTGTTTATTAGTTCTAGCAGTTTTTTTTTTTTTTTTTTTGGTGGAGTCTTCGGGATTTTGTATATATAAGATCAGGTCATCTGCAAATAAGGACAATTTAAAACTTCTTCCTTTCCAATTTGAATGCCTTTTATTTCTTTTGCCTGCCTAATTGTTCTGGCTAGGACTTGCAGTAACATGTTGAATAGAAGTGAGAATGGGCAATCTGTATTGGTCCATCCTCACACTGCTAATAAAAGACTGGATAATTTATAAAGGAAAGGGGTTTAATTGACTCAAGAGTTCAGCATGGCTGGAGAGGCCTCAGGAAACTTACGATCATGGCAGAAAAGGGGAAGCAAACACGTCCTTCTTTACATGGCAGCAGCAAGGAGAAGTACAGTGCAAAGGGGGGACAAGTTCCTTATAAAACCATCAGATCTTGTGAGAACTCACTCACTGTTGTGAGAACAGCATTGAGGTAACTGCCCCCATGACTCAATTACCTCCCACTAAGTCCTTCCCATGACATGTGGGGGTTATGGGAACTACAATTCAAGATGAGTTTGGGTGGGGACACAGCAAGACCATATCAGCATCCTACTCTTGTTTCTAACCTTAGAGGGAAATCTTTCAGTTTTTTGTCATTAAGTATGGTACTAGCTGTGGGCTTGTCATGTATGGCCACTATTGTCCTGAGATACATTTCTTCTATATCTATTTTGCTGAGAGTTTTTATCATGAAAAAATGTTGAATTTTGTCAAATGCTTTTCCTACATCTATTGAGATGATCATATGGTTTTTGTCCTTCATTCTATTAATGTGGTGTATGACCCTTTAGATATGTATATGTTAAACCATTCTTGCATCCCAGTGATAAATCTTATTTGATCATGGTGTTTAATGTGCTACTGAATTTGATAGTATTTTATTGAGGATTTTTCATATACGTTTATCAAGGATAGTGGCCTATAATTTTCTTTTCTTGTAGTGTTCATGTCTAGCTTTGGTATCAGGGTAATGCTGGCTTCATAAAATGAGTTTGGAAGTAGTCCCTCTTATTCAATTTTTAAGAAGAGTTTGAAAAAGATTGCTATTTGTTCCTTAAATATTTGGTAGAATTCAACAGTGAAACCATCTGGTCCTGAACTTTTGTTTGGTGGGTGGTATTTTATTATGGATTAAATCTTACTCATTATTGGTCTGTTCAGATTTTCCTGTTTCTTTGTTATTCAGTCTTGGTAGGCTGTGTGTGTTTAGGAATTTATCCATTTCTTCTAGGTTATCCAATTTGTTGGCATTAAATTGTTTATAGCAGTGTCTTATGATTCTTTGTATATATGTGGTATGAGAAAGGTAGTGTCTCCTCTTTCATTTCTGATTTTATTCATTTGAGTGTTTTCTCTTTTTTCTTAGTCTAGCTAAAGCTTTCTCAATTTTGTTTATTTTTTCAAAAAGCCAGTGCTTTGTTTTGTTGATCTCATTTTTTTCTAGTTTTGAACTCATTTATTTCTGATCTGATATTTATTGTTTCCTTCTTTCTGCTAATTTTTGCCTTAGTTTTTCTTCTTTGTCTGGTTTCTTGAGGTGTAACATTAGGTTGTTTGAGATCTTTCTTCTTTCTTTATGTATTCTTGTGTTTATTGCTATAAACTTCCCCTCTTGTAACTGCTTTTGCTATATCCCATAAGTTTTGATATGTTACATTTCTATCTTCATTTGTCTCAAGATTTAAAAAATTTTTTCCCTTTAATTTCTTCATTGACCCATTGGTTATTTGGGAGTGTACTTAATTTCCATGTATTTGCAAATTTTTCAAAATTCCTCGTTATTGATTTCTAATTTCATATCATTGTGGTCAGAAAGTATATCTGATATAACTTCAGCCTTCTTTACTTTGTTAAAACTTGTTTTGTAGCCTAACATATGATGTATCCTGTAGAATGTCTCATGTACAATTGAGAAGAATGGTACTTTTCTGCTTGTAGATAAAATATTCTATATATGCCTTTTAGGTCCTCTTGGTCTAAAGTATAGTTTAAGTTTGATGTGTTCTTATTGATTTTCTCCCTGGACAATCTGTCCACTGCTGAAGGTAGGGTGTTGAAGTCCCCTAGTATTATTGTATTAGTCTCTCTTTCCTTCAGATCTATTAATATTTGTTTTATATATTTAGTTGCTCAAATATTGGGTGCATATGTTTACAATTGTTATATCATCTTGATAAGTTGACTCCTTCATCATTACATAATGACCTTCTTATTTTCTTTCTTTCTTTTTGTTTCTTTTGTTTTTTGTTTTAGTTTTTGTTTTGGAGACAGGGTCTTGCTCTGTCACCCAGACTGGAGTGCACTAGTGCAATCATGGCTCGCTGCAGCCTCAACCTCCTGGGCTCAGGCAATCCCCCCAAGTAGCTGAGATGACAGGCATGTACCATCACATCTGACTAATTTTTTTTAGTTATTTATAGAGACAGGATTGCCTTATGTTGCCCAGGCAGGTCTCAAACTTCTGGGCTCAAGCAATACTTTCACCTCAGCCTCCCAAAGTGTTGGGATTACAGATGTAAGCCACCATGCCTGGTTTTATCATGACCTTTTTTGCCTTGTTTTATATTATTTGATTCAAACTGTATCTCATCTGACGTAAGTACACCTGTGCTTTCTTTCTTTCATTTCCATTTGCATGAAATATCTTTTTCTATCTTTTCACTTTCAGTCTATGTGTTTCCTTAAAAGTGAAGTGAGTGTCTTGCAAGCCACATATACTTGGTTCATGATTTTTAAATTCATTCAGCCACTCTATGTCTTTTGATTGGAGAATTTAATTTATTTACACTTAATATAATTACTGATAGGTAAGTACTTTCTAAAACCATTTTGTTTATTGTTTTCTGGTTGTCTGTAGATTCTTTATTCCTTTCTTTCTCTCTTACTGTCTTCCTTTGTGATTAGGTGATTTTCTCTAGTGATACACTTTGATTCCTCTTTATCTTTTGTGTAATCACTGTAAGTTTTTGCTTTGTGGTTAACATGAAGTTTACACAAAACATCTTATAACAGGCTATTTTAAGCTGATAACAACTTAATTTTGATTGCCTACAAAAACTGCACTTTTACTTTGCTCCCTCATTTAAAATGTTTGATGTCAGAGTTTACAAGTTTTATATAGTGTATACTCTAAAAAATTATTGTAGCTACTATTTTTTGACTATATATTTACTTTACCAGTTAGTTTTATACTTTCTTATATTTTTATATTATTAGTTAGCATTTACTTCTTTCAGCTTGAGCATTTCTTGTAAGACAGGTCTGGTGGTAATGAATGTATTCATCTTTTGTTTTCCCGGGACGGTCTTTATCTCTCCTTTATTTCTGAAAGACAGCTTTGCCAAGAAAAGTATTCTTGGTTGTCAGGTTTCTTTTTCTTCCTTTGGCACTTTGAATGTTTCATCTCATTCTCTCCTTATCTGTAAGGTTTGTGCTAAAAAGTCCACTGTTGTCCTTATTAAAACTCCCTCATATGTTAGTTGCTTCTTTTCTTTTGTTGCTTTCAGGATTCTCTCTTTGTCCTTGAATCTTGACAGCTTGATTATAGTATGTTTTGGTGTAGTCGTGTTTGCACTGAATCTGATTGGAGACCATTGACCTTCTTGTACCTGGAAATTTATGTCTTTCACCAGATTGGCAAAGCTTTATACTATTATCTCTTTAAATTAACTTTCTACTTTTGTCTTTCTCTTCCCTTTTATGAATTCCTGTGATTCAAATATTTGCTCTTTTGGTGTGTTTCATAAATCCTGTAAGCTTTCTTCATGACTTTTCATTCTCTTTTCTTTTTCTTCTCTGATTGTATTTCAAATAACCTGTCTTTGAGTTCATATTCTTTCTTCTGCATGATCAATTCTGCTGTTGATGCTCTCTGATGCCTTTTTAAATTTCATTCATTGTATTTTTCAGCTCCAGAATTTGTTTGATTTTTTAAATAATTTCAATATCTCTGTTAAACTTTCTCATTTTGGTCATTTATTGTCTCCCTAATTTTAGTGAATTGTTTCCTATATTTTCTTAAGGTTTGCTGAGATTCCTTAAAACAATTATTTTGAATTCTGCATAAGGCAGTTTGTTATCTCCATTACTTTGGGGTCTGCTATGGGGAGATTATTGTGTTCTTTTGGTCATGTTGTGTCTCTTTGGTTTTTATGTTTCTTGTTGCCTTACATTTATGTCTGTACATTTGAGAAAGTAGAAACTATTCTAGTCTTTGCAGGCTGACTTTGTCTGGGAAAGCCTTTCACCCTATTTAAAGATTCTAAGATGGCCATCTGGCATGGTACAAGGGCAGGCTTGCTGCTAGAGTCCTCAAGCAGGCTAGTCTGGTGCCTAGGACAACCAGTGGGCAGGTCTGTGCTGGGGGAAACCTTGAGCCAGAATCTGCAGGGCTCTACACCACTGATGCAGGCTTCTTCAGGCACTTCAGTAGGCATGAAGCCCAGTGCTATTGAAGCCAGCTTGCTGCTAGGATGGGCCTCAAGCCCAGTGCCACTTGGTCCAGTTTGGCACTCGGTCTGGTCTGGATCATGGGTTCACTGAGGCTGAAATAGTGCTGTAGGAGGCTGAAGACTGAGTTCGCAGGGCTGGCCTGAGTCCTGGGGCTGCAGGATTTAGGTTGGGGTCAGAGTGAGCTTGGAGGTTCAGACCATGGGTACTGGCTAGAGTCTGGGGCTTTGGGAGCTGGGTTTTACTGAAGTCGGTTCTGTGGTTTGGGTGTAAGGCAAAGTCTGGTGCTCACTTCCTTCTCCTTTCCCCAAGCATATTGTATCTTGCTCAATGCTGTGCTTCCTGGAGTTGGGGAAGATGACACAGTGAAACTTTTCTTCCTGCCCTTTTCAATGTGCTCTTTCTTATTTCTGTGTTTCACTCAGGTGCTGTGATCTTTCATCTGGTTTCCTCAGCTCTTGCAAAGGTATTTTCATGCATAGGTCGTTGTTCACATCAGTGTTTCTGCAGGGGATGGAGGGCTGGAGAGTCCTATTCTCCCATCTTGCTCTACTTCTCCCCAATTTTCTAATTATATCTTTATTTTTCTATAAGGGCAAAACTTCCCTTTGTTTTCTCATACTAACTGCCTACACTCATCCAAGACACACAGACTTTGTTCACAGCCTCTGGCTGCTTTTAACAGGTATGAGATGGAAGGGAAAAAGAGAGTGAGTCTTTTTAACAGAGGGACTGTCCCTGGTTAGAGAATGCAAGAAGAAAGAATACAAAAGAGGTCAACTAGGGAATATTAAATAACAAAACACAGTTGACCCCTGGACACTGTGGGAGGTTAGGGGTACCAATGCCCCATGCAGTCAAACATTTGCACATAACTTTTACATTCCCCAAAACTTAACAACTGCTGTTGACCAGAAGCCTTACTGATAACATAAACAGATGATAACACATATTTTCCATACGTATTATGTGCTGTATTCTCACAATGAAGTAAGATCTCCAAAGGAAAATGTTATTAATACAATCATAAGGAAGAGAAAATATATTTACTATTCATTAAGTGGCAATAGGTAATCATAAAGACCTTCATCCTCATCATTGAGTAGTTTGAGAAGGAGGAAGGAGAGGAGGGGTTGGCCTTGCTGTCTGAGGGGTGGCAGAGGTGGAAGAAAATCTGCATACAAGTGGACTCATGTAGTTCAAGCCCCTGTTGTTGAAGGGTCAACTGTGTATGAGTGAGACAGATTTTAGATAAAGTGACATGGTATCCATACATTGTCATGTTGTGGAGTTGTTGAATAGAAATATGTTGCAAGTTACTTTTCAGAAGTTATCATGAAAACGTAGAAATTATGCATGATGCTGCTTGTCAGATTTGCAAAGGAAGGAAGCCCAGGTGAAAGACCTTCAGGAAGGAATGGCAAGTGGAGGGCCTCTGGTGTGGTAGACAATGGCACTGGAAGAGACCTTTCGTAATGATGGGAATGTTTGAGATGAGGAAGATATAGAAAGACAAAAAGTGATATAGCACTCACACATCAGATGCGAAAGTATTTTTGAAAAAAAAGTGACATAGAAGAAGCTTGCAGAGGTAACGTTAATAATTAAGAAATAAGGGCCGACTCAAAGCAGGTAGGAAATGTAACAGAGATGCAACATTACATATGGGACAACAGGCCTGGCACGAGGTGAGGCAGGGAGGCCCCCAGGGCACAGCATGTAAGGAGACCTCACTTGGCATGTGAGACTGAGCTTCCTTAAATTTCAAGGCACCCCATAGCACCACCTTCACCTCACCCTGGTTCTGTCTCTAAGAGACAATAATTTTTAAAAAGTGTAGATAAAAAGACTATGAATAGAAAAAACATAGAGGGAAATAAATACCAAGAAATAGGAAAAATGGAGGGAGGCACAAAGAGAAGTATGCAGAAAATGAGTTAAAGGACAATGAATGAAAAATTGGTAGAGAGTGGATCATGCAAAGAAGGGAAGAGAGAAGACAAATCAAGACATTCTCTGATCTGAGGAGATAAGAGCTAGAAAGGAGGCACAGGGTGTCCTATTACTATGGAGAAAGATCAGCTGCCCTCTTATCAAAATGGCCCCTGTGACTCCACCTCCACCCCCAGATTACAATAAGCCTCTCCTCAGGCATCACTTCCTCTCCATGGCTCAATCACCATCTAAGATCTGTTGATTTCTAAACATACATCTCCAGCTCAGACCTGTCCTGTTGACTCCCTTCCCCAATTGCCTGAAGACCTTTATTTAAAGACCTGAAGAACATCTCTCTTTGGAAGCTGCATCTGTCATCTATTGCTGTGTCATGTAACAAACTATCCTGAAACTTAGTGGCTTAAAACAATCATCATTTCATTTGCCACTTGTGTCAATCCCAACTTTAAAATATCTCTAACTTGTCCATTTCTCTTCATCCCCAGCACGAACACCCTAATCTAGACCCCTGTCACTCTCACTAAAATTAGAGGAACAGTCTCCTGTCTGGCCCCCAGTCTTGCTCCTCTCAAGTCTGCACTTCAGTTGAATGGACTTTTCCAAAATAGAAACCAGTTGATATGACTTTCCTGTTTGAAACCCAGTGCCTTCGTGTGGCCCTTAGCAGTAGATCAACACTGCTTGGAGTGGTGAATTGAAGGATGTCTACCACGCACCTGCGCGTTCCCCGTCACCCACCTCTCGCCCTTTCATGCCACATTCCCACCACACTAAGCTTCCTTTACTTACTGGAATTTGCCAAGCTCTCTTTCTTTCATCTCTGCCTTTATATATGCTTTTGGGAAAACAGTTTGGGGTAATCTTCCAAAGGTGAAAATATACATACCCTATAACCCAACAATTATATTCCTCAGCAGAAACCAACAGAAATGTGTGTTATGTCACCAAAACACATAGAAAAGAATGCTCAAGGCAGCATTATTCATAGAAGCCAAATGCTTGAAATTGTACAAATGAATAAATAATTCATGGCTTATTTCTATAATGGAATACTATCTAGTAGTGAAAATAATTATACAAAACGAATACAGATGACTTTCACAAGCATGTTGAGTAAAATATCCATACAATTTTGGGGGATTTGGCTTCTTTTGGGAGATCTATATATATTGAGAGAGAGGTAAAGGGAGAAAGAAAGAGTGGAGAGAAAAGAGATTATTCCATTTTTATAAATTACACAACAAGCAAAATTAACCTTAGTGTTGGAAACCTCAATGGTAGTTGTCTTTGAGCAAGTTAGTGGAAACAGTTAATGGGAAGTGTCACCAGGAGGTGTCTGGGGTATTGGTAATCTGTTTCTTTTTTTTTTTTTTTTTTTTTTTTTTTTTTTTTTTTTTTTTTGAGACGGAGTCTCGCTCTGTCGCCCAGGCCGGACTGCGGACTGCAGTGGCGCAATCTCGGCTCACTGCAAGCTCCGCTTCCCGGGTTCACGCCATTCTCCTGCCTCAGCCTCCCGAGTAGCTGGGACTACAGGCGCCCGCCACCGCGCCCGGCTAATTTTTTGTATTTTTAGTAGAGACGGGGTTTCACCTTGTTAGCCAGGATGGTCTCGATCTCCTGACCTCATGATCCACCCGCCTCGGCCTCCCAAAGTGCTGGGATTACAGGCGTGAGCCACCGCGCCCGGCCGGTAATCTGTTTCTTGATCAAAGTGATTTACTTCCTTCGTGATCATTCAAAACCCACTTTTATTCATGTGTCTTATACTGCAATTATAATTTTTATTTTTTTTAAAAAGCAAAATATTAACCATCAAAGAATGAGACGAGTAGGTAAAGGGAAAGGTAAAAAACAAAACAGAGCCAAGAGAGGCACAAAGGAAGGGACAGAGTTGAGCAAAAGGAAAAACACGGAGGTGGGGTGAAGGTCTAGCCCCAGCAGTGAAATTGCAGAGAGGGGGAGTTATTAATGATAGTGAAGGAGGTTCACTGGGGACACAAATGAAAATTCTTCATTTATTACAATTAGGCCCAGAGGCAGAGCTACACAACCATGGAATCCAAATTAATTCCTGTTCTGTGCGACTGGTGGATATAAAAAAGGAAAAGCCATTTTCTAATTCAAAAGTTGAGTGCCAAGCCCAAGCAAGAACTCATCATAACCAGGCATCTGACATAATAGGTAAGGCTGACTGGGAGAGTTTGTAACTGTGAGTCACAGGTTACCAGGTAAGGGGCTCAGGGACTTCATCACGGACCATCGGGGCAGTGCAGGTAGCCTGGGATGGAGGCAGGAAGGGAAAGGGGCTGGCACCTGATGCAGTGAGTCTTCAGCTTGACAGAAGAAAGTCCTTAGGAGTTGGGAAAATACCAGAAGACAGAAATGGAGGTAATCAGTAAGAATGTCAGAGAGGCTATTTCTGAAGTCAGAGAGGGCTGGGCCTGATGGCTCATGCCTGTAACCCCAGAACTTTGTGAGGCTAAGGCAGGGGGATCGCTTGAGTCCAGGAGCTCAAGATCAGCCTGGGCAACATGGCGAAACCCCATCTCTACAAAAAATATAAAAATTAGCCAGACAAGGTGACACATGTCTGTAGTCCCAGCAACTTAGGAAGCTGAGGCAGGAGCATCGTTTGAGCCTGGGATGCGGAAGTTGCAGTGAGCCAAGATTCCGCCACTGCACTCCAGCTTGGGCAACAGAGCAAGACTCTGTCTCAAAAAAGAAAAAAAAAAGGAAAAAATAAATAAAAAATAAAAAAGAGAGGAAGGCATGGGAGAGGAGTTAAAAAAAAAATCAGAGAGCCAAGATATTCACAAGAGGAGATGGGGAGGGAAACACATCAAGACAAAGAGAGGTATAAAGAGACACCATCGCTGGAAACAGAGGCAGAAGCAGGGGAGATGGCAGAACAAAGAGGAAAGATGAGAAGTAAAATGAGAGTGAAAGAAAAAAATAGAATGAGGGTTGGGGTAAGAACAGTGTCAGTGGATGGGCACAACTGCCTTCTGTGTGTCAATTTTATCAGCTTTTGGTTAAGAACTTGGAACAAACTGCAGGTGGCATGCATTCAAGGAACACCCCAGGGTCTTGAGTTAACTTAGCTTCCTGGGTCTTCCTAGTGCTCTCATTGTGGAATTTCCTGGTGCATGGACTCCTTGGTCACACCCTGAGACTCTTAATGGTTTTTGCTCCTTTGTGCAGTCATCAGCAGTGAGGACTCTGAAGGATCCACTGACGTTGATGAGCCCTTAGAAGTCTTCATCTCAGCACCGAGAAGTGAGCCTGGTAAGGAAGTTTGGGAGAGCAAGGCTTGGGCTGTGGGAATCTGATTTAAGAGCTACTATTTCCTGAGGCATTTTATTCTGAGCTCATTCTGTACAATGGATCCAGTTTATCCTGGGATCCCATTCTTTGCATTAATTTTACTTGACCTTTTTGGAAAATGCAGGGAGACAAGAAATTGTTATAAACTTATTTTTGAGAATTAGCCTTCTTTCTTGATGGATTCTATTAATCAATATTCATACCCATACATTGATTATATAGTAGGAATAGGCTAGCCAAGTGATGAGTTTGTTTTTAAAACTAACTAGTTGCTATGCCTATATAGTGTTAGATTTATATAGTGATTTTTATAGAGAACAGAAAACTAAATATTCCTTTATGGGAAGATGTTATTGTCATCTGATCACAAACTTTGAATAGGGTCAAAAGACATCTCATCCAACTATCTGGTGTTGGCAAAAACAAACACCTGAGATAAAGTATTCTGAAACTTGAAGTATTGTTTCTGATAGAGTTCTTCAGCAAGTCATGGCACATTTAGTGATTTTTTGAAAGACTTTTGCAAATTGTCTTATTTTTAAATTTACAATAACCTTAAAGGGGTAAACAGAAGAGAGATTCTCGTCCTTGTTTCCTAGATGAGAGAACACAATTGCATAAATGTTTCAAAGTCATCTCCAAAATCTCATGGTAAATTAAAGGAAAGACAAGACTAGCATCCTGGATTCTGAGTTACTTCCTTTGTGAAATGAAAGAGAGAAACATTATTAAAATCTTGTATTATCTCAATCCTATTTGCAGCATGAGTTGTCATAAGATTTATAACATAAATACTTATCATAACATAAGTATGCAAATTGGTTGATTTGTTTTGCCCTTTACTTTCTAGATCCAGAGGATATTAGAAATATGCCACTTTAGGGAAAATACACTAGGGAAAGACCTAAGAGCAAAGAAGAACCTCATCTTGATGTTATAAAATAACAATGTAATAATACATTCATTCTAATTGCTCACTGTATCTTTCAAAGTAAAATGTAAATTTGCATTAGTTTTTAGACAATATGTACTCTAACTTTGAACTTAGTGTAAGCAATCTGCTGTAAAAAATAGTCCCAAAATATGTCTTTGGCTCAAATACATGAGGAGATTATTTCTCAGCCTTGTAAACAATTCAGCAAGGCACTGGGTTGGTGGGAGGTAGAAAAAGCTCACGAATTTAACAGAAGATCTTCAAGGTCCCCCTGCATGAAAAATAGAAGCAGAAACAAAGGAAATGTGGAATGGCAAGCAGAAGGGATAAGAAGTAAAAGAAGCGTGGGAAAGCAAAGGCCAAGCAAGGCAAATATTCCCTCTGGGGACAAGAATGGAGTATCACTAACCCACAATGAAGGTTAGTTGAAAGGCAAGACAAGCATGGCCTGTGTACAGGCGAGGACTTGCACGGATTTTCAAGGTTTTCCAGGTTTTCTTATTAGGGAATTTCCTACTGAACTGATTCCTTGGTCACACACTGAGACCTCTAAAGAATCCCATTCTTTTGTGCAGTGATCAATAATGACAACCCTTTAGAATCAAATGATGAAAAGGAGGGCCAAGAAGCCACTTGCTCACGACCCCAGATTGTACCAGGTAAGAATATTAGAGTTGCAACCCGAGACTGTAGAATATCCAGAGTACAAATCCAGAGCTCTGTTTTCTTGATTAATTTCATTCTGAGTGGTCTCCTTATGCCTTGATTCCATAAATTCTAGAATATCACTTTCTACATTTAACCTCTCTGGCCCTGTTGAGAAATGGAAGACATTAGGAAGGTGTTATAAACTCTTGTTTAACTGGATTGGTTCAATCGATTGATACATTGAAAATGTAGCAAAAATATGCTAGTAAAATAACAGTCTTTTTAACAACAAACTATCAAGAGTTATTATTTCAAGAGTTGAAATAATGTACTTATTCTCTACTACTACCCTTTATATTTGATAGAGCATGATAAGCACAGTCTTCCTTTGTTCATTGATAATTATTGTCTTAATCACAAGCTCAGAAAGTCTTCAAAGAATACTTTGTGCTGCTATTTAATTATTAATGGCAAAAAAAAAGTGACTTCAACTACACCCAAACCCAAATTATAGTTCACTTATTGGCTTACATTGTGATTTTTCACAGGGCTTTTGAAAATGAACCTTCATTTCCCCATCACAAAAACCTTAACAGGGAGGTAGGGTAACTAGTTTATCCCTGCTTTATATGTGAGAAAATGGGAGCTAGTGGTGTTTAAGAGTCATTTATGACCAGGCGCAGTGGCTCACACCTATAATCCCAGCACTTTGGGAGGCTAAGGCAGGTAGGTGGCTTGAGCTCAGGAGTTGAGATCAGCCTGGACAACATGGAGAAACTCCACCTCTACCAAAAATACAAAAATTAGCCAGGCATGGGCCGGGTGCAGTGGCTTACTCCTGTAATCCCAGCACTTTGGGAGGCGGGGGCAGGCAGATGATGAGATTAGGAGTTCGAGACCATCCTGGCCAATATGGTGAAACCCTGTCTCTACTAAAAATACAAAAATTAGCCAGGCATGGTGGCGCTTGCCTATAGTCCCAGCCACTCGGGAGGCTGAGGCCAAAGAATCACTTGAACCCAGGAGAGGGATGTTGCAGTGAGCCAAGATCATACCACTGCACTCCAGCCTGGGTGACAGAGCAAGACTCCATCTCAAAAAAAAAAATTAGCCAGGAATGGTAGTGTGTGTGCACCTGTGATCCAGCTACTCGGGAGGCTGAGGTGAGAGAGTCACTGGAACCTGGGAAGTTGAGGCTGCAGTGAGTTACGATTGTGCCACTGCACTCTAGCCTGGGTGACAGAGTGAGACCCTGTCTCAAAAAAAATAAGTAAAAAAGAACGAGATCATGTATTTTGAGAGAACGTAAATGGAGCTGGAGGCTATTATCCTTAGCAAAGTAACGCAGAAACAGAAAACCAAATACCATATGTTCTCACTTGTAAGTGGGATCTTAATAATAAGAACTTATGAACACAAAGAAGGAAACAGCAGATGCTGGGGTCTACTTGAGGATGGAGGGTTGGAGGAGGGAGAGGAGAAGAAAAGATAACTATTGAGTACTGGGCTTAATACCTGGGTGATGAAATCATCTGTACAACAAACTCCTGTGACACACATTTACCCATGTGACAAACCTTCACATATACCCCCAAACCTAAAATAGAAGTTGAAAAAATTAATTAAAAAGAGGCATTTCCAAATAATACACACAGAGGATTATGGAGAGAGCTGGGCAGGATCCCAACATTATGACCCTGAACCTCCAGAACTGGATTCACTAGAAGGAGAGAGAGAAAAACGCTCATCAAAACTTTGTTATTGGCAGGGCACGATGGCTCAGGTCTGTAATCCCAGCATTTTGGGAGGCTGAGGCAGGTGGATCACCTGAGGTCAGGAGTTCGAGACCAGTCTGACCAACACAGTGAAACCCCGTCTTTACTAAAAATACAAAAATTAGCCGGGCTTGGTGGTGCACAACTATAATCCCAGCTACTCAGGAGGCTGAGGCAGGAGAATCACTGGAACCTGGGAGGCAGAAGCTACAGTGTACCAAGATTGCACCACTGCACTCCAGCCTGGGTGATAGAACAAGACTCCATCTCAAAAAAAAAAAAAAAAAAACTTTGTTATTAACCCAAGCCCATTTGCCATGTCAGTTGTCATAGAATTTATAAGTCTCTTGCATACAAATAACGGGTTTCTCCCTTTTACTTTACAGAGCCCATGGATTTCAGAAAATTATCTACATTCAGAGAAAGTTTTAAGAAAAGAGGTAAGAGAAAGCTTTAGGAAAAGAGGTAAGAGAAAATAACTTCTCTTCATGGTTATAAATGAACAATATTTTCTACAAAAGAGTCAGTCTAATTCCTTGCTATATCCTTCAAAGTAAAATATAAATTTGCTTTAAATTTCAATGGTTCCTATTTTAGCCTTTGTATTAGGGAGGTTGGCTAACTGCTATAACATATGAACCCAAAGAAGTCAATGACCCCAACACAACAGAAGGTTTTTTATTTTTTTAGTAGAAGTTTGTATTTTTTTCAACTGAATATTTCAAGGATTTTTAGATGAGGGAAAGGTTGGGCTCTGTTTCAAGCAGTTCTTCAGGGAAGCAGGCAAGTAGAAGATCTGCCTTCTCCCATCCTAGACTTTCATGGTTGCCCTGAGAGAGAAGCAAATTTACAAATAAATACAAATCCATATACAAAAACCACAACAAAACCATAAAGGGACAAGTAAAGAAAGAAAGATAATGTGGTGTAAGAAGACAGAGGGCCAAGACAAAGCAGAGATGCCCACTGGGGCTAAAATTTTCTCAGCCTCAGGCTCAGGTGACAGTGAGGGATAAAATACTAACCTTGAGCCACACAAATCTGAATGAAAAGGCAGATCATGGAGGTTTGAGGCACGGACATTCTTGCCCTGAAGTTTCAGAGCATCACAAATTTTCCTAGTTTCCTTTTCATAGAATATTATTCTGACTTGGTTCCCTTATCATACATTGAGAGCTCCAAAGGACATTTGCTCCTTTCTGCAGTGATAGGACAAGACCACGACTTTTCAGAATCCAGTGAGGAGGAGGCGCCCGCAGAAGCCTCGAGCGGGGCACTGAGAAGCAAGCATGGTGAGAAGGGTAAGAACAGCTCCCTTGACTTCAGGGCTCTGACTTCAGAGCACCTCTTCCCTGATGCACTGTGCTCTGAGCACACACAACAGCTATCCAGGAGCCAGTTCTCTGCATCTACCTCATCTGGCCATTTTGAAAAATGCAAAGAAAGAAGTCACTCTAAATTCAGGCTTAACAAGATGGTTGTGGTTGAGTGGCAGTGGCCTGTTTACTACATACTGCCTGTATTAGTCCATTTTCATGTTGCTGATAAAGACATACCTGAGACTGGGTAATTTACAAAAGAAAGAGGTGTAATGGACTTACAGTTCCACATGGCTGGGGAGGCCTCACAATCATGGCAGAAGGTGAAAGGCACGTCTCACATGGTGGCAGACAAGAGAAGAGAGCTTCTGCTGGGAAACTCCCCCTTATATAACCATTCAGATCTTGTAAGACTTATTCACTATCACAAGAACAGCACAGGAAAGATCTCTCCCCATGATTCAATTACGTGCCACCAGGCCCCTCCCACAACACATGGGAATTCAAGATGAGATTTGGGTGAGGACACAGCCAAACCATATCACTGCCAGACCTATTAACTCCAAAGTATTGGATTTATGTAGTGATTTCTACTTCTGCTCATTCTCTGTTTTGTAAAGAAAAGAAAGTACACTAGTCTGTTATTGCCTGATTTTGTCACCAACTTGTTCAAAATTCCAAAGCTTCTGGTCATACTCTCTAGTTATTGACAGAAAGAAAGCCTCCTGTTTCTTACCATCAGATTCAATTCATAGCTTTTGACAGATGGCCCCCAACATGAAATTGGCCAAATAGTGATATTTGAAAATATATTTACAAATAAGATCTACTTGCATCTTTACAACAACCTAAAAGGTGGGTGAGATAACTATTGTTCCCCCCATTTGACAGATGGGGAAACTAAGGCACACTTAAGGATCTTTTTTCTTTGCACATCACATATGGAAAGTTATAGGAGGAGACAAGACTAACAACCCAAACTCTTAATAAACATTCATAATCCTCTATAAAACCTTCAAAGCCAGATGTACTTCAAAGTTCAAAAAATGTTTTATTATTTTAGAAAGACAATGTGGTTTATATTCTATATACAACAAAATACCCTAGTAGGATCCAGGGAAGAATCCCATTCTCAAATATACTAATGTTTATACAGCAAATTATATAAATATTCACACCAAATATGATAAGATTTTACACGGACTCATGGCAACTCAAGTCCAGATTCACTGCCAAATTAGTTAGCTGCAAACCTATGAAAACAATACTGGTTATTAAAATATCTTTGAGGCCAGGTGTGGTGGCTCACGCCTATAATCCCAACACTTTGGGAGGCTGAGGGGCTGAGGCAGGTGGATCTTTTGAGCCCAGGAGTTCAAGACCAGCCTAGGCAACATGGCAAAACCCCATTTCTACCAAAAAATGCAAAAAATTAGCTGGGCATGGTGGTGGTGCATGCCTGTAGTCCCAGTGATGTGGGAGGCTGAGGTGGAAGGATCATTTGAGCCTGGAAGGTCAAGACTGCAGTGAGCCAAGATTGCACCACTGCCCTCCAGCTTGGCTGACAGAGTGAGACCCTGTCTCAAAAAAAAAAAAAAAAAAAAAAAAGTCATTGATTTTGCAATTAGGGCTAAAGGATTGTGGGTCTGTGCTCCATTTGATAGTAATCTCTTTCCCTTAGATGGGAAGAGACAGAAATGATCCTCATAGAATATTTATAGTCCAAATTCTGTCAACAGTGTAAGCAGTCATAAGATTTATAGATCTTTTAGTTAGATATTATTGATTTGGTTTTCCTTTACTTTCTAGCTCCTATGACTTCTAGAAGTACATCTACTTGGAGAATACCCAGCAGGAAGAGACGTAAGAGCAATTAAAAACTCTTGATGTAACAAATGTCTTTATTTGCTGCAAAAGCTACATTCACTTTTTATGTTATATCCTTTAAAATAAAAAATTAATTTGTTGGGATTTTAGATGATTTGCATTTTACATTTTCAATTAGATGAGTTGGGCTGGTATAAAACATAAGCCTCAAAATGTTCAAAGGCACAAGTGCAACATAAGTTTATTTTTCACTCACATAAATAGGATAAAGTAGTTCCTGAGTAGAGGGGGTGCCCACACAGTCATTCAGGGCCCAGCTGATGGGGGCTCTGACATCTTTAAGATGTTGCTTCCATGGTTCCCTTGGATAAGAAACTGAGATGGAAGCAGAAGTATGTGCAAACTAATAATGAAAGCCTAAGAAGCGTAAGAAACAACGTTGTCCTAGGATTGTATTCAGAAAAGATTGAACATTATGTATGTTCCTTTTATTTGATTATGCATGAATGAGATAGGAGAAAACGATGGAAGGATCCACACTGATCTGTTGACTTCACTAGCTGGGAGACCAGAGACAGAATAGGGTAGGAAAAGAGAGCTTTGGGGTTATATACATTTGCATTCATTGGTCTTCTTATGACAAGCATATATTGCTTTCTTAATTTGAAACCACCCAATGAAATGGATGATTTATAATAAATACATATTTTTCCCAAAGTTAAAAAAAAAAAAGAAGAAGAAACAATGTCATCCCCAGCCCCAGCCTCAGAGAGGGCTCCTGGAGCAATCTTGACCAACAGGTCAGATGATCAAAGCCAAAGGGTGGCCTAGTGGTGGGACTATTTCTCCCCCTCCTCCACAAGCTTCTCTTGTTCAGTTTTGCTTTTAAAGAATTCCCTGCTGATTCCTAAGACTCAGACTAAGACTGTTAAGGAATTTTATTTTTTTCTGCAGGTTTCAGCAGTAGTGACTTTTCAGACCTGAGTAATGGAGAAGAGCTTCAGGAAACCTGCAGCTCATCCCTAAGAAGAGGGTCAGGTAAAGAAGATTAGGATGCCAAGACTTGGCCTGCAGAATGTCAGGAATGTGAATTAAAAGCTGCTGTTTCCAGACGCTTTTTATTCTGAGCACCTTCACTACCTTGTATCCAGTTCATCTGGGAACTCCTTTTTGCATTTTAGAAAATGGAAAGAGGCAGGAAATTATGATAAACTCATGTTTAACAGAAAGAGTTTCACTGACTAAATGTATGTAATTATATTTTGTTGTTGTAGAAGAAATAAATAGCAAATTTGTGGTATTCTTTTTTTTAAACCTGCTCTCATTCCTATTAACACTAAGATCTTAGATTTTTATAGTGATAAATGGGTTGACATCATTGTCATTTGTAATTGTAAAGCCTCAAAAGACAACTGTTCCTACTATGTAATTATAGACAGAAATAAAAACTTCAGATCAAACACTCTCAAACGTTAGTATAGTTTTTGGTAGATGTCCTTCATCATGTAATTGGATTATATTGTGTTATTTCAATGTCTTTTGGCAAATAATATCTTATTTTGTCATCACAAAATTTTTAAGACATAGGCAGGCTAACTATACCCATTTTGGGGTGAGGAAATAGATGTACAGAAGTATTAGGGCCAAAAAACTAAAGAAACAATAGAAACTAGCAACCCAGGTGTCTCACGGTGGGTGACTGTTGTATGTAACAGACAGGAGGATAAGAGCTGTGTCATTTAAGTCAAAGTCCAAAGAAGATGCGCAAGGAACTCAGAATATTCACAGGAGACTATACCAGTGCCTGATGCAAGAAAGCTTATTTAACAACCACTGTGTGTGTGTGTGTGTGTACACATGCATATATTTGTTACATATAACATGTATACATACATAAACACACACATATGTGTGTGTATATATGTATATTGGTTAATACATATAATCTTTAGGGGGAGGGAAAAATAAAAATCGCAAACAGACAGAGATAATAGGAATGGAACCAGCTATATAATATACAAAATACCTAGAAAGACAGAAGCAAAATAGATAAACATAGAAATAAAGGAGAACAGAACATCATTGATGGAAACAGAAAAAGCAACACAGGAGACAAGATAAATCAAAGGGAGATGAGCTCACCGAATCAAAGAGACAGAGACAAAAATGTATAGCAGCAGGGCAATGGGCAGAAAAATGAGAAGTGAGAAGGAGAACGAAGTGTGGCCAGATAGAGTAGGGCTATGAGGTGTACTCATTGATATAGGTGTATTTTTTTGTCAGTCCGTTTAAGCTCTGAAAATAGTTCAGCATGACCACATTGAGACAGGTTCCCTGGTTTCCTCGTCACTGTCTATAGTCTATTATTTCCTTGTTTGTCTTCATTGTCCTGTGAATTTAGAGCTCCTCCAATGAATACACAAAGAGAGTCAGAAGAGATGCAGCCCATTAGCTTGTGATGGAGAAGCCGATTATGATGTTCAGTTCATTATTAATTATCTTTTTTTTCCTACTTGCATGGAGGAAAAGTTCTTTTTTCTTTTCCTTACCTCTCCCCCAAAACATATGCACACACACATACACACCACACACACAAAGACTTGTGCACAGACTCGGGCTGCTTGCGACAGGTTTGAGGGAGCGAAAAGAAAAAGAAGAGCTGGGCTCCTGAATGGAGGGAGGAGACACTGAGTGGATAAAGTAAGGAGAAAGAATGGAGAAAGGTAGGCTAGAGTCACCAAATGAAAAGATATAAGAGTCAGCTTCAAGTTTTTCTAAGTGGACAAGGAATTCAAATATTCCAGGTAGGGGAATTTTGTGGGGGAGGGAGGGATAATTTTCAACACACTTCTCAGAAATTGTACCAGAAACGTGAAAATAAAGTTGCTGATTGATTGACAGCCTTGCAAGGTAGAAAGCTCATAAAGAACAGACAAAGGTAATAGAGATGGCTATGTGGTCAGTGTCCTAACAGCAGGCATTTGGTGATGAAAGTAATAACCTGTGAGATAAAGATGAATATAGATGAAGAAAATGTGGATAAAGACAAAGATTGAAATTGCAAAAAGAGTCAAGATCAAGATAAGGGCCAGGCGCAGTGACTCATGCCTGTAATCCCAGCACTTTGGGAGGCCGAGGTGGGCGGATCACGAGGTCAGGAGATCAAGACCATCCTGGCTAAAACGGTGAAACCCCATCTCTACTAAAAACAAAAAAAATTAGCCAGGCATGGTGGCAGGCAGCTGTAGCTCCAGCTACTCAGGAGGCTGAGGCAGGAGAATGGCGTGAACCTTGGAGGCAGGTCTTGCAGTGAACCAAGATCGCACCACTGCACTCCAGCCTGGGCGATCGAGCAAGACTCCGTCTCAAAAAAAAAAAAAAAAAAAAAAAAAGTCAAGACAAGATTCAGAGAAACAAGCTAGAAGAGAGAATAGAAGGAGGAAGTGATAGTAGAAAGAAGTTCACCTCAATAATAAAACTAGATCTAAAGATATAAACAGAAAAACAGGTGGAATGAGATACATTCAAAGGGTGATGAGTGGTGTAAAAAATTAGGTACAACAAGAAGTATGTAGAGAAAGAATTAAAAGATGAGAGAAAAATGGAGGCAAGAAGGGGGAAGTGTAAATGGGAGAGAAGAGAATGATGGAGAAATTGTAGGATCTGAAATGACCATGAGATAAAAGCAACTTTAGCACAAGGCATGATTCACAATAGCAGTAAGTTTTCAGAATAAGGTGTCCCCTGGCCCCTCTGACTCACCCAGATTAAAAAAGGCCTCACCCAGGCATTTCATCCACTCCTGTGATTTCAGTCACCACCCACAACCTCATGATTCCTACATGTGTATCTCCAGCCAGCCCTGTCTTCTAAACTCATTCATCCAAGTGTCAGAAGGCTCCTGTTGGAGATTCTGAAGGCCTTAGACTTCACCACTTGGATGTTACTCAAGACCTTCAAACTTAACACCTCCAAAACTGAGCACATCATCTTTTTCCCTAAAACCAGCCTTTGCTCCTCCAGTGTTCTTCATCACTGAAACAAACTATTAATTGACCCTTTATTTCAAGATGAAATTCTCAGGGTTATTTATGAACAGAAGGGAAAAATACAGTGAGGAACCACAAAAGAAAAAGAGATTTCAGATGTAGAGCCCATCCCTTAATTTAGCTGTGGGGAGTGGGCAGTCACTAATGTTGGGGGGAAGGAGAATCTTTGAAGGGGAGTGGGCACAAATAAAAATGTTTACAAATCACAATTTAGGATCACAGCCACAAGAACCTGAAAATAAGAAGTGCTCCTGTGTCATGTGTTTTCCAAAAGGTGTGCCAAGAAGCCAAGAAGCAAGGACTGAAAGTAGTCAAGCATCTGACATGATGGGTAAGGCTACCCTAGGGTCTTGGGATGGAAGTGGCTCAGTGGATATCACAGACACTGGGTAGGGATGTGGGAAGTGATCAGAGTTGAAGCAAAGCATGAAACAGCCTCTGGATCACCAACAGGAAGTGGGCCCACAGGCCCCAAGCTTCAGAATTTCAAAAGTCTGAAATCATAGTCCCGGTTTCCTGCTGCACTTGACTGTGAGCAGACTGTGACAAAGAACAGGTTTGGTGCCGCCAGAATCCTGTTCTCTACATTTGCTTAACCCGACCCTTTTGGGAACTGCAGGGAGGCAAGAGATCATTATAAAGCCATATTTAACAGAATGGGCTCTCTTGGTTAGGTGGTAAAAAAATACACTGGTAAACATAGTAGTATCTCACTATATTAGCATATCAATAGTAAAGTGTTGAATTTATAAAGCGAGTTCCATCCTTGTTCTTGAAAAAAAAAAAAAGAAAACATGTTCTTCCACTCACAGGTAATAGTGTCATTTTGTCACAACTTTGGAAAGGCCTAAAAAGACAAATAGTCCTGCTACCTGTCAGGAAAGAAAAATCAGATACCTACTCTTATGCTAAAAATACATTGTTTTGAAAGATATCCTCTGGACTGTTATTGATTTATATAGTGATTTCCTATTAACTCTTGCAAGTAAGATATTTAATATTCATAAAAATTTTAAAGCTGAACAGGATAACCGTTGCTGTCCCTGTTTCATAAATGAGGAAATTGGTGCATAAAAGTAATGAAGAGCTGTTTCAAAGTCTCAGAGAACTAGACGAAGACCTTAGACATCAATTCAGTGTCTGTTTCCTTTGGAAGGAAGACAGATAAATTATACTCAGAATATTGTTATAAACGCAAGCCTTCCATGCAGTGTGAATTGTCATAAGATTTATAAATTTTACTTATAAATTACAGTTCTCTGACCACTACCTGTCACTTTCTAGATACCATGGATGTTGAAAACAATTCTACTTTGGAAAAACACAGTGGGAAAAGAAGTAAGAACAAATAAGAATTTACTTAATTTTTATGTTACAAATGAACTATTTTTTAATGCTAAGGTTTATTATCATCATTTTCTTTTTTCAACTTTTATTATAGATTAAAGGGTGCATTTGCAGGTTTGTTACATGGGTAAATTGTGTGATGCTGAGGCTTGGTGTCCCAAAAATCCCATCACCCAGGCAGTAAGCATAGTACCCAACAGATGGTTCTTCAGCCCATGCCACCCTCTCCCCCTGCCCCATCTAGTGGTCCCCAGTGTCTCTTGTTCTCATCTTCACATTTATGTGTATTCGATGTTTAGCTTCCACTTGTAAGTAAGAACATGCAGTATTTGGTTTTCTGTTCTTGCATTAAGTTGCTTAGGATAATGGCCTCCGCTCCATCCATGTTGCTGCGAAGGGTGTGATTTCATTCTTTTTATGGCTGCATAGTATTTCATGGTGTATATGTGTGCCACATTTTCTTTATCCAATTCACTGTTGATGGGCAACTAGATTGGTTCCGTGTCTTTGCTTTTGTGAATAGCACTATAAGGAACATATGAGTGCGTGTATCTTTTTGATAGAACAAGTTATTTTCCTTTGGGTATATACCTAAAGGTAGTGGGATTGCTGGGTAGAATGGCATTTCTGTCTTTAAGTCTTTGAGGAATTGCCACACTGTCTTCCACAATGGTTGAACTAATTTTACCCTCCCACCAACAGTGTATGAGCATTCCTTTTCCTCCACAACCTCACCAGCATCTGTTATTTTCTTGACTTTTTAATAATAGCCACTCTGAGTAGTGTGAGATGGTATCTCACTGTGATTCTGATTTGCATTTATCTGATGATTAGTAATGTTGGGCATTTTTTTCATGTTTGTTGACCACTTGTATGTCTTCTTTTGAGAAGTGTCTGTTCATGTCCTTTGCCCATTTTTTAATTGGATTTTGTTTTTTGCTTGTTGATTTGTTTAAGTTCCTTGTAGATTCTGGATATCAGACCTTCGTTATATGCACAGTTTGCAAAAATTTTCTCCCATTCTGAAGGCTGTCTGTTTACTCTTTTGGTAATTTCTTTTGTTGTACAGAAGCTATTTAGTTTAACTGGGTCCCACTTGTCAGTTTTTGTTTGAGTTGCAATTGCTTTTGGAGACTTAGCCATAAATTCTTTGCCAAAGCCTATGTCAGGAAGGGTATTTCCTAGGTTTATTCTAGGATTTTTATAGTTTTAGGTCTTACATTTAAATCTTTAATCCATCTTGAGTTAATTTTTGTATAGGATGAGAAGTATGGGTCCAGTTTCGTTTTTCTTCGTATGTCTAGCCAGTTATTCCAGCATCATTTATTGAATAGACAGTCCATTTCCCATTGCTTATTTTTGTTGATTTTGTTGAAGATCAGATGGTTGTAAGTGAGCAGGTTTGTTTCTGAGTTCTCTGTTCTGTTCCACTGGTCTATGTGTCTGTTTTTGTACCAGTACCATGCCATTTTGATTACTGTAGCCTTATAGTATAGTTAGAAGTTGGGCAACGCGATGCCTCTAGCTTTGTTCTTTTTGTTTACAATTGCTTTGGCTATTCAGGCTCTTTTATGGTTCCAACTGAGTTTTAGAATAGATTTTTCTAATTCTGTGAAAAATGACGCTTTTATTTTAATAAGGATGGTGTTGAATCTATAAATTGATTTAAACAGTATAGTCATTCAAACTGTATTGATTCTTCCAATCCATGAGCATGGAATAATTTTCTATTTATTTGTGCTATCTCTGATTTCTTTCAGCAGTGTTTTGTACTTCTTCTTGTAGATATCTTTCACCTCCTTGGCTGGATGAATTCCTAGGGATCTCATTTTCTTTATGGCTATTGTAAATGGGACTGTGTTCTTCATTTGATTCTCAGCTAGAACGTTTTTAGTGTATAAAGATGCTACTGATTTTTATGCATCGATTTTGTATTCTGAAACTTTACTAAATTTGTCAGTTCCAGGAGCATTTTTTTCTACTCCTTTCATAAGATAAAACCTGAATGCCTTTTAAAGTAGCCATTTATTTTTTTCAAAATGCTCATGTTGCTTTATTCTGTCTTCATCTTGCTTTTCATTCTGATTTGAAAATAGATGTTCTTGTGAACATTGGTGTCTATCTTTCCAGAATTTTACTATGCATGTATTAACACGTTTTGGAATATAGTTTTATTTAAATGAGTAACTCTGTACACACTTGTCCTTTCTTGCTTTTTAAACTAATATACCTGGACAATAAAAACGTTTTAAATTGAAATATAAAAAGTCTTATTTCAGAGCTGCTTTAATGTGCATTGTTTTCATTTTTAGTGTCGTCAGGAATTTTTCATTTATTATCGGTCATTTCTTTTTCTTCTTCATAAAACTCTTTGTCAGAGAATGCTCTGTGTTTCTTTGTTTTGTTTTGTTGTGTTTTTGTTTATTTTTGACGGAGTCTTGCACTGTTGCTCAGGCTGGAGCACAGTGGTGTGATCTCGGCTTACTGCAAGCTCTGCCTCCCAGGTTCACACCATTCTCCTGCCTCAGCCTCCCGAGTAGCTAGGATTACAGGTACCTGCCACCACACCCGGCTAATTTTTTGTACTTTTAGTAGAGTCGGTGTTTCACTGTGTTAGCCAGGATGGTCTCGATCTCCTGACCTTGTGATCTGCCTGCCTCGGCCTCCCAAAGTGCTGGGATTACAGGCATGAGCTACCACGCCCGGCCCTCTCAGTGTTTTAAGTCATGGTGTTTTTCTTATTATTCTGAATGAATATAGAACTCTTAAATATTATATATATTAAATCTTGGTCATATACGTTGCTAGTATTTTGTCCATTTGTTGTTTTTCTTTTAGATTTGTTAAGGGAATCTTTTGTCCTAGAGAAGTTTTAAATTTTTATGTAGTCAAATTTGTCAGCCTTTTTCTGACTGGTTCTTGGGTTCCATATCATATTTACAACAGCTATTTCTTCCTCAATATTTTAAAAATATTGTTTTATATTTGATTCTAGAAGTTTGATATAACTGATCATTTTTAATGTTTACATATGTAATCTACAGGGGGTTTGCCTTTCTGTGTAAGTGAGGTGGGAATTTTAAAAATATTCTCCACACTATGGCATGGTGACATGGTGATTTGAATCACCACTTTGATTACACACTGCCTTTACCTGTCTATATTCTATGTTCTTCTTTTGTAATTGAAGGCACTACAGAAAAGAAAGAAGAGCTCAGAGGTAGAACCATCCTGATGCTTCATTGGGGTGAATTTTAGAATGAGCTCAAGAAGATCTCTCCCAACTCCTTCCCAAGTCCATTGAAAGCTCTGATCAGAAATGCATTGAACTGGCTAGGCATCATGGCTTATGCCTATAATCCCAGTTTCTCAGGAGGCTGAGGCAGGAGTATTGCTTGAACCCGGGAGGCAGAGGTTGCAGTGAGCTGAGACTGCACCACTGCACCCCAGCCTGGGTGACAGAACAAGACCCTGTCTCAAAACAAAACAAACAAAAAAAAAAGCATTGAATTTGAAGGTTAATTTGGGAAGAACAGAGACTTTTACTCTTTTATTCATGTCTTATGTAATGTTCTTCCACTAAAAATTTTTTTGTACAATTCTGGCATTTTAAAAAAGTTTTATACATTGTATAAATTTATGTGTTGCTATGAATATCTTTTTTTCTATTACATAATAACTGGAGGGAATTTAAATGAGACAAGACTCTCAAAATCTTTATTTAAAAGGAAATCTGTAGTCAATTTATTACCTACTTGCATATGAGAGAATCAGAATGCCACTTAGTTAATATAAAATTTTACAAGCATTTATAAGTTTAGGGATCCAGATGTCACTTAAAATATTATGGCCAGGCCCAAAAATTATCAAATAAAACCATCGATCAGAATTACAGGTTTCTTTGGAAACTGGTTTCATGAGAAGTGGCAGTAATTTTCTATTTTGTGGGATTATTACAAGACCTCTTCAAATAGCTCTCCTAAGGACAAGTTTATGTTAACATAGAACAGAACAAATCAGTAACGGTTATGAAAAGACACACTTCCATATTTTGCAAGAGAGTAAGACTGATCTTCTTTTGAAATTTCTCAATTTAACACTTTGTCAAATCAGATTCTTTATGTTAGTCTTGTGGTGCAGAATGTCCTCTCTCCTTCCACAACTATGGGTCGAGGGGCCTTTCCTTTCATCTCCTTCAGCAATTTCTTTTGTTAGTTATGAAGACTTACATTTTTAAAATCTGGTCAGTGGAATTCATTAGTTAGCCTTACAAGAAATGTAAGCCCGTGGAGCTCAATGTTACTGGGAAAAATAGAGGTGCCTGAAATGAATTTCACCTAAAAACAGTGAAATAGGATGCATAAAGATTTTTTTTTTCTTTTGAGATGGAGTCCAGCTCTGTCACCCAGGCCAGAGTGCAGTGGTGCAATCTCGGCTCACTGCAACTTCTGCCTCCCGGATTCAAGCAATTCTCCTGTCTCAGCCTCCTGAGTAGCTAGGACTACATGTGCCCACCACCATGCCTGGCTAATTTTTGTATTTTTAGTAGAGATGAGGTTTCACCATATTGGTTAGGCAGGTTTTGAACTCCTGACCTCAGGTGATCCACCCGCCTTGGCTTCCCAAAGTGCTGGGATTACAGGCGCGAGCCACCGTGCCCGGCCTAGGATGCATATAGATTTTTCAACTACAGCTCTCCCACATTCTCCATTCTGAATGAGCTCCAGATCCCATATCATTTTATTTTCAGATTTCCTTTCTGTCTTGTCTTCACCTAAATACATAACGTGAAGTTAGTTCAGTATTTAGGTGAAGATGCTGATGGTGTCTTTCTTTTAACACTACATCTTGTGTAATATTTTATAGGCATTGCTACTGTTTATAGGCTAATTATTATTCCCAGCATCATTAAAATACTTTCTGCATTTTATTTTCTTTTATCTCAAAATACTGATGGCCTTTCTTTATACCACTTCCATTTGCCAGACCTCATCCTATGGACCTCATCACGCTTCCCTTTTTATTGTTCTACTTATCTATTTCACACTCCCAACCCTCCCACAACTTTTCTTTCCTTGTAAATTAGACCACAGCTGTACTAAAGACTCAGTCTTCCTTCAGGGTACCTGTTTTGGGTTAGGACGTACAAACAGGCTTCAAAACTGTCCATCACTATTGGAGTAAAATAGGAAATCCAGTGAAATGGAAGAAACAGCCAGATTTAAAGCGATCCCCCAACCAATAGTGTGGAAGGCTTCAGCACAGATGCCAAGATTTTGAGAGATTTTGGCCAAGCCCATGCTCACAGTGAAGATGGTGGAATGTTTTTCGTTGGAGATGAAGTCACCATAGCTCAGTCTATAGGACATGGCAAGACAATTCACAGTGACTCCCAGTTCCACAGGATAAGGCAGTGTGCTCAGAGCCTGCAATAGTCTTTCTAGAGCATGATTTGGGCATCTTGACCAATGAAGGACAGGATTCATGGCTTACTCTCTGACTTTTTGTCAGGCCTCTCCTCAAATGCTGACTTATGAGAAGTTCTTCCTGGCTCTTCTACATAAAATAACACATCCTCCTCCCACACACACTTCTAGCCCCATTCACCACTCCCTGAAGTTCTTATTCTGGTTTACTTTTCCACAAAACACTCTGCCATCTTCTGTGTTTATTTCTTCATTGCTGTCTCCCCACTAGACCATAAGCTCTACGCCAGCAAGGACTTTGTTTTATTCACAACTGTATCCTCAGCATCTAGGATAGTGGGTTGATTCACAGTAAGTGCCCGATTAATAGTTATTGGATGAGTAATTTGCATGAATAAATTAATTCTACCAGCTTGTGAAAATCTAATCCAAATATATGATTGTACAAAATATGTACTTAAAGCAAGCAAAGAAAAAACATTAAAAATAAAAGGATGGGTAAAGAAATGTCAAGACCTATAAATTAGAAGATCAGGGATTTTTCATTGCTTGCTCTTTGTCATAAGTAATCACATGGTAATCAATATTGTCAGCTAATTCAGGTTCCCTGTGGATCTCATTTATGGGGGCCAGTCTGCTTCTTGACTACATGTTCTCAGTAGGCAGCTGGGCTTCTCCCTAGGAGGACTGTACAGATTGATCAAGGGTGGATGTCCTGCTGGCTTCACAGATGAGGTAGGGGGTAGACGGCAGGTGTGTAGAGCAATGCTGGAAGGGGAGGCAAATCTCCTGCCAGGAGCCTGAGGTCTGAGGCCTGAAAAGATCTGTTTCCAAAAAGCTGGTTCCTCCAGTCAAAGAGATCGAGCTGGTGTGGCTTGTCTGAGAATGGCCTTCAGTGATCACCTGCTCATGGCCTTTCTGACTGGAAGTTGTGGCTGCCCTTTGCCTCTTAACACCTGGCACGTATTGGCATGACCGTGATCAGGTGAGTGAGCTGGGAGAAGGTGGTCTCCTTTGGGCCATGTGGATGGATGCATTCTCTTCTCTTGTCTTCTGGAACACCCCAATCTCCTACTGGCTAATATAGCTCCTTCCTGGTCATTTGCTGGTGATGTTGGTGGTAGTGTGGATAGTGGTAGTATTGGTGGTGGTGGTGGTGGTGGTGGTGGTGGTGGTGTTGGTCCCTTCGTGGCTTCCTGATGTCTACGTATTGGAGTGCCCCACGGATTGGACCTGAGTGCTTTCCTTGTCTCTATACTCTCTCCCTAGGAATTGCATCCAGTCCTGTTCTTTAAATTTTATCAATATGTGAATGACTACCAATTATATTTCTTTTCTTCTCTCTCTCCTCAACTGCGAAGTCATAAATTCAACTTCTTACTCCAAACTTCTACCTGAAGTCTAACAGGTGTCTTAAATCTGATGTGTCAAGCACATTTCTTGATTCTCATTCCCAAACTTGTCATCCTCATCAGTAATCCTCATCTCAGTAAATGGCACTACATTTACTAAGTTTGAGCCAAAAATGTAGAAGGTGTGCTTGATTTCCCTCTATGCTAACCCCTCGCACTCTCTCTATCATCAAGTTCCAAGACTATATATCAGATTTGTCCATTCTTTATCTCCCCTGCCACTGCCCCGGCCCAAGCCCTATTATCTTGCATGTGGAATACCGCAGAGTCCTCCTAAATGGTCTCTCTGCTTTCATTCTTGCCCACTAGAACCTATTCTCCATTCAGCAGTTGGCCACCCAACTGCTATATCCTTTCAGTGGTTTTCAGTCGAACCTAGAAAAGTTTCCAGTTGAACCTAGAAAAAAAAGTCTAAACTTCTTACTGTGCCTATGAAGCATTACAAAGGCTGCCCCTGATCAGCTCTTAAACCTCATCCTTTATGATTCCCCCTCACTTGCTACTCTGGCCTTCCTTGAATAAACCAAGTAGTGTTCAGCCTCAGAACCCTTGCACTTCGTGTTGACTCTACATAAGATGCTTTTACCTGGTAAGAATGGTTTCCTCTTATTCATGTTTCAGCTCAGGTGTCTCCTCCATGGAGAGGCCTTGCCTGATCTCCATATTTTTTTAATTATTATACTTTAAGTTTTAGGGTACATGTGCACATTGTGCAGGTTAGTTACATATGTATACATGTGCCATGCTGGTGCGTTTCTTAAAAACTCCCCCAGCCTCTTTGATATCACCTTTTGACCTGTCTTTTCACTTGATTGTAAGTTTTTGATGTACGGAATATTTTATCCTTGTGTAATTGGTCTGTTTTATCATTTATAATTATTTTTTTAATCTTGTTTAAGAAATCTTGGCCTAATCTCAGGTTACCAAGATATTTTAATACTTTTCTTACTTTATTGAACATCTTGACCAATAAAGTCAGATCCAGTGAATAAATACTCTCGCTTCCATTCCTAAGATGGGCAGCCTGAGGATCATTCATTATGGTTCTTCAGAGAGTCCCCAGCAAGAGTGAGGCTCAGTTGACCACACTGGTGACCAGCCCAATTGGCTTCCCTTCTCATCCTTTCCCTCTTCCTGGTTCCTCACTCCTAATCCTTGTGATCACTTGAAAAATAAACCTACTGAGAACAAAACCCTATCTCAAGATTTGCTTTTGGGAATATTAGGTGGAGACATTCTTATTTTTTTTCTCATTTGGATATTTAATTCTTTTAGAATTGATTTTTTTTTTTTAGTGTGGCATAATGTAAGGGTCTAATTTTTACCAACCTGGATAACCATTTCTTCTAGCTTCTCCACTGATGTGTAATGTCACACATAACATGCATCAAGCTGCCATTTACATATATATATATATAGGGTTTATTTCTGGGCTTTCTAGTCTGATCCATTGCCCTATCTATTCTGCATCAATACATATCACACTCTAGTAAATACTAAAATTTTATAACGTATTAATATCAGGTAGGGTAAGTTCTCTCAACTTTTTTCTCTTTCAAAATTGTCTTGGCTATTACAGCCATTTTATCATTCTTATAACTTTTAATATCATTTTGTCAACCCTTGAAAACCCTGTTGAATTTTTATTGAAATTGCATAGAATAAATGTGGAGAGAACTGACGTCTCTAAAATATTGACCGTTTCTATTCACGAACATAGAGATATCTCACTATTTATTCTTTCCTTTTTAGACCCTTTATTCATTTATTCAGCAAATCCTTATTTCCAATGTTGCTCAATAGGGATAAAGAAGTGAGAAAAATCTCATCGAGCTTACATTCTACTTAGGGTATATAGACAGTACACAAATAAGTACATAATATTTCAGATAGTGACAATGTCATAAAGAAAAATAAAGAATAATGGAGGTGTACAGTGACAGAAATGTGCCATTTTATGTAGGGTGTCCAAGGAGAGCCTTGCTAACAAGCTGCATGTAACTCAAGATCTAAATGCAGTGAGGGACTAAGCCATGGAGCTGAGGCAGAGAAAACCTCAGTTGCAAAGACCTGAGAGAGGACTATACATGGTCCTTTAGGCAACGGCAAGGGAGACCACTGGCTGGAGAGGTAGAGAGGGGTTGGGCGGGAAGTGGTTTCTCAGAGGTATATAGAACTTATAGGCCATGGCAAAGACTTTGGATTCTTAAGTAAGAGAAGACATCAGAGAGTTTTGAGCTGGGGACTATAATCTGAATTACGTTGTGAGAACTTCCTCTGGATTCTACATGGATAATAGACTTTAGGAGGGCAAGGATGGGGCAGGAGTAAGGAGGCTATTGCAATGGTCTCGGAAGGGTGATGGTGAATTGGACTAAGTTGGTAGCAGTGGAAGCGTTCAAAAGTGGGTAGATTCTGAAAATGCAGATACGTGTGGGTATGTATTCATATACACATATACAGTCAATTCTCATTATTCCTGATAGTTATATTCTATAAAGTCACCATGAACATAGACTTAGCAAATATTGGACCATTGCTTCTAGTAGAAATACAGAATAAGGTTTTTCGAAGCCTCTGGTCATATTTTCCTCAACTGATAAATACATAACCTTGTTTTATATGTGTTTCTGTATAAAGACACCTTATGTAATATCACATTGATTTATTACTATTGAACTCATATCCAACAGCACTATATCTCATGCCTGAACAAAGCTCATCTAACACATGTACTTTCTGTCCCACGTCACAGCCTTCTTGTACTTAGGAACACTAGACAACTCTTCAGCATTACACTTGGGTGCCACTTTATATAGTGAAATTACCAACAAAAAGCACAAAAACGCACACAAAAAAGTGGCACTAAATAGACCACAAACGGACTCTTGTTTACAGTGTGAACGCTGAAACAAGAAGGCAAAGCATCACCTTGTTTGACCTCAGCTAAGAGCATGCATAGGTGACTCAAATAATTTGCCACACTGCATGTCTGCAAATGACCAGGGAAGTGCCACGAGTATTGATTGGAGGGTTCACATAAATTTGAACTAATAGACAAATTTGCAGATTTGGAATCTGTGAATAATGAAGATTGTGTGCCAATTAGCTTTACTCAACTTTTTAAAAATCTATTGGTACTTTTAGTGGGATTGTGTTAAATTTATAAATAAACATAGGGAGAACTCCCATCTTTATGATGCTAGACTGCCTCCCCAAGAACACGCCATGATGATCGATTTGTTCAAGGGTCCTCTGTGCCCTCAGTGGAACTTTTACATTTATTTCCTGCATGTGGGTGGGTGATGCAGACTTTCTTTACACTTAGTCTGAGCTTTGGTGGCAGTGTGCTTTCGTTGTTATTATAAATGAGGTCTTCCCTTGCATTATATCTTTTAACTGGTTTTTACTCCCATATAGGAAAGCTACTCATTTCTATATCTTAATTTTGAAACTTACTAAATTTTCCTATTATGATAGTATATTTTTAATTGCTTCCCTTGGGTTTTCCAGGTATATAATCATACAATCTGCTTTACTTTTTTGTGCTTGTTCTAACTTTTCCGAGGCATATGTTTAATTCAACTGGTGTCTTTTTTTCCCACTGGTTCATTATTTAAGGCTATTTATTGGTTTGGTTTGGTTGTTTTTGGAGATAGGGATCCTGGTATGTCACTCAGGCTGGAGTGCAGTGGTGTAATCATAGGTCACTACAGCCTTGAACTCCTCAGCTTAAGTGATCTTCCTGCTTCAGCCTCCCAAGTAGCTGGGATACAGGCACATGGCACCAGGTCCCAATATTTTATTTTATTTTATTTTATTTTATTATTTATTTTATTTTAGAGATGGGGTATCACTATGTTGCCTAGGCTGGTCTTGAACTCCTGGTCTCAAATGATACACCCATCTTAGCCTCCCAAGTAGCTGGGATGACAGGCATGAGCTACCACACCCAGCTAAGACTTTTCCCCTCCCTTTGGGCACTATATTAACAGTCTTCCATAGCTTCTCATAGGCAATGTTTTTTATTATTGTCATTTGCTAAATATCCTGCAATTTGTATTTGCATTTCCTCTTTGACTCAGTTATTTAAGAGAGGGTGGGGAAAATGTGTATACTCTATTTTCTGGCTATGGAGTTCAACATGTATCAATCATATTGATCCTGTTAAACAAATAATTTGGGTCTTCCATCCTTTTCTGTTTTCTACACTGATCTCTCATGGGCTAAAAGAAACAAAAATAAAGTCTTCTATTAATAGTGTGTTTCTACCCATTTCTTATTGCATCTCCTATAATTTCTACTTTCTTAAAACTTTTTGGCCTGAATTACATGGTCCCTGATTTCTTTTATTGATGTATACTGAATATATCTTTGCCTATATATTTATTTTCAATGTTTTGTATGTTTTTAAATGAGTCTTGTATACATGATAAAATGTTGGGTTTTACTTTGTAATTCAGTCTCTCAAAATTTCTTTTTTAAATAAGTGAGTTAAGCCCATTTACTTTTATTGATAGAACCAAGACGTTTGATCTTGTTTTAGTCACATTGGTTTATATTATATGTTCTAGGGATTTGGGTTTTTTAAAAGTCAACACTCTGCATTCTGTCTTCTATTCATTTTATGTGCATGTGTGTACTTCTGATACTAAGGAAGATTTGCATTTTTCTTCTAGTGGTTACAACTAGCTAGTGGCTACCTAGCTGAGACTATCTGTATTAGTCCATTCTCACACTGTTGTAAAGATCTACCTGAGACTGGGTAATTTATTTTAAAAAAAAGAGGTATAATTGACTCACAGTTCCACATGGCTGGGAGGCCTCAGGAAACTTACAATTACAGCGGAAGGTGAAGGGGAAGCAAGCACATCTTACCATGGCAACCCAGGAGAGAGGGTGAGCTACGGGGAAGTGCCACATTTTTTTTTATGTTCCGGGGTACATGTGCAGAATGTGCAGGTTTGTTACATAGGTATACATGTGTCATGGTGGTTTGCTGTACTGATTGACCCATCCTCTAGGTTCACTCCCCTCACCTTCCACCCCACAACAGGCCCTATGTGTTCCCCTCCCTGTGTCCATGTGTTCTCATTGTTCAACTCCCACTTATGAGTGAGAACATACAGTGTTTGGTTTTCTGTTCCTGGGTCAGTTTGCTGAGGATGATTGCTTCCAGCTTCATCCATGTCCCTGCAAAGCACATGATCTCATTCCTTTTTATGGCTGCATAGTAGTCCATGGTGTAGATGTACCACATTTTCTTTATCCAGTCTATCATTGTTGGGCATCTGGTTTGGATCCATGACTATGCTATTACAAATAGTGCTGCAATAAACATAGACGTGTGCATGTGTCTTTATAGTAGAATGACTTATATTCCTTTGGGTATATACCCAGTAATGGGATTGCTAGGTCAAATGGTATTTCTGGTTCCAGATCCTTGAGGAATCACCATACTGTCTTCCACAATGGTTGAACTAATTTACATTCCCATCAACAGTGTAAAAGTGTTCCTATTTATTCACAGCCTCACCAGCATCTGTTGTTTCTTGACTTTTTAATAATTGCCATTCTGACTGGTGTGAGATGGTAACTCACTGTGGTTTTGATTTGCGTTTCTCTAATGTTCAGTGATGTTGAGCTTGTTTTCATGTTCATTGGCCACGTAAATGTCTTCTTTTGAGAAGTGTCTGTTCATATCCTTTGTCCACTTTTTGATGGTTTTGTTTTTTCTTGTAAATTTGTTAAAGTTCCTCATAAATTCTGGATATTAGACCTTTGTCAGATGGATAGATTGCAAAAATTTTCTCACATTCTGTAGGTTGCCTGTTCATTCTGATGATAGTTTCTTTTGCTGTGCAGAAGCTCTCTAGTTTAATTAGATCCCATTTGTCAATTGTTGCTTTTGTTGCAATTGCTTTTGGCATTTTTGTCATGAAGTCTTTGCCCATGCCTGTGTCCTCAGTGTTTTGCCTATGTTTTCTTCCAGGGATTTTATGGCTTTGGGTTATACATTTTAAGTCTTTAATCCATCCTGAGTTAATTTTTGTGTAAGGCATAAGCAAGGGGTCCAGTTTCAGTTTTCTGCATATGGCTAGCCAGTTTTCCCAACACCATTTATCAAATAGGAGATCCCTTCCCCATTACTTGTCTTTGTCAGGTTTGTCAAAGATCAGATGGTTGCAGATATGCGGTGTTATTTCTGAGGTCTCTGTTCTGTTCCATTGGTCTATATGTCTGTTTTGGTACCAGTACCATGGGGGTGTTTTGGTTACTGTAGCCTTGTAGTATAATTTGACATCAAGTAGGCTGATGCCTCCAGCTTTGTTCTTTTTGCTTAGGATTGTCTTGACTGTATGGGGTCTTCTTTGATTCCAAATGAAATTTAAAGTAGTTTTTTCTAATTCTGTCTAATTCTGTGAAGAATGTCAATGGTAGTTTGATGGGAATGGCATTGAATCTATAAATTACTTTGGGCAGTATGGCCATTTTCATGATATTGATTCTTCCTATCCATAAGGTTGGAATGTTTTTTCATTTATTCATGTCCTCTTTTATTTCCTTGAGCAGTGGTTTGTAGTTCTCCTTGAAGAGGTCCTTCACATCCCTTGTTAGCTGTATTCCTAGGTATTTTATTATCTTTGTAGTGAGTGTGAATGGGAGTTCATTCATGATTTGGCTCTCTGCTTGCCTACTGATGGTGTAAAGGAATGCTTGTGATTTTTGCACATTGATTTTGTATCCTGAGATTTTTCTGACATTCCTTATCAATTTAAGGAGTTTTGGGGCTCAGATGATGGGGTTTTCTAAATACAAAATCATGTCATCTGCAAGTACAGACAATCTGACTTCCCCTCTCCCGATTTGAATAGTCTTTATTTCTTTCTCTTGCCTGATTGCCCTGGCCAGAACTTCCAATACTATGTTGAACGGGAGTGGAGAGAGAGGGCATCCTTGTCTTGGGCCAGTTTTCAAAGGGAATGCTTCCAGCTTTTGCCCATTCAGTATGATATTGGCTGTGGGTTTGTCATAAATAGCTCTTATTATTTGGAGGTATGTCTCATCAATACCTAGTTTATTGAGAGTTTTTTTTGTTTGTTTGGGTTTTTGTTGTTTTTGTTGTTGTTGTTTTTTGAGACGGAGTCTCAGTCTGTTGCCCAGGCTGAAGTGCAGTGGCATGATCTCGGCTCACTGCAAGCTCCGCCTCCCAGGTTCACGGCATTCTCCCACCTCAGCCTCCCAAGTAGCTGGGACTACAGGCACCCGCCACCATGCCTGGCTAATTTTTAGCATTTTTAGTAGAGATGGGGTTTCACTGTGTTAGCCAGGACAGTCTCAATCTCCTGACCTCATGATCCAACCGCCTCGGCCTCCCAAAGTCCTGGGATTACAGGCGTGAGCCACAGCGCCCGGCCAAGAGTTTTTAACATGAAGGGATGTTGAATTTTTTCAAAGACCTTTTCTGCATCTATTGAGATAATCATGTGGTTTTTGTCTTTGGTTCTGTTTATGTGATGGATTACATTTATTGATCTACATATGTTGAACCAGCCTTGCATCCCAGGGATGAAGCCTACTTGATCATGATGGATATGTTTTTTAATGTACTGCTGGATTCAGTTTGCCAGTATTTTATTGAGAATTCTTGCATCAATGTTCATCAGGGATATTGGCCTGAAGTTTCCTTTTTTTATTGTGTTTCTCCTAGGTTTTGGTATCAGGATGATGCTGGCTTCATAAAATGAGTTAGGGAGGAGTCACTCCTTTTCAATTGTTTGGAATAGTTTCAGAAGGAAAGGTACCAGCTACTCTTTGTACCTCTGGTAGAATTCAGCTGTGAATCAGTCTGGTCCTGGGCTTTATTTTGTTGGTGGGCTGTTAATTACTGCCTCAATTTCAGAACTTGTTATTGGTTTATTCAGGGATTTGACTTCTTCCTGGTTTAGTCTTGGGAGGGTGTATGTTTCCAGGAATTTATCCATTTCTTCTAGATTTTCTAGTTTATTTGTGTAGAGGTGTTTATAGTATTCTCTGATGGTAGTTTGTATTTCTGTGGGGTCGGTGGTGATATCCCCTTTATCTTTTTTTATTGTGTCTATTTGATTCTTCTCTCTTTTCTTCTTTATTAGTCTATCTAGTGGTCTATCTATTTTGTTAATTTTTTCAAATAACCAGCTCCTGGTTTTTTTGGAGAGTTTTTCATATCTCTATCTCCTTCAATTCTGCTCTGATCTTAGTTATTTCTTGTCTTCTGCTAGCTTTTGGATTAGTTTGCTCTTGTCTCTCTGGCTCTTTTAATTGTGATATTAGGGTATAGATTTTAGATCTTTCTAGATTTCCGATGTGGGCATTTAGTGCTATAAATTTCCCTCTTAATACTGCTTTAGCTGTGTCCCAGAGATTTTGGTACGTTGTCTTTTTGTTCTCATTGGTTTCAAAGAACTTCTTGATTTCTGCCTTAATTTCATTATTTACCCAGGAGTCATTCAGGAGCAGGTTGTTCAATTTCCATGTAATTGTGTGGTTTTGAGTGAGTTTCTTAATCCTGAGTTCTAATTTGTTTGTGCTGTGGTCTGAGGGACTATTTGTTATGATTTCAGTTCTTTGCATTTGCTGAGGAGTATTTTACTTCCAATTATGTGGTCAATTTTAGAATAAGTACCATGTGACACTGAAAAGAACATATATTCTGTTGATTTGGGGTGGAGAGTTCTGTAGATGTCTATTAGGTCCACTTGATCCACAGCTGAGTTCAAGTCCTGAATATCCTTGTTAATTTTCTGTCTCATTGATCTGTCTAATATTGACAGTGGGGTGTTAAAATCTCCCACAATTATTATGTGGGAGTCTAAGGACTTGTTTTATGAATCTGGGTGCTCCTGTATTGGGTGCATATATATTTAGAATAGTTAGCTCTTCTTGTTGAATTTTTCCCTTTACCATTATGTAATGCCCTTCTTTGTCTTTTTTGATCTTTGTTGGTTTAAAGTCTGTTTTGTCAGAGACTAGGATTGCAACCTCTGCTTTTTTTTTGCTTTCCATTTGCTTGGTAAATTTTCCTCCATTCCCTTATTTTGAGCCTATGCATGTCTTTACAGGTGAGATGGGTCTCCTGAATACAGCACACCAATGGGTCTTGACTCTATCCAGTTTGCCAGTCTGTCTTTTAATTGGGGCATTTAGCCCATTTACATTTAAGGTTAGTATTGTTATGTGTGAATTTGATCTTGTCATCAAGATGCTATCTGGTTATTTTGCACACTAGTTGATGCAGTTTTTTCATAATGTCACTGGTCTTTATTTTTTAGGGTGTTTTTGCAGTGGCTGGTACTGGCTTTTTCTTTATTTTAGTGCTTCTTTCAGGAGCTCTTGCAAGGCAGGCCTAGTAGTAACAAAATCCCTCAGCATTTGCTTGTCTGAAAAGGATTTTATTCCCCCTTCACTTGTGGAGCTTAGTTTGGCTGGATATGAAATTCTGTATTGAAAATTTTTTTTTAAGAATGTTGAATATTGGCACCCAATCTCTTCTGGCTTGTAGAGTTTCTGTTGAGAGGTCTGCTGTTAGTCTGATGGGCTTCCCTTTGTAGGTGACCTGGCCTTTCTCTCTGGTCTTTCCTTCATTTGGACCTTGGAGAATCTGATGATTATGTGTCTTGGGATTGATCTTCTCTTGGAGTATCTAGATGGTGTTCTCTGTATTTCTTGAATTTGCATGTTGGCCTGCCTTGCTAGGTTGGGGAAGTTCTCCTGGATAATATCCAGAAGTATGTTTTCCATCTTGTTTCCATTCTTCTCATCTCTTTCAGGTACTCCAATCAGTCATAGGTTTGGTCTTTTTACAAAGTCCCATATTTCTTGGAGGCTTTATTCAATGAAGCACATTGACTGTCCCTTGGTGTAGGAGGTGTGCTTTGGGGGCGGGGTGAAACCCAGTTGTCTGGGCTGCACGGATTCCTCAGAACTACCAGGAGGAAAGGCTAAGTCTGCTGGTTCATGGAGACTGCGGCCTTTCTGCTATGGGCTCAGGCCCAAGGACATCTGGGTTCTGTCCCTGAGCCTCTGGCTGGAGTTATTGGAGTTCCTGCAGGGAAGCCCCACCCAGTGAGGAAGGATGAGTCAGGGTCAGGCCTGAAGAGGCACTCTGGCTGTAGTAGGCCACAGCCAGTGTGTTGGGCTGTGAGGGACACATCTTGGGACCAAGCCATCCAGCCTCCCTGGCTCCAGCAGAGGAGAAGCATGGCCTGGAGCTATAGAGATGGATGCCACCCTTCCCCTGCCCAGAGAACTTAGAGTGTTAGGCAGTTGTGAGTCCCAGTGCTGGCTGCTGAAGTGCCACATTTTTAAACCACCAGATCTTGTGAGAACTGACTATCATGAGACCAGCAAAGGGAAAATCTGCCCCCGTGATCCAAATCACCTTCCACCAGGCCCCTCCCCCAACACACAAGGATTACAATTCAACATGAGATTTGGGTGGGGACACGGAGCCAAACCATATAACGATACTTTCAGCCTTCCTTACAGTTCGCTCTGACCATGTCATTAGGTTCTAGCCAATGGCATATAAGCAGAAGATATGTGAGCCACCTCTGAGTCTTTTCCTTGAAATAAATGAATGGGTAAGCAGCCCACACTCATTTCCTATTTTTTCAGTGGTTAGGAGTGTATACTTCCAATTTAAAGAAGGTTTGCTTTTTTGTTCTAGTGATTACTTTTAGGATTACCTTTATATGATTCCTTTGGTGCTCTATTTTAGACAGTATCCTTTAGTTTCCCACCCAGAAGATTTATAAAATCAGCCTGTGTGCCATTCCATTGTCCAGTCTTTTTCCTCTCCCATCCAATTTTAGGCTGTGCCATTACCATGTTTACCTTTCAGCCATTAACCTTGCTTTACATCTACTCTTGGATTTGTCAACACAATACCTTTGGATTCCTACCTATAAAATAAACAAAGAACTTGCCCTACAGCCTATTTTTGCTCTCTCCTCCCTGTTTTTCGTTTGTTTGTTTTGGTTTGGTTTGGCTAGAGACAGGGTCTCACTCTGTCACCCAGGCTAGAGGGCAGTGGTGCAATATTAGCTGCAACCTCTAACTCCTGGGCTCCAGTGATCCTCTTACCTCAGCCTCAAGAGTAGTTAGGACTACAGGTGTGCACCAACATAGCTTGCTAATTTTTCAAATTTTTTGTAGAGACAAGGTCTTGCTGGGTTGCCCAAGCTGGTCTCAAACTCCTGGCTTCAAGCGATCTTTCCACCTATGCTTCCCAAAGTGCTGGGATTACAGGCATGAGCCACTGCACCTAACCCTTCTCATATTTTTTGTTATTATACTATTTCTATATTGTCAGAGCATATGCATTTCATATTCTCATCTGTCACCCTACTGCTCACTTTTATTTTTGTCCTTTTGCCAGAATTTTTCAGTTCTACCTTAGTTTGCTGAAGTATATCTTCTAGTAATTTTCACAATAAGGACTCAGAAACTACATTCCAAGAATTTTTCTGTTCAAAATTATGTGTTTGTGTTATTTATACCTGAAAAATAGTTTGCTCATTCTTTGTTTCTAGAAATATCTTATAGGTTTTTCTCCACTCTCCCATGGCATTAAATGTTGCTGTGGAAAATTCTGTGGCCAATAAGTCTCCCTTGAAAATAACTTTTTGCCTACACCGCCCATTCAATTCTTTATTTATCTTTAAAGTCCAATAAATTTGTTGGAAATATATCTCAGTGTTGGCTGTTTTGGGTCAATTTCTCTGTCACAGGGTGAAGAGATAGGTACTTTTGATGTATACATTTCAATTTATATTATAATTCCACAGACTTTTTTCATCAAGTATTTATTCTATTATTTTGATTTTCTTCTTTGGGAACTCCAATAATTTGTTCACTTACATTGATTATTTTCTATTTTTTATTTTATGTTATTTTATTTGAAACAATGTCTTACTCTGTCACCCAGGCTGGAGTGCAGTGGAGCCATCTCAGCTCACTGCAACCTCCACCTCCCAGGTTCAAGTGATTCTCCTGCCTCAACCTCCCAAGTAGCTGGGACTACAGGCATGTGCCACCATGCCAGCTAATTTTTTTATTTTTAGGAGAGATGGGGTTTTGCCATGTTGGCCAGGCTGGTCTCAAACTCCTGAGCTCAGGTGATCCACCTGCCTCGGCCTCCCAAAGTGCTAAGATTACAGGGGTGAGCCACTGCAACCAGCTTATTTTCTAATTTGTTTAATCATTCTTAAAATTTCTTGTTTCCTTTACCTATTTCTGTAATCTATGTCCTTCACTTTAATTTCTGAAATGTCTAATCCCCTTTATTTGCCTTCTAAATTTGTCTTCATTTCTCTGATTTTTTTTTTCTACTTATTTCTTAAGTTCTGGCTGTTATAAACACAATTACAGCTTTAGCTCTTCAAAGTATGCCTCTGAATTCCACCAAGTGTACTTTACTGGTAATTTCTTTCTTTTTTTTATTTCTCTTTTTTGAGACGGAGTCTTGCTCCGTGGCCCAGACTGAAAGTGCAGTGGTGTCATCACAGCTCACTGCAATCTCCTTCCAGGTTCAAGCAATTGTCCTGCCTCAGACTCCCAAGTAGCAGGGACTACAGGTACATGGCACCACTCCAGGCTAATTTTTGTAATAGGATTTTGCCATGTTGATCAGGCTGGTCTCAAACTCCTGGCCTACAAGTGATTCACCCACTTTGGCCTCCCAAAGAGCTGGGATTCCAGGCACGAGCCACTGTGCCCGGCCATCACTGGTGATTTCTTAGACCTACTGTTGCTTGACCCTCTTGGTACTCTTCTGCTGCTGCTGTCACCTTCTGCTTGATTTCAGCTACTTTAAAAACTTTCTTTATTGTGAATGATAAGACCACATATGGATATGTACAAGCATAGTGTAAATGATTGGCACTGTGTAAAAACAGGTTGCTTTGTGGTTATTGGTTTCTGCGTGACAACAACCAAGATGGGATGTTGGTGGCCGAGGACTTAGCCCCGCAAAAGTAGAAGGAAAACAAAATTCAATGCTTGTAAACTATTGACATATAAAGTGTGTAAATCTTTGTTTATAGTTCTAAAGGATTATTTTCTTTCTTTTCTGTTTGCAGGAAAAAAGAGAAGGCATAGATCTAAAGTAAATGGTCTCCAAAGAGGTAAGAAGAAATGTGGGGATTTACTCCTTTGAACTCGCTGTGGTCCTGTTCTTCCTGCCAGACCCCATCTTTGCTGCAGCCTCAGAATCTCCTATGGGCCACGGTAGCTTCAGACCTCATGGATTCTTTAGAGTACCAGCTAAGTCATTGTAACAAACAGATCCCAAAATACAGTGGCTTAAACCAAATAATCTAAGAGCCCAGAAGTGGTAGGCAGTCTGCCTTCCTTAACATGAGGTTTCCAACTGTGGGTCCACAAGGGCTGAGCTGGTTGACATTGTCTCCCAACCAGTGGGAATGAAAAAAAAATTGACAAAAGAACCAGCCATTTATTTATTTTAATAGAAAGACTCAAAAGTCTTCTGCCCACATCCCATTGGCCAAAACTTGGTCACACAGCCAGAGCTAGCTGCAAAGCGAGGCTGAGAAATATAACGCTGGCCGGGCAGTCCTTGGTTCAGCTGTAAGTCTATTCTTATGGAAGAAGGAATGATTATGGGTGACAAATAGCAATATGCCTACTTGCCCTTTATGTTTGCCTCCAAAGTCACTGATTCCCTTAAATGTGGAGGAAAACTCAGACTCTCCATTTATTCAGATCCAGCCTTTTTGTCACCTGAGACTCTTTGGCAAGGACAGGAGCTGGAAGCTGAGATGCATTACAGAGATATGTGGGCAGAGACATGCCAGCCTTGATTAGGAAATGAGGGAACAGGAGGAAGTGTTAGAAAGGTGTGTTGTAACTAATACAGTCCAGGACAGAACATGGAGAAACAGACAGAGAGAACTTGAATCAATTACATGGAAGCCAGAGTACTGGTGCCACATCAGATCTAAGCCTGAGAAACACGGGGTTATTTTATTTATTTTTTTCTTTTTTGAGATGGAGTCTGGCTCTGTCACCCAGGCTGGAGTACAGTGCTACGATCTCAGCTCACTGCAACCTCTGCCTCCCAGGTTCAAGCAATTCTGCCTCAGCCTCCCGAGTAGCTGGGATTACAGGCGCATACCATCATGCCAAGCTAATTTTTGTATTTTTAGTAAAGACAGGGTTTCGCCATGTTGGCCAGGCTGGTCTTGAACTCCTGATCTCAGGTGATCCACCTGCCTCGGCCTCCCAAAATGCTGGGATTACAGGCAGTGAACCAAACTCAATCAGAGCATATGCCACACTGTGAAGATAAAAAAGACGTGACAGTCCATTCTCTTCATCAGATCTTGTGAATTTTATGCTTATTGCATTCCTCCTTTTCTTCCTCTTCTTTGTCTCTCTTTTATTTCCTTCCATCTCCCATTCTACTTATGCTTCTCTTGCATACTTTATTTCTTTATTTATTTTTGCATCTTGTAAAATACTTCTGGCAAGTTGATATGGCACTATAGAGATAGTAGCACTTTTTCCTCTAGAGCTAAAGCATATTTGGATATATTTTTTCCCATTACTTCTGATTATTTGTCTGTCACTCATATACATAGATATATATGTTTATGTAAATGATATATTTTCAAGTATAAGTAACTTTAAATATAACTCTACTATAAATAAGTATATACATATAATATTTCTAGCATCTCTATCATTTTTATTTCTATACCTATCTGTCATCTTGGTTATATTCCAGTTTGTACTTACCCAGGTCTAAGATGTTTTTTCCGTCATGTTTCTACTGGTTTCTATAGAAGCCTCTCTACCTTAACTATTTTATTAAAATACTTGGATTTGTTAAGTCTAAGCAGAAATCACATTTATTCCTTCTACTTCCTTTTCAAACCTGTTCTCTCAAATAGTTCTTTTCTTGCCAATGGATGAAGTCTTAGGTAAGCCCTAGAGCTATGCTAGTCCCTTTTAGCGGTAATATCTCATTTAATATTAAAAAGCGTGAGCTGATATAATATTAAAACTGGAAATTATGTGGTAGGGAAGCTGGGTGAAGTCAGCATTTACTTTCATCCACACTTCCTCTCCAACTCCACTCAGTGTCTATTGCTTTCAGCTAATTTGGGTCTAGGAGGAGGAGGAGAAGGAAGTGGACAGGAGCAGGAATGGTCCTCATACTATATAGGTTGGTGCAAAAGTAATTGTGGGTTTTGCCTTTTAAAAAAAAAGGGAATAGCAAAAACTGCAATTACTTTTGCACCAACCTTATAGATTTTGGTGTCTCCTAGATATGGTGGATGCATGAGCCATATTCATTTGTGAGTTCTTCAGAGACACTCAACTTAGAGAGAACCTCTCAACCAAAGTTCCCCTAATTCAGGAACTTCAACTGGATGCTTACCAATTCCCTCAGTCTCCCAGCTCTGGGAGGTCCACACTACACTCCTGCTGGGGTCAACTCATCCATCCAAGTGATTCTCCCAGACAGAATATCTCTCAAGAAGAACTAAGTGAGTTCCTCCTTTCCCTAGGGAGACCTATAGGAATTATGACTCTTCATACCCTCTCAACATTCTAGGATTGAGTCTATAAATGTCTCTGCCTTCCTCAAACTCCTGAAGGTGAAGATCAGTTACATTGAAACTGAAGTCTTCTCAGTTGCCTTAAGGACGGAGGAGCACTTTACTCAACTTCTATAACATGGTGTTAACCTTTAGTATTTGGGTAGGAAATCCAAGAATAGCCACACTACTTCCTGTGGGGTATTTGAGCAAGACAATTTGCAAAGAATAATTACAAAGGAAGTCCCAAGAGCTCTATAGTATTAGCAGATCTTAAGCCCCAAATCTTCTAGTAAGTAGAGCTCGAGTAAACGGAACTAAACTACTTGTATACCTCTAATTTGTTTGTCCTCAGTGGACTTTGATGAAAGGTGACTACAACAGGACCAAAGACATAGATGAACAGAAAAAGAGTCTTTGTTTGTCTAAGATATTTATGGTTGGACAAGTTCAAATTGTGGCCAGGCCATATAAAGAAAGAAAGGAAAGAAAAATGCAGGGAGATGGTGTGAGGAGGGAAAGAGGGAAGGAGGGAAGGATGAAGGGAAGGAGGAAAGGATGAAGGGAAGGAGGGGAGGGGAGGGGAGGGGAGGAGAGGAGAGGAGAGGAGAGGAGAGGAGAGGAGAGGAGAGGAGAGGAGAGGAGAGGAAAGGAAAGGAAAGGAAAGGAAAGGAAAGGAAAGGAAAGGAAAGGAAAGGAAAGGAAAGGAAAGGAAAGGATCAGCACCTTTAAACATGGCACTCATGAGATGCTCCTGCACATACCTCACTGTCTTTCTACCTACCCCCATCACCTGCTGAATCTAACAGCATATTCCTGAAATAGGGTTTTAATCAACCCTTTGTTAGTCCTAACCCTAAGGCTTTCTGGGACTTGAATCTCTATACAAATTCCCCTTGGACAATAATCTCTTGGTTAGTTTCTTAGATCCTAATTTTTTGGCCAAACCTATGTGAATAAGGTCTTTGGTCATTTTCACTGTATTTTCAGCCTCAAAGCCTTCATTGAGGGCTAAGATGGTGGCTAGTGTGTCACCATCATAATGAGCAGGACAATCCAAATTCTTGCATTGCTGCCATTGATTTCTGCCTACAACCAGAGGAAATCTGCAATGCTTCACTTCATTTTGCAATATCTGTATGCTGAAGTTTCTTCATTGGTCATAGGGGTAGTAAAAGTCTCTATCTCATAAATGAATTAGTAGATGTAAATATCTTGTGTTAGTGTCTAGCACATAATAAGCACTTAAGTCTTAGCCCTCATTATTATTATTCTTACAGTATTCTTTGGGATATAAATGAAACTGTCGTAAATTCTTTTTAAAATTAATGTTGGGGGGAGGCAAATGAATTTGGATTAATGTCACGGGAAAGGAAAGAAAATCTAGGATGAACCCAGGTTAACCATCAAAGGCTTGGTAATTGCAAGGCTATGTGTTACATATTTTTCTTTGTGTGTTAGGCTCTGGAAAAGTTATAGCTAAATAAAATTTTTGAAAGCACTATTATATATAATGTGAGTTTTTTACACCATCCATATTTATATTTTCCTATTTTCTCAGGGAGAAAGAAAGACAGACCTAGAAAACATTTAACTCTGAATAACAAAGTCCAAAAGAAAAGATGGCAACAAAGAGGTAAAAAAAAAAAAATACATTTTAAATAAATAACGTCTAAATTCTCATGCTCTTAGTAAGAAACATTTTTTTCCTAAATGCTTTATGTAGCTGTACTTACTGTTGAGAAATATATCAGATGTAGTCAAGTTCCAAAATATGTCAGGGAAAAAAAGATGATAACACCACAAACAAGTAGCTAGGTGATGAATCTGCAACCATACCCCAGGGCCCAGGAGCTGCTTGCAGTGCTTCCTCTCCTGAGCTGATAACTTTCAAGGCTGGAAATAGTTGCTGGCATAAAAACAAAAACAAAACAAACAAAACCTATGTAATTCACAAGTGATGTAGCTGTCCCTCCTCTTGCCCATCACCACGTGGTAATTGTGTGGACTTGGGTCTGCCCCAAGTAAATTACAGTTTACTCATCTGTAAAGTGAAATTAAGTCAGTTAGACAAGACTGGCTGCCCTCCAAGGCCCATACCAGCTTCCCATGTGGCTTCTCATTCCGTGGATCTCCTACAGGACTCGGTAAAAACTATGGACAGCCCCCTCTCCCGCATCATCAGCACAGAGCTCTTGTAGACTGTGCCTCTTCCCCAGTGTCACTGGCTGGAAGGGTTGGAACAGCAGCTCAGAATCCTCAAGTTAATTTTAAGACCTTCACACCTGTTTCTACTAAATCAGCTCTTCAGTCCCCACCTCCACCACATAGAGGCTCTAAAATGCAAAGCCTCCTCCCTGTACAACTTGCAGATGATTCTGGAACTCTGATGAGCTGTTCTTTCAGCCAGGAGAAAGGTGCATGAAGGAGGAGGCAAGCAGAGAAGACAGACATCATCTCCTGCCAGACTGCCCTGTTGTTATCCTGCTCAAATTTACAGACAAATTTGTCATCTAAAAGAGTTTTAACACCTAAAACTCTTTCTCTGGCCACATAACTTCATATAGACTCTCTCTCTCTCTCTCTCTCTCCCCCTATATATATATATATAAATGTATGCAACTGCTTCTCCATAGTTGGTGGTGGCAAACCTGCTTGGGAATTAAGACACTGGATGGTCCTTCTAGAAGATACACAACCCACTGCTGTTCCCTCAGTGAGAGTATCTCTTAAAAACACCCAGTACAGCTCCCATCCACAAGGTCTGCACCAGACCATGGGAATCGTGCTTCTTCATTATTCCCCTGCTGGCTCCCAGCTCAGCCCTCTGGCACCCTTGACCCCGCTAGCCATGACCTTCACCTTTACACTTCTCAGAGGTGAGTCTGAGAGTCTCTCATTCCCTGACATTCCCAGGGACGGAGGTCCATCTCCTGCTTAGATGTCTTTAAACCTCATTTGGCTTGAGAGAAGGTATCTGACAATTCTCTCCAGAGAAATGTGGCCTCTCTCATAAGGCCTGGAGGTGGGGAAGGCTGATGCTGGCAGAACCAGGCTCCCAATCCCCTACCATGTTCTTTGCAGATAGACTGGCATCTTGCCTTAGGATATAGGAGTACTGGGCTCCTATTGTGGCATTCTTGGATGTTGAGGCTTCTGCTAATATTCTGAGATAACCAAAGAGTCGCCTAAACACGGTGATATACTCTTTTGCCAAGAATGATTAGTCCCTGCTATGAAAAAATATATATTTTAAAATAACTTTTAATTTTTTCTGACCATATTATTATTTTACATGGTTAATGTAGAATTAAAACTAGTAGACCCAAGAACAGTTAAGTCCTACTTTGTCCAGGCATTTGACTGCCCGGATATACAATTGTAGTGAGGTGCTGGAGCCAGCGAACACACAAAGAACCACTGGAAAGCACAGTTCTGCGGCACTTTATTATACATGATCTGCTCCTCAGCCCTGATGTCTCCAGGCCAAGAGCTGGGAAGCAGCGCAATGAGCTTCTGGTGTTTTGCCCTGAAGTTGTTTGCCCTCAATAGGTTTTGATTGAAAGGAAATCCCTGCAGTCCAAGAAGGATTTAAACAAGAGATAAACTGAGAGCAAGAGAATATACATTGACCAATAATGGCTAGGGCTGAACATACCCAGGTTATGGCCAGAGCTGGATCTCCAGTTTGACCACTTTATGAGAAAGAAGAAAGCAGACAGAACACAAGTGTCTTTTGATGGAACTGTGGGGAGAAGGGAGAGTTGGGGGAAGGAGGAGAGAAGAGTTAGAAGTGGCCAGTTTTCCTGGGTGCACCTGCAACTTGAGCATCATGAGTGACAGGAGGGAGAGTCCCACACAGAACCACCCCTGTGTGGATGACATTTTACTGTGGCAACCGCATCAACTACCATACTTGGCCCAATCATGGTCTTTGAAACTGATCGATCTAGAGCAATTTTACCTGAGAGACAAGGAACGAGTGGTAAGAAAGCTTCATCTAATTCCTTGAGGTCTCCATTCTTCCACATTTTACGTGTTTCTTTTAAACCTTTAGTTCAGGCCAGGTGTGGTGGCTCACACCTGTAATCCCAGCACTTTGGGAGGCTGAGGCAGGTGGATTGCTTAAGCCCTGGATTTAAGACAAGCCTGGGCAACATGGTAAAACCCTGTCTCTACTAAAAATACAAAAATTAGCCAGGTGTGGTGGCGCACACCTATAATCCCAGCTACTTGGGAGGCAGAGGAAGGAAAATCACTTGAACCTGGGAGGTGGAGGTTGCAGCCAGCCGAGATCCGTGCCACTGCACTCCAGCCTGAGCAACAGAGCAAGAGGGCAAGACTCGGTCTCAAAAAAAATAAAGGGGGTTGGGGGGAAACCTTTAGTTCAATAGCCAAGTTTATAATTCTTTTATATGGGTTTAGTCATCTCTCCTCCCCATGTATCTCCATAATATTTTAATAAACTTCCTAAGGGCAACATCTTGTGCGGTAGAGCATGCTTTTTCTCAGGATATGATTCCTCTTGACATGTGAATTATCAGTAAATGTCTGATGGTACCATTTTTATCTTGATGAAGTTAAAAAACAAAACAAAACAAAAAAACCTCTAAGTAATTGTTATGACAGAGGCCCAGAAAATACAGTGTCATCAATCCCAAGGTTTCTTTATGCTAGATTGAAGGAAACATGCCTTTCCAGCCTAATCTCGTCATAATTTGCTCAAAGGAAGGAGCATTCACAATTGAGCATCTGGAGGAGTTTTTCTCCTGGGGCTTGCAGGACCCAAATCCACACCCTATGATACCAGCCATGGGCACAGAATAATGGGCACAGACCTTAAGAAAGAGCATCCACTTTGTGTCCCTGACTTCAGCAAACACGTTTGAACGATGCAGATCTAAACATACATCTGGAATGACTGGCTATTTATTTGGACACACCGATCAACACATAGATACATGCTTCCAAGATTTGTTTCTTTTTTGAGATGGAGTCTCGCTCTGCTGCCCAAGCTAGAGTACAGTGGCGTGATCTTGGCTCGCTGCAATCTCCGCCTCCCGGATTCAAGCAATTCTCCTGCCTCAGCCTCCCGAGTAGCTGGGATTACAGGCACATACCACCACACCCAGCTTTTTTTTTTTTTTTTTTAATTTTTAGTAGAGACGGAGTTTCACCATGTTGGCTAGGCTGGTTTTGAACTCCTGACCTCAGCCTCAGAACTCCATCCACCTTGGCCTCCCAAAGTGTTGGGATTACAGGCTTGAGCCACCGGGCCCAGCCCTGAGATATCTTTTAAGTCAATCCTTTGTGCTATCTTTAACCATACAACTCTTAGGCCTTGTGCCTTAATTTCTACAAGTTCCTCTTGAATAGCCTTCATTGGGTTAGTTTTTAAGTCCTTGGTCATTTTCCTCACCATTTTCAGTACAAAACCTTCCAAGTTTACATATCTGACTGGTAGAGTCTACCATGAGGTCTGTCTTGAGACCTTATGTTTCTACTTTTTATCTCTGACTCTTTCCCAAAGAAAATTGTCAACACTTTAATTTATATATTTATCTCTGAGCATCAGTTTCCTCATCTGTAAAGTGAGGATAGTACTAGTGCCTATTTAATAGATTTTGTTGTAAAGATGAAGTCGGTTAATAGAGGCAAAGATCTAAGGATAGCTCCTGGCATACAACAAGCACTGAATACGTGTTCAACTTCATTCTTGCTCTCCTCCTGTTGCTTGGGAAGCAGGTAAAATACTGTTTCAAATTTATCTGGAATGATTTGGAGACGTTAATAGAGAAATATAGGATACATCTCAGTTAAGCATCGTGGCTGTAACCGAGTCTAGATCAGAGGTCAGCAAAGTATGACCTACAGGGCAAATCTATCCTGCTGACTGTAAATAAAGTTTTACTGGAACACAGTCACCGTCGCATCCTTTGATGAATTCATGACACAACTACAGAGTTGAGTAGTCACAACAGAGGTTATGAACTGAAAAACCTTAACTACTTACTATCTGTCCCTTTACAAAAAAAGTTCCCGACTCCTGATATTTTTCTTTAAGTTCTAGACAGGATCCTGAAAAGTTGCATTTGAATGGTGGTTTTGTAAAACACTACTATTTGCAATGTAAAGAGACATTTATGTTGTTTTTCAACTTTCTCAGGAAGAAAAGCCAACACTAGACCTTTGAAAAGAAGAAGAAAAAGAGGTAAATAGAAGTGATCGATATGTTTTTCATAATTAAACATTTAATATTTAATATTCTGTACTGTGAGTAACAAGTCAGTTTTCTTAATTGGCATATGGAGCTAGTACTGGAGCCTTAACGTTGACCAGCAGTTCATTTTAAGACCCTCAATACCTGCTTCAGTGGAATCAGATCCCCAGTGTCCCAGTCAACCCCTCATGCAGGGTTCCCTGAGCAATGTGCACGTTCTTTTTTGTTGATTGATTGATTAATACGTAATAGATAGAAATACTTGGGGGTACATGTGACAATTTGATACTTTCGTATAATCAAATCAGAGTTATTGGGATATCCATCACTTTAAATATTTACCTTTTTTGATGCCAGGAACATTCAGATTATTCTCTTTTAGCTATTTTGAGATGTATAATCAATTCATGTTAACTATAATCACCCTATTGATCTATTGAAAACACCAGGTTTTATTTCTTCTATCTAACTGTATATCTGAATGCTTCGTCAATCTCTCTTTATCCCTCCTCTCTCAATGTGCAGTTTCTTCTAGAACCCCCCACACCAAGCTTCCCTTTTAGCGTCGGAGAAAGCTCAAGTGAAAAAGTGAAGCAAAGCAGTTGGCAAAGAGGGAGACAGATGCCACCCCGAAAGGTGCCCCATTAGGTGCCACTCTGCCATCCTGCCCTCTGTCCCCTCAGTCAATGCCTGGAATGGGGAGATGAGGCTAAAATTTGAGAGTTTGTTTTAACACAACATCAAAGCAATATGAGTGGAAATCTCCCTTCAAAACATCAGGAGGAAAATCATTGTGTGATAGGTGGATATGACCAACCAGCTTGAAAGTTGAGATCCTACCACATGCCAGGATGTTGTGTCATATTTTAGAGGGTGGAATGGAGGACAACAGTATCTACAGCTATCTAATGTGCCATGAAAGAAGGACTTTGAAATGTAACTGATTCATGGGGGAAATACCTCCAATACATTTTGAATTATAAAAGAAAGCTCTCAAGACAGGTGGGGAGGGACAATGCACAGTTGTAAAAGTAGATGGAATGGAAAAAAAAATGCTTCCTTGCAGGTCCAAGAATTCCCAAAGATGAAAATATTAATTTTAAACAATCTGAACTTCCTGTGACCTGTGGTGAGGTGAAGGGCACTCTATATAAGGAGCGATTCAAACAAGGTGAGTTTACTGGTCCATCTACGATTTTCAGCTGGAAAATATCCACACAGATAGCATACTGTTTAGGAGTAGACACTTGCCTTTGAGGTTCTGCAAAACCAGCCCCAGGCTTGAAGATTTGCTAGGAGCTTTCCTAGGACTTGGGACATCATCACATTTACAGCTAGGGTTTATGAGAGAAGCATGCAAAACATACCATAGGGAAAATGCACATGGGGTGAAATTCAGAGACAACCAAAAGCAAGCTTCCAGGAGTCCTCTCCCAGTGGAGTCATGCAGGACTCATTTAATTACTGCAGCAACAAATTGTGACAACACATGTAAAATGTTGTCTACCAGGGAAACCAGCCTGAGTTTAGGAGTCCAGGGTTTTTACCAGTCACATAGGTGCCCTCTGCCTAGCACATACCAAAATTCCAGATTCCCAGAAGGAAAGCGGGTGTTCAGCATAAACCATATCATTTGCGCAAACAGTTTAGGCACAGTGAGCCCTCTTCTTCATTTATGGTTATAGATAAATGCAATTTATTTACATATGTCTGAAAATAATACATCAGGATCGGTAGTTCCCAGATTACACAACATTTTAACAAGATTTCTTTGGATAGGCTATCTCAAATTTATTCTTGTAAGAGAATATAAATAAATTGCATTTGTTTATAACCATAAATAAGAGGGATTTATCTCTAAAGGGCTTTATCTTTATGGATAAACAATATGTTTATCCACATTGTTTATTATGAACAGTTTAGCCCACAGTGAGTTCTGGGAATGATAGAACTCTCCTAAAATCCAAATTCCTAAATGCCAGTGGCCAAACTTGCATATGGACAATGGCCAACCTTGCATATAGGCCCTCTAAGGAAAGTCTCAGGCCCACTCTGTTAACTCTGTTTTGCACAACAATGACATTTTCACACTTTCAAAATTCATAAAACATTAACCTATGAGGCCATCTCCTCTTACCCTATGTGAAAGGCCCACAAGACATCCAACTAGCACCCACTACAAGGGCAAGCACCTCAGTACTTGGGTGGAAAATGTACACATCTGAGAATCTCAGCAGTAACTTTCACGCCCCATTTCCCATAACATCTGTTTAGCCTTCTGCTAAATGGTAAGATCACAGGGTTTAGAATCAGAAGACCTGCATTCAAGTTTCAGCTATACCAAGAGTGTCTGATTCATCTACAGCCAGGTGCTCGGTCTCTCTAACCTTGAACTTCCTTCTCTACAAAATCAGAACAATAATATAACTTGCCTCACTGTATTATTATGAGAAAAAAATAAAAAAACAGACATAAAATACTTTGCAAGTTACAATTGTTAAATTACAGAACTAATGTTCATCTGTCATGGTTGACACCTCCCCACAACATAGTTCTTTGAGCACCAACAAATATAAATGTTTGCCCCATGACTATGTTGCATAAGCATAATTTAACTTCTCCCACTATATAACATTTCCATAATTACTTTTAATATAAAATAGCCATGAGTTCAAAATATGAAACATAATTGATTGTACCACATGTACAACATGGTACAAGACAAGGCAGATGTGGCTGTAGTAACAGCTTCCACATGGCCACTTGGGGACCCAAGAGCATGGTAGAGGGCTTTATGCCTTCATCCACCTCTCTGAAATTCAGGCTGACTCTATATCAGGTCTCAGAGAAGGGAGGAGGAAGAATTCTGCTCATTCTTTAGGGCCATTCTTTGCACCCACCCCCACCTTTGGAATATAGCAAAATACGTTGAAAAGGTAAATGTTGGTAGTAATATTTCTTCTCATTGCATGATGGTCAAAGAAATGTACACACATGACAGAGAGAACCCTTCATCTCTGTTCCTTCAGGCTGGGTATGAAGCCCCTGATATCTGACAGGAAAATTCAGACTTTACTGCTACGATCCTAAGCCCAAAGTGGGTGGCCCCAGACCCCAGCATGGGGGGAGGCCAAGTTCAGGTGTTTTCACAGTTGGGGAGCTCACTTTGCCTTGGTCTTACAGGAACCTCAAAGAAGTGTATACAGAGTGAGGATAAAAAGTGGTTCACTCCCAGGGAATTTGAAATTGAAGGAGACCGCGGAGCATCCAAGAACTGGAAGCTAAGTATACGCTGCGGTGGATATACCCTGAAAGTCCTGATGGAGGTATTCTAGTGACAGATGGCTGAAACCAAGGATTTAGCTGTCATGCTTCACTAACACCAAGCTTTAGCAGAATTTCTCAGTGCCCAGAAATTCATCATGACTTCCTCTGCCCAGGTCTCCATGCATATGTTATTACTAACGTTCTCACCTGAACATTACGTTGGCTGGCTTATATTACAGCTTAATCCTCTAAGTACTTTATTTCTTACCCTTTTGAAGGTTGGACAGTAAATTGTGGCCTTGACTCTGCCATTAATAAACTGTGCAATTTGGTCACATGAAAGTAACTTAAGTTGGAGGGGAGGTCTTAAATTTTCGGGGGAGGTAAATGTTAAATACACACACACACACACACACACACACACACACACACACACACATATTTAACATATATATATGTAGTTCCTGGATTACAAAATATTTCAACAAGATTTCTTTGAATAGGCCACCTCAAATTTATTCTTGTAAGAGAATATAAATAAATTGCATTTTAAAGTAACATTGCTTCTCATATGAACCCCTTGATGTTACAAAGCAGGCACAGGGTCTTTGCTGCAGATGAACCTGTGTCTTTAGACTCCAAATACAGTGCTTTCTGTTGCACGCCCACAGACAGTCCTTCCTCATGCCACTCTAACAATTAAAAAAAAAATCTGCCAGGCACAGTTGCACATGTCTGTAGTCCCAGTTACTCAGAAGACAGAAGCAGGAGGGTCACTTGAGCCCAGGGGTCCTGGGCTTAGTGTACTATGCCAATGAGATATCCATGCTAAGTTCAGCATCAACATAGGGGACCACCAGATTGCCTAAGGAGGGGTAAACCAGTCCAGGTTGGAAACAGAGCAGGTCAATACTTTCCTGCTGATCAGTAGTAGGTTTGCACCTGTCGATAGGCACTGCACTGCACTCCAGCCTGAGCAACACAGCAAGACCCCATCTCTAAAAATAAATAAATAACTATTACACAAATAAAAGATCTTTGCCCAGTAAATACTTATTGAACCAACATCTAAAGCTGTGGAGGGTATACAAAGTGTGAGCCCCTTCCCAGAAGGAAGGCTGTGCTTTCATAATTACAGGCCTGGACACGGTGTCAATGTTCTCACAAGAGACACCTGCAGGAAGAGGTACAATAGATCGGAGAAGAGAAAGTCATTTCTGGCTTTGAGGTTGAGGACCATTTTGTGGAACTCTTGCACTGAGCTAGGTCTAAAAAGATGAACAACTAGCAAAAACGTAGAATGGGGCATTCTACATATATAGAAAGGACAGCATGCAAATCTGCTCCACAATGTGTCAAGAAGTTGGGAGTAATGAGGTGGCTACATTCTCTGGACTGATTATAGAAGTCATGAGGCCAGAGGAAGGCATTGAAATGCTTCCTTGAATCCCTGGAGAATCATGAAAAGTAATTTCCATGAAAATACCTTGAATTTGAGTTAATAGTGGGATATCCAGGTAGGAATATTTGGAAGGCAGTCAGAAATACTAAGCTCACAAAATAAAAGCAAGAACCCATCAAATCATTTATCTCTTTTCTTTTTTAGAACAAATTTCTGCCAGAACCACCAAGCACAAGAAAAAAGGTGATGATCAAGTGATCTTCTGCCAATGTCTCGTCTATTATGTTGTTGATTTTCTATCTCTGTGGACTTACAGTCTTTAAATTGACCCATCATCATAAAATTTGATTTTATAATATGATGCTTTTGCAGTTGCTGCTTTCAAACATTATTCAATGTATAAGTCCAGGGCTCCTTTGAACATCAAAACGTTTGAGATAGAGGTGGGAACAATCCTCAGAAATAGATTAAAAGACAGAACTGAATTGTATGTGTTTTTTAGTAAAGGAGCTAAATGCCATACTTTTTTTTTTTTTTTTTTTTAAGAGAAAGAGTCTCACTCTGTCGCCCAAGCTGGAGTGCAGTGGTGTGATCTAGGCTCACTGCAACCTTCACCTCCCTGGTTCAAGCGATTCTTGTGCCTCAGCCTCCCCAGTAGCTGGGACTACAGGCGTGTGGCATGATGCCCGGCTATTTTTTTTGTATTTTTAGTAGAGATGGAGTTTCACCACGTTGGCCAGGCTTGTCTCAAACTCCTGACCTCATGTGATTTGCCCGCCTCAGCCTCCCAAAAGGCTGGGATTACAGGCATGAGCCACCATGCCTGGCGCCATACTTTCTTTAAATATAAAAGATAGAGCTGGCATTGGAAAAATAAGCATGAGTTTGAAATGCACAAAACAGTGTGCCTTTGCAACCTCAACATAAACACTGGTTGTTTTTCACTGGTTTTTCTGGATTCTATATTTTAGAAATAAATATGAAGCAAAAGTTCCCCTAGAAACATCCCATGGTCACTACACATGACCTAATGGAGAATTCCCCCTAAAATGTATATATAGGCATATGTCACCCAGGGAAGCAAACAACAAAAAACATTCTCTCCTTTTCTTTTATCTTTTACCTCCACCACACACACACACACACACACACACACACATACACACACACACACACACACATACACACACACACGCGAGTTCTTCAGGTGAAAATTTTGGACTGGGAGGCAGAGTGCCCTGTGAGGCTGCTGACCTAGAAAATCTTTTCCTTTGTGGAGAGGCCCTTTGGCCCCAGTAAAAGGGCTGCACAGACCTCACTTCTATCTGTGAAGGTGAAATTCTCCCTCTGTGGAGGTAGTATGTGGAGTTCATAGACCAGTGGTCTTCATACTATATGTATTCTATGGAAAAATGGTGAGATCACTGATGCCTTCCATGGCCTCTCCAAGGCTGGGTATAAGAGAGAACCTGGTGAAGGAAGGAGATGGAAGAACTTCCATTTTCCTAAGCTCTGACATGGGTGACCTTGGATATTTCTGCCATACCAGGAAGTCACAATCTTTACAAAGCTGGCTCCTGGGGCTACCTGCTCCACTGGCTTTATGACTAGAGATTCAGTGACTAGGCTCTGTATCCACTGGGTTTTCTGGAGAAAGACATTATTTGATATAATTATTAAAATCAAACATGTCTACCCACTGCCAGACAGTCAAGGCTGATGCAGTCTGGGCTAATCAATTGAGCTGGCCATCTCCCATCCCTTCATCACAGGCACCCTCTCTCCATTCCCTGAGGGCCCACAGCTCTAGAGGTGAAATTGCCTCGGTTCTCAGAGGATCTCCCCGGAGGGTCTATCTTCCCTCCTCTCCCCTCGGTTTCTAATGCTTGTGTCACTCTCAGCACCGCGTGGTAACTGCTATTGTTGCCAGCTTTCCTGCTTATAAGTTTTTTGTTAAACCTGCTGGTGATAGCTGAGATACCCCAGGATAATAAGTCATAAAAGTCCAAGCTAATCGTTTACTGGCTGCTAAGAAACCTCTTCTCCCAAGTGACAATTGTGTTCACTTGTTCATGCACTTATGTATCCATTAAACAAACAACTGTGGAGCCACTACAAAGCTCCAGGTGATGGGCTTGGCCAATGAAATAATGCAAAACAAAGGAGGCCAAAAGGATGAACCTTAAGGATTCTGTCAACCTTATTGTCTTACCTGGGTGAATAACTCATGGGATGGAGTGGGAGATTCTAGGCCACTAAGCTGCTATACTTTATCTTAGCCAAAAGGCCCAGATTGCTTCTGGCAGGTGGTAATATGGCCACCTCTTCTATCATCATGCCTTGGATCCCACTGAGTGGTTTGTCTAAGGCCTCTCTGCCTTGAGCTACAGGTAAAAGCTTTAGCAGTCATTGTTTCATTCCACAGATACCCTAGGTCAAAGCAAGCTCTCAAGATTCAGGAGAAAGTGGAGAGGTGCTTACCTTCAGGAGAAGAGCTACAGTACTGGGGATCTTGGAGGCATTTTGTCTTCAAAGATGTGTTCCTGGAGAGCTGCAGAAAGGGTTAGAGTTATTCCTGGGACACCTGCATGGTGTCCAAGACTCTGGGCCCTGTGGTCACTGGGAGCTGTGGAGGAAGAGTCGGCCGATTCCCTTTGCAGCTTCTCTGGATGGAATGACACTTCCTTTTTTTTTTTTTTTTTTTTTTTTTTTTTTTTTTTTTTTTTTTTTTTTTTTTTTTTTTTACAGAGTCTAGCTCTGTCACCAGGCTAGAGTGCAATGGTGCAATCTCAGCTCACTGCAACCTCCACCCCCCGGGTTCAAGCGATTCTCCTCCCTCAGCCCACTACAGGTGCGCGCCACCACACTCAGCTAATTTTTGTATTTTTAGTAGTGACGGGGTTTCACCACGTTAGCCAGGATGGACTTGATCTCTTGACCTTGTGATCTGCCCTCCTCGGCCTCCCAAAGTGCTGGGATTACAGGCATGAGCCACTGCACCTGGACACTTCCAAATTTAGACAAACATGCCTGCAGGCCCCTTGAAGTAGGAGGACCGATAGAGTTGCTCCAGCTCAGTCTCCCTGAATGGTTTCACGAAGGCCTGCCTTGGGTGTGAGAGCCAGGAAATGGCACTTGCATTGGGCCAAACTGTCACTGACACATAATTTAGTGCTTTTTTATTCTTCAGTTAGATGTACAGGTCCATAAAAGCAGACATGAAACAAAAGAAGGGCTGTGGCATGAATCCCTTAAAAATAAAGAAGTCTGTTCAAATGTGGGGTTAATGAAAAATCACACTCAATATTGTACCAATCTTTCTGTTTTTTTCAACAGAGAATACTGGAATCTCACAACAATACCTTAGTTGACCCTTGTGTAAGTATAAATTTCCGACTATGACCCCAAAATAAGTCAGGCCTTTCTCCAGGCACACTATGTCATGACTGCCTTTCCCCGAAGCATGCTCAGTCTCAGTTGGAGTATGTTGCTGTGTGTGATTAGAAGATGCAAGCCAGGTACCTGGGTCTGGGATTGGGTGTCTCAGTGCAAAAGCAGCCTTTTGTTTCAGTAGAAATCTTCAAATTTCCTCATTTCCCTTAGAAAGTGAGTATAGGAGGCTGAGCTCTAGATCACCGAGGCCTCCAGAGACAAGAACTTGAAGTAGTAATGGACAGGGCTGGCCTGCCGATTAGGGAGAAGGATCAAATGTCAGAAAATAAAAGCATTTTCAAGTAGGTGGTGGGAATGGAAAGGAAAATCCCAAATATCTGCTCCAAGGTGCAGACAGAGCTCAGTCAGCCAGAAGGAACAGACCGAGCCGAGCTGGTGAGTTCGAGGTATGGACTCTGTCATTAGTTCTGCAGAGGAAGACACACACGAAAAGTGAGTCTCTTATGAAGCCCCTATTGCCACTCTTGAGGGAGGTTTAGGCTCAGTATGCTGAGCTGGTTAGGACAAAAACCATCACCACTTGGCAACTGATGAGGCATGTTTATTCTCACTTCTTGACTGGTGCTCAATGATGTACAAACCTGATTCCACAGGCTCCATTATCAACCAAAATTAAGGCTGTTTAGGAATAAATAAATTTTTTGAGACAGGATCTTGCTGTGTCACCCAGGCTAGAATGCAGTGACACAATCACAGCTCACTGCAGCCTCAACCTTCTGGGCTTAAGTGATCCTCCCACCTCAGCCTCCCAAATAGCCAGGACTACGGGTGCATGCCACCACATCAGCTAATTTTTTTAATTTGTTGTAGAGCCAGGGTCTCACTATGTTGCCCAGGCTTGTCTTGAACTCCTGAGCTGAAGTGATCCTCCCAACTCAGCCTCCCAAAGTGCTAGGATTACAGGCATGAGCCACAGTGCTGGCCAGGAAGAAATAATTTGATAACGATTTCTTAAAAGCCAAATGTGAGGAGTGACTCAATAAAACACACCAACAAAGTTGGGAGTATTGGGAGTTTTTAACAAATTGAAATGCCTTTTTTTTTTTTTTTTTTTTTTTTTTTTTTTGAGACGGAGTCTCGCTCCATTGCCCAGGCTGGAGTCCAGTGGCACGATCTTGCCTCACTGCAACCTCTACCTGCTGGATTCAGGCAATTCTCCTGCCTCAGCCTCCCAAGTAGCTGGGACTACAGGTGTGTGCCACCATGCCTGGCTGATTTTTGTATTTTTAGTAGAGACAGGGTTTTGTCATGCTGATCAGGCTGGTCTTGAACTCCTGACCTCGTGATCCACCTGCCTCAGCCTCCCAAAGTGCTGGGATTACAGGCATGAGCCACCGCACTGGCCACAAGTTGAAGTGCTCTTATAGCAGAGGTCCCCAAACTTTTTGGTGCCAGGAACCAATTTTGTGGAAGACAGTTTTTCCACAGACCGGGATGGGGTTGGGGGCAGGATGATTTTGGGATGTTTCAAGCACATTAAATTTATCCTGCACTTTATTTCTATTATTATTACATTGTAATAGATACTGAAATAATGAAATAATTATATAACTCACCATCAAGTAGAATCAGTGGGAGCCCTGAGCTTGTTTTTCTGCAACTAAAAGTTCCCATCTAGGGGTGATGGGAGACAGAGACAGATCATGAGGCATTAGATTCTCAAAAGAAGCACGCAACCTGGATCCCTCGCATGTGGAATTTACAACAGGGTTTGTGCTCCTATGAGAATTTAATGCTGCTGCTGATCTGACAGGAGGTGGAGCTCAGGCAGCAATGCCAGCAATGGGGAGCTGCTGTAAATACAGATGAAGTTTCACTCACTCGCCCACCACTAACCTTCTGCTGTGTGGCCCATTTCCTAACAGGCCATGAGTTGGTACAGGTCCTTATCCCGGAAGTTGGAAACCCCTGTTTTGTAGAAGAGTTTAGGAGAAGGGAGAGGGACTCCTCACACCAGAGCTGTCCTTTCTCATTGAAGGATACAATACAGAAGTTACAATCATTGGATACAGATCGCAACATGCAGGCTCAAATGTATCCATGCAAGACAATCAGTAAAACTCTAAGATCCAGAAATAAATCAGTGTCCTTTTCAGGGTCACTGGGTTATGCATTAATCACTGTGTCAACAATTTGAGAGACTCATGATAAGATTCAGGGACAAGATTTCACCATGAATCACAAGACCTTCCCAAGGTGGGTTAATTGGAAAGCCTGTTTACTTTTAAACTAAACTGCCAAATGTGACCTGTAGATTATCACATTCCCTTTTTGATTAAAAAAAAAAAAAAATCTTCCCATGGAAGTATTGCTGATCAATCTGCTAGGTTAAGGGGATAGATGTTCTTCATTCCTTGTCAATGGGAAGGCTTATTCCAGGAGGTCATGTCCCTCGGTGGGGGAAAAAAACCTTGTTATTGCAATCAGGCCAGTTTGCTGACAAGATGAGGTAGGTCATGACACACAGCTACCTGCTATTCTCCTGAATGATAAATCATCTCACTGGGAAATCAGTATTTTGGCCTTAGCCATGGATCGAAAGCAAGCACAATGCAAATCATGAGTGACTTAATAGCCAAGAAAATAAACTATGTTTATTATTAGGTTGAGGCAAAAAAGTAGTTGCGGTTTTCGCCATCAGAAGTAATGGTGAAAACTGCAATGACTTTTTTGCACCAACCTAATATTATAATCATAACAACTTGAAAACACAATAGAAAAAAGAAATTAGTCCTAAGAGTAACCAAATGAACAAGTCATCAATTTATAGTTGCTGTTGCTTGTTGAATACAAGCAAACAACTTGAAAACACAATAGAATAAAGAAATTAGTCCTAAGAGTAACCAAATGAACAAGTCATCAATTTATAGTTGCTGTTGCTTGTTGAATACAAGCAAACAACTTGAAAACACAATAGAATAAAGAAATTAGTCCTAAGAGTAACCAAATGAACAAGTCATCAATTTATAGTTGCTGTTGCTAGTCTTCAGACTTTCATAATTTTACTTTTCTTGGAAGAAATAAAACAATGAGTGATTCACAGCATTAATAATTGACTAGCAGAAATATAATGCACACAAAAATTATAATCAAAAAGAGAATTTGTGTACAAGAATGGGGGAAAAAAAACCTGTTCCATTAGGGAGCCAACTAAGAAAGAAAATTAAATCCAGGTTCTTCTTTAGAGACTTATTATAGCCAGGAAATAATTAAGTCCAAATTGCAAGCAAATAATAATTTTTGAAACTCAAAAATAATGGTCTGGGCTAGAATCTAATAACAACTATGCTATAATTTTCTTCTGAAAGATAATTTTTCTCTCTTCGATCTCCCTTTTCTGCCAAAGAAAAATCATAGGCCAATTTTATTTGCAATATAAGTTTTAGTCTTATTGTACTTGACCTGATTATTTATATAAAAGGCAACAGGAATAGTGATTGTCCATATAGACTCCTTTTAAGTTGGCTTTGCTGGAACTTTTTCGTTAGACATTTTAGATTAGACTTTCAAAAGCTTCTTCAGGCTAGAAAGCCAAGCCAAGGATTTATCATCAGATTGTGTCTGCACTACTTGTAAGAATTGGGTAAATTCCTCCTTTCTTGAAGTCCCCCAAATACCTCAAGGTTTCTGGGCCTGTTGGGAAGGGACATTACTTAACACGAGGTCAAAAAACCTACAAGAGATTGCAGTACATTGAGCTCCATAGAGATAGTGCTGGCGCAAGTGAGAGCTGGACAGGCCCTGGGCGACTCTGTACCTTGCTGAGGAAAAATAACTAAACATGGACAAAGCAGATCCTAAGAAGCTGAGAGGTGAAATGTTATCATATGCATTTTTTGTGCAAACTTGTCAGGAGGAGCATAAGAAGAAGAACCCAGATGCTTCAGTCAAGTTCTCAGAGTTTTTAAAGAAGTGCTCAGAGACATGGAAGACCATTTTTGCTAAAGAGAAAGGAAAATTTGAAGATATGGCAAAGGCGGACAAGGCCCATTATGAAAGAGAAATGAAAACCTATATCCCTCCTAAAGGGGAGAAAAAAAAGAAGTTCAAGGATCCCAATGCACCCAAGAGGCCTCCTTTGGCCTTTTTCCTGTTCTGCTCTGAGTATCGCCCAAAAATCAAAGGAGAACATCCTGGCCTGTCCATTGATGATGTTGTGAAGAAACTGGCAGGGATGTGGAATAACACCGCTGCAGCTGACAAGCAGTTTTATGAAAAGAAGGCTGCAAAGCTGAAGGAAAAATACAAAAAGGATATTGCTGCATATCGAGCTAAAGGAAAGCCTAATTCAGCAAAAAAGAGAGTTGTCAAGGCTGAAAAAAGCAAGAAAAAGAAGGAAGAGGAAGAAGATGAAGAGGATGAACAAGAGGAGGAAAATGAAGAAGATGATGATAAATAAGTTGCTTCTAGTGCAGTTTTTTTCTTGTCTATAAAGCATTTAAGCTGCCTGTACACAACTCACTCCTTTTAAAGAAAAAAACTTCAACGTAAGACTGTGTAAGATTTGTTTTTAAACCGTACACTGTGTTTTTTTGTATAGTTAACCACTACCGAATGTGTCTTCAGATAGCCCTGTCCTGGTGGTATTTAGCCACTAACCTTTGCCTGGTACAGTATGGGGGTTGTAAATTGGCATGGAAATTTAAAGCAGGTTCTTGTTAGTGCACAGCACAAATTAGTTGTATATGAGGATGGTAGTTTTTTCACCTTCAGTTGTCTCTGATGTAGCTTATACAAAACATTTGTTGTTCTGTTAACTGAATGCCACTCTGTAATTGCAAAAAAAAAAAACAGTTGCAGCTGTTTTGTTGACATTCTGAATGCTTCTAAGTAAATACAATTTTTAAAAAACCGTATGAGGGAACTGTGTAGACAAGGTACCAGGTCAGTCTTCTTCCATGTCTATTAGCTCCACAAAGCCAATCTCAATCCCTCAAAACAATCTTGTCATACTTGAAAATATGACACTCTAGTCAAAGCCTTGGTAAAATAATCAGTGTTTCCAATCTGTCCTGTTACAAAAGAAACAGATTATTATTGAACTTATGCAAATAACCATTGTCATAAGAATGTTTATGAATAGTTTCCAAATTATGGCAAATTCATGTAGAGAGAGAAAAGTAACTGTTTTGGTTTTGCTCACAAAAGTCTACTTTACCTAAGGGCTGTCAGATATAAGTAACTTAAAAGAAAGAGAAGTTTTCTTGACTTTTGAAAACAAAATATGAAAAGAATCGGCAATGTTTCAAACAAAAAGTCATAAAAGTCACTTTATTCCTCCATCAATTTAGTCTCATGTAATTCTTATTTTGCTGGTGTTGGGTTAGCAATCTTCATGAAGACATCAGTTTTTCATTAGAGTTCTGGAAGTTTTATCTAGTCTAACTATATGATCTCCAAAGTTATCAGAAACCTATGTTCAAGAGTACTTGCCAGAGCCTTTTCCATAAAAAAGCAATTTTGGATTATAGTTGACTTCAAATGCTTGTAGAGAAAATTTTAAAACGGTAACTGTGGATGTCAAAAACTTAGAATAGCCATGGTTAAAATCTAATAGAAGTACCCAATTGACAAGGAAATTTAGATATTTTGATTACCTGCAGCATTTTAAGATAACAACCAGAATCACGACTGATAGTGTCCCATTAAAACTATTAGATTTTTACAAATGTCATATACTCTTTAGGATATTCACATTAATAACATATCTATACAAATATTACTTTAGAAAAGACTTAATCAAAATTATGACTGATAACAGATTTTTATAAATTTATATAATTTGGGGAACATTTTATCGATAACATACTCATAAGTGTAACTGAAGGAAGATCTAGTATTATGTATCATTTGACAGTTTCTCCCATACAATTTACCAAATCAGTCTAATCATTTAATATCTCTGCAAGAGGAGAGATACATTCTTTCAGGTCCCTCAGAGGTCCAACTGGAAAATAGCAAAGTAAATTTTAGGCCAAAAAAACAATTTAGGATGTTGATCTTGGGGAAACCTGCCAAAGATGTAGAAAGGTATAAAACACTTGATCAAAATGGAATCACAGATCATTGTAAAATAATAATTATTCATTTAACCAGAGTTATAATCAAAAGACTTCAAAAGCAATACAGAAAGTTGTATGGATGTAAAAATCTTAGCTCTTTTAAAGCTCAGTTTTCTTGAGTAATCAAAAACTTAATAAAGACAATACAGGAATTATCTCAATAAAAATAAGTTTTGGGCCAGGCGCCATAGCTAACACCTGTAATCCCAGCACTGTGGGAGGCCAAGGCAGGCAGATCACCCGAAGTCAGAAATTTGAGACCAGCCTGGTCAACATGGTGAAACTCTGTCTCTACTAAAAATACACAAAAAATTAACCAGGCATGGTGGCATGTGCCTGTAGTCTCAGATACTCAGGAGGCTGAGGCAGAAGAATCGCTTGAGCCCAGAAGGCAGAGGTTACAGTGAGCCGAGATTGCACCACTGTACTCTAGCCTGGGCAACAGAGCAAGACTCCATCTCAAAAAAAAAAAAAGTTTTAAAAAGAAAGAGATATCAGAATTAAAAATCAGTATCTTTTAATTTTATTAAAAGCAAAGCAATATTTTAAGCAAACTTTGTTGTTCTAACATAGGGGACCAAATTTTTTGTTTTTTATTAGTTTATTTTTAATATCAAATCTCAATCTTTAGAAAGACTTAGAATTTCCTTTTAATTATAGCCAACTTGATCATATACAAAATTTATTTCATAGGGTTTCTTTTCACAAACCTTATTATGACTTAGACTGTTTGCGAAACGCTTGGACTTTTTGCTTTTCTCTGTACTTTCTTAAATAACTAGACATTTTACTTTAGAACAAAAAACTTACAAGACTTTTTTCTCATGCAAAATTATTCTCTTTTAACCTGTCTTACCAAAAATATTTATAACTTTCTTCGCTTTTCTCTCTCCTTCTTACTGGTTCCTTTCTTTATTGCTCCTTATTTTAAAACAACCTTAAATAACCCCTGAATTAAACACAATTACTTTTTCTCAGTAAAGAACATATTTTTATGCCTTCTTATAATTTTCTGTCATGAAAAACACATCTTACTTTTTTGACACATTTTAAATTTAGAATTATATATATTAATTAGAATGTTTAAACTTTCAGTAACTTTAAATTTTATTGAAAACCTAGGAAATAAGAAATCTTGAATTGTCTATCACATGACAGTATCTTACAAATGAGAACTCTTTTATAATTTTTAGAAACATTTTCCCATAACAAAAACATTTTTTATCTTAATTGGAATTGACCTAGACGTTTAATGAGCATCTATTTTTGAATTTAATTTAGCAAAACTTTAAGATTATAAATTACATTAAAAGTTTATTTATATATGTTTATCCCATTTACATTTATTTTTAACAGTTTACCTAGATTACTTATGAAAATTGATATATTAGACAAAGCTAGTCATCATTTCAAGTTATTTTCCTGTCAACCAATTTTATAGCCTGTGAATATCAGATGTTCACTTAAGAAAGAATCTTAAAGTTAAATATATGAGTATTTTGCTGATAACTTAGAAGATAGTTGTTTTATTAAAGCAAAAATATTTAATCAGTCATACTTATCAAAAGATTTATTCAAGTCATGTGAACTTAGATGTTTGGGACTACTAATTCCTGAGCATTAATGTATTTATAAGTCAGTCTGTTACTACAGAGAGGTTTTATAGCTTTGATTTTAAAATTTTGGTCATGAATCAGGTAAATTTCACTAGTTTTAAAAGGAGAATTGAATTAAATTGTGCCTTTCAAAATGGTACAAGTTAAAGTTATCTGTCCTACATGACTGAAGCCCTTAATGAGTGTAAAACATTTATATCTCAAAGCACAGAGAAAGAATTTAATCCTTCCATATGGCTAATGAAGTTTTACATTTCCAAGGGACTGTGAAGTCCAGCAGGGCATTTAAAGGGTATTGTCTGATATTGGATAAAGAGTTTAATTGGGTTTACTTCCACTTTAATGGGGGTGGTTGAATATGTTTTACCAATGTCAGTGGGAGATTGGGAGCATAAGTGATCCAGCAAAGCTTGCAATAACTCATCGGTGTCATTCGTTAGTCTTGGGTCAGAAAAAATTGTTGGTGATAATTGTGATAATTTTAATTGTTTCATTTTCATTCTTTAGTTGTTCTGTTTGCTCCTTCTGTTCCAAACGTAAATACGTTTTCCCCCTTTTGAGAGAAGGAAATGTGTGTATTGTGACATTCCAAAAATCTCTACCTAAGAGACAGATGGGAGCCAAGAGAACAAGTAGAAAGGAATAAATTCAGTTAAGGAAGAATATGAAGGCATAGGGGTAGAAGGAGGAGAAGAAATTGGAATGAAAGGGAGAAAGCTTCTGAAGTCTTTTTCAAATCAGAAATAGTGTGGGATGGCCTTTTGCTCATCTCTTCAATGAAGGCCATTTTTTTTCCCCAGAATTTCTTTTAGGAGCATCTCACTGCTATCAGAAGTAAGTCAGTTTGTCTGGTTCTAAAACCAGCTTTTTCCAATTGTGTATGGTAATACATCAGCTTAGGCATTTTCAAAAGATCCCCATTTTGGCCACTGCTGCTTTTGACCATCCCGGGTTACATGGGTCCACTTATCTAAGTACTTGCAAGAAGAAGGACTCTAAGTG